>NC_000011.10:43999393-44302424 GCF_000001405.40 Homo sapiens
CATGTCAGCTGGGGCTGGGATTTCATCTGAAGGCTGGACTAGGGCAGGATCTGCTCACTCTAGTGTTGGTGGAATTTAGTTCCTGAGGGTTTTTCGACTGGGGTCTCAGTTTCTTGCAGGCTGTTGACTGCAGGTGGTCCTCAGCTCCTTGTCACATGGGTTTCTCCACCATGACACTCCGGCAAAGCTAGCAAGGGTGAGTCTGCTACTGAGTAACCTAACTGCAGAAGTGATACGCCTTCTTTGCTGTATTCTGTCGGTTAGAAGCCAGCTACTATGTCTGGCCCACACTCAAGGGGAGAGGATTATACAAGAGAATGAATATCAGGGGGTGGGATAATCGGAGGCCAAGGTAAGGTTGGCAGCCACGGTCTTTCAATCCCCTTCCTGATCCCATGTAGTAGGTATAATCTGCTCTCAGTATCTGTGGGTTCCACATCCACAGATCAAAAATATTCAGAAAAAAATAAATCATAAAGAGTAACAACACAACAATGAAAAATACAAATAAAAAACCAATACAGTATAATAATTATTTACATAGCATTTACATTGTATTAGGTGTTATAAGTAATCTAGAGATGACTTAAAGTATATGGAAGGGGCCAAGCACGGTGTATCATGACTGTAATCCCCTCACTTTGGAAGGCCAAGCGGGGGCGGATCACTTGAGCCCAAGAGTTTGAGACCAGCCTGAGCAAAATGGTGAAACCCTGCCTCTATTTTTCTTTCCTTTCTTTTTTTATTTTGAGATGGAGTCTTGCTCTGTTGCCCAGGCTGGAGTGCAGTGGCACGATCTCAGCTCACTGCAACCTCCGCCTCCCGGGTGCAAGCGATTCTCCTGCCTCAGCCTCTCAAGTAGCTGGGATTACAGGCATGCACCACCATGCTCAGCTAATTTTTGTATTTTTAGTAGAGACAAGGTTTCGCCATGTTGGCCAGGCTGGTTTCGAACTCCTGACCTCAGGTGATCCCCTGCCTCTGCCTCCCAAAGTGCTGGGATTACAGGCATGAGCCACCTCACCTGGCCCCCTGTCTCTATTTTAAAAAAAAAAAGCCTGTTGCAGTGTGGCAGTGTGCTGAGATCATGCCACTGCACTCCAGCCTGGGTGACCGAGTGAGACTCTGTCTCAAAAAAAAAAAAAGAAAAGAAAACAAAATTGTAAAACAAACAAATAAATAAATAAAGTATATGGGAGGATGTGCATAGTGAATGCGCCCAGCCCCCTGTCTCTATTAAAAAAAAAAAAAATGCCTGTTGCAGTGTGGCAGTGTGCTGAGATCATACCTCTGCACTCCAGCCTGTGTGATGGAGTGAGATTCTGCCTCAAAAAAGAAAGAAAGAAAGAAAGAAAGAAAATTGTAAAATAAATAAAGAAATAAAGTATATGGGAGGATGTGCATAGTGTATATACAAATAGTATGCCATTTTATATCAGGGATGTGAGCATCAATGAATTTTGGTATCCACAGGGGATCCTGGAGCCAATCCCCCAGGTACTGAGAGACAACTATGCTATAAGCCCATTTCACAGATGAGGAGGCTGAGGCACCGATAAGTTAAGAAAATTGAGCTGGGATTCAAACCCAGGCAAGGTGATTCTGGAGCTCATCCTCATAACTTTTACATTAAGCTGCCTCCTCGATAGATGATAGCCATTATTATTGTTATTCATGCATTTGCTATGCCCCTGTTTTGTGCCAGGCCCTGTCCTAACTATGGGAGTCACAGAGATGCATAAAATAAATTCCCTCATCTCCGGAAGCCTGCAGTCTTGTGGGGAGGACAGAAACATAAACAGACATACTACCAAGCAAGGTGGAAACCGGGAACAATTTTTACCAGCGGAAAATGTGGTGAACAATACTCGTTATTTGTACGCAAAATGAAATTGCAAGCAAGAGTCCTGCTTGCATTCAGGAGCAAAGCAAGCTGCCCATCTCTCGGGGGTGGCTTGTTTCCAGGTTTTTCCATCAGTCTTTTCTAGCCATTTCTGTTCAGTCTTTTGTTAGCAGACAACAGCAACAGGCATCCAAACTTTGAAAAAAAATGAGGGCAGAAGTATTACAATTATTGAAATTGGGAAACGTTCTAAGATTCCGGGGTGAGACTGTGTATAGAGAAGATCGGGAGTCAGGTGCCTCCTCTGCAGCTGGCTTGTCGGGGGCAGAGTCTGGCCTCGGCGTGTCCATCTGTTAAATGGAGATTCATTCATGCATTCCTGCCTTGTGCAAGCAAAATACGAGATCCTGCCCACTCGCCTTCTGAGCTGTTATAAATCTAAATGTGGGTGGACAGGAGGAATTACAGAAAAGGAGGCCAGCCTTTGCCTGGGGTTCATGGATGGGGTGGGAGCAGGGGGGAAGTGGAGGTAAAGGGGCTGTGTGTGTGTGTGTGTGTGTGTGTGTGTGTGTGTGTGTGTGTGTGTGTGTGTGTAGAGGGTGGGGCTCCCCGACAGGCTCCTTCTTCCTCCCCAAAGTGGTTGAAGGGGCTGGAAGGCTCTGAGGGCTTCTTCTCTCTGCACTTCCTCACTGTCCTCACCCCGCTGCACCCTGGTGACAGGTCCTCTCAGAGCTAGCACAGCTCATTCCTAGTATTAATGGCTCAGGGAGGGGGCCTTGGAGTCAGCCCACCAGGGAGAGGAAAATAGGTTTGGAATTACAGCCCTGGTTTTGTTGAGCTTTTTTTCATCTGTGGACAAGGAGGGGGGAAGTGTTTGCCCTTGCTCCTTTGTCCCTGCTCCTGAGCCAAGGTGAAACAGGTCCTCCTTCCTCCTGTGTTACGTGGCCCCAGACCACCGGAAAGGGCCATTCTGGTGGGGGACAGGAGAAGGGGTGGGTTTGAGAGCGCGCCTCCCCATGCTGCCCTGAGCTGTGGGCCTGGCCTCGAAGGATTCTCCCCTTCAGATGCCACCTCGCCCCACCCCGAGCTGGCCTACCTGCACCCGGGTGGGGTGAATCTGGACCCCCAGGAATGACCCACTCTTTGGAAGAAGTTTCTGGAAGAAGCCCCCCGCGTGGTTTCTAGGGAAAGGTTACGCTGGGAAATTCTCTCTGATGGTCGAGCACACCACTTTCCTCTGGCTTATGTTTTTAAGTCGTCTTGACACAGGATGGCCAAAGTCATCCCTGGCAACCAACTCAGGGTTTCACCACTCACTTCCCCAAGAGACCTGGCTTTGGGAAACTCCAGTGACCCTGGAGGCTGTAGCTGGGGAGATACCAGCTTACTAGGGTGGGAGGGGCACTTTGAGGCCCTAGTTGGCATCTGGAAAAGGGCAGTTTGTGAATCTGCCTTCTGTGGGTCTGAATGCTGTGTGATCTGAGGGGAGCTATTTAACCTCTCTGAGCCTCAGAATCCTTACCGGTAAAATGGGGATAGTTACCCTAGCTAGGAGTGATTTTTTGTTGTGGAGGTTAAATGAGACAATAAGCAAAAGCCCCTGGCAAGGCACCGGGTAGGGGAGCTGCTCTGTTGACGGGAATGGCTGCATGGCCTTGTCCAGGGCTGGAGGGGTCTGGATGCGGCATGGTGAGGGTGACTTTCTGGGAGTAGGGAGGGAGAAGACACCATCATGCAGGGTCACAAGGAGGCTGCAGCTGCATTCGTGATGTTTCATTGCTTAAGCGTGGTGAGGGGACATGAGTAAAGACCATTTGGTTCATCTGAAATATTTCATAATGAACATTTACAAATGTAAAATGTTATTATATTTTGCAGAAAAGTAATTGCATTAGGAGAAGCTGGTTTTTAAAAAGAATGAGGAGAAAAATTATGTTAAAAATGATAACACAATGTTCCAAGTATAAGCCAAAGCAGGTCACGGAAGTCACCTCAGAGAGGACATGGTGTTTGCAGCCACTGCCAGATTCTTCTCTCTGAATTGTTTTTTATTGTGGCCAAATGCACATAACATAAAGTTTACTATCTTAACTATTTTTAAATGTACAGTTTAGTGGCATTAAATGCATTCATAGGCCTGGCATGGTGGCTCACACCTGTAATCCCAGCACTTTGGGAGGCTGAGGTGGGTGGGTCGCTTGAGGCCAGGAGTTCAAGACCAGCCTGGCCAACATGGTGAAGCTCCAGCTCTACAAAAAGTACAAAAATTAGCTGGGTGTGGTGGTGCATGCCTGTAATCGGGAGGCTGAGGCAGGTGAATCGCTTGAACCCAGGAGGTGGAGGTTGCAGTGAGCTGAGATCGCGCCACTACACTCCAGTCTGGGCAACAGAGTGAGACTTTGTCTCAAAAAAAAAAAAAATGCATTAATTACATTGGGCAACTGTTGCCATTATTCATCTCCAAAACTCTTTTCATCCTATACAACCGAAATTCTATCCCCACTGGACAGTAACTGCCCATTCCCCTCTGACTTTTCGCACACTCTGCAGTTTCCAGCCTGGAGAGGCAGTGCAGGAGCCTGACCTGACTGCTGCCCGGGGGCTGTGGGTCTGGGCTCTGCCAGGGGCCCCTGTTACCCAGGGATAGGGGGTACCTCACTTGGAGGAACCTCACCAGGCCCTCACCCTCTGGCAGCAGCCAGTAGCAGGGAGCTGTTCCCCCAGGCCTTGGAGGTGAGCATTCCTGGGGTTGTGGCTAGAGCAGGCAGAGCAGAGCCAGACCCCTATCCTGGGGTAAGGGGTACCCAGATGCCCAGAATGAGGTATCTGGGACCCTGACTGCCTAGCAACCTGCAGCCTCTTGTTCCGTTGGTCCTGAAGTCAGGGGAGGGGCTGAGTCTGCATGTGGAAGGGGGAAACTGAGGCCAGGGGGCTCCCAGGAGTGAGTGAGGTGAAGGGGGGGGATGTGTCCCGGGCATCTAGAACCACGTGCACAGAGGCTTGGAGTAGAGAGAGCCCAGATCAGAAGGGCAGTCACGAGCTTGAGTCTGGGGAAGGACACAGAGCGGGTTTTCTGGGCCAAGTTCTTGGTGTTTGCTCACCCCCGCATACCGCCCTGGGGGACCAAGAAACTACCCAGGGACCCCCAAGAGCAAGAGGTGAGAAAAGGAGTCTCACCAGCCTGTTCCAAAATTTGAGCTCCAGTTGCTCCCTACCCGCACCCAGGGCTTCCAAGGCCAAGCTGAGCTGAGCTGAGCTGAGCTCTGGTCCCCTCCCCATAAAAGCCTGTCTGCGACTCTCAAGGGCATGTACCTAGCTGTTTTCTCCTTTCATTCTCAGCCCAGCCCCAGCCGCAGGCAGGATGGCTATCGGGAAAATGAGGCCCTAGGAATCGAGGGGGCTTGCCCAAGGTCAAGTAGTGGGTAAATGACTCCAGGGTCTTTCCCTTCCATCTGCCCGCCCTATCCTCAGAGATGCACTGAACTTTGCTCCTCAAAATGCAGTCCAAGACCAGCAGCATTGACAGCATCTGGGAGCTGGTTGGAAATGCAGAATTCTAGGCCCCTTCCTGGTCCCACGGGACCAGAATGTACATTTTAGCAAGAACCTGGTGATTTGCTAGCACTTTACAGTTGGAGAAGCACTGCTCTAGGAGTTCTTTCCCATCGAGGGGATGCAACTTCCTAGCAGGGAGAGGATACCTGCCTGGATACACTCCTAACCAAGGCCATTGGGACACTTGTAGGAGATATGTTTTTCGGAGGCCCACTGGTGGTGGTGAGGTTGGCCTTGTCTTCAGAACACCCAGCCCGGCCCACCCACCCCTTCTCCCCCGTGCCAGTCTGCCCTGTGCTTTTCGAGTCCCGGCAAGCTCACCCCCACCCTGCCATTGTACACGACAGCTGTAGAGGGGTGAGGGGAACTGTTTCAATGGCTGTCCCTCCACCCCTCGACAAGAGTCCCACTCTTTCCCTGCCCCCAGCCCCCTGCCTGGTGAGGCTGATTGTCCCATTCAGCACCCCCTCCCCGGATTGGCTGATGGGCTTTCAAACTCCTTTAGCTGCCTAATTACTGCTGATCGTGGGCTGCACGTGCAGGCTTCTGTGAATATGAGATTCTGTAATTGCTGCTGGCACACAGCCTGCCTGGGTGGGGGAGGGGAGGGTTCTGAGGACAAAGGGGTTCCACTATGGGGAGGGGAGCACTGAGGGCAGCACTAGCTTTGTTTTGCTCCTCGACTCAGGGGCTCTGGGTGGCAAATCTCTCACAGTGAGGCAGCGCTGAGGGAGGGAGTGCAGCTGAGGAGTGGGCTGTGAATTTTGAATGCACAGCGGGTTTGGGGCATTGGGTGTGTTTTCTGCCAGGCACTGTGCTCCGTGCTTTGCATATTAGGTCTCACAGGAACACCAACTCATTCTGGCTTCCCCGGACGTGCCCAGATTTTACTACTGAAAGTTTCATGTTCCCAGAACCTCCTCCCCCGCCCTCTACCCCCAGGTAAAGCTGTGCAGGTAATTACACTATCACACTACATCTAACTCTCTCAACAACTAGAGGAGATGGCGGACCTGTTATCCCCACTTTACAGATGAAGAAACCAAGGCTTACAGGCATGTAGGATTTTGTCTCCAGGGTCAAATAGCTGCTAAGTGGCAGAAGCTGGATTTGGACCCAGGTGTAAACTCCAAAGATCCGCAATGCAAGGAATCTGCCCAAAGGCCAAAGTGCAGGGGAGGGCCCAAGTTTGCAGGGTGTGTTCCCCACCCCATCTTTTCTGTGGCCTAGGCTCAAGACTCCCACCACCATGCCACCCCAGCGACCTCCAGGGTTCCAGCCTTACTCTGTAGAGACTACTTCTCCTGGATCCCAGAACTGGACCAGTCTGAAAGAACTGGGCCAGTCCCAGGAGGGGTGACTGTGTGGACCCTCCTCTGGCAGCCAGGGCCTGGCTAGACCCTTAGGGGCAGGGTGCTAGGTGGGAGGGCAAAGCTCTGGCCTTGGAGTCTGGGTGATCTGGGCCTGGACCTGCCACCAAAGTGGGACCCAGGTGGTTCAGGCTTCCTTGTGGGATGGAGGAGCTGGCTTGGATGTAGACTGAGGCCCCTTCCAGCTCTGGGTGCTAGCTGGATGCAGCTCATTTGAGTGGCTGAGAGCCAGTGTGCATGGCTTTGCAGCTCCTTGCTGACTGCGTGACTTTGGGTAAGGTACCCAACTTCTGGAAGATGCTTAAGGGGGAATAATGATGCTACTCACCTCTTTGAGATTTTTTTTTTTTTTTTTTTTTTTTGAGGCAGAGTCTCGCTCTGTTACCCAGGCTGGAGTGCAGTGGTGCAATCTCGGCTTACTGCAGCCTCCATCTCCTGGGTTCAAATGATTCTCCTGCCTCAGCCTCCTGAGTAGCTGGGATTAGAGACACGCACCATCACATCTGGCTAATTTTTGTATTTTTGTAGAGATGGGGTTTCATCATGTTGGCCCGGCTGGTCTCGAACTCCTGACCTCAAGTGATCTGCCTGCCTTGGCCTCTCAAAGTGCTGGGAATACAGGCATTAGCTACCACACCCAGACCTCTTTAAGATCTTAAAGGGACAATCTGTGGAAAGCTTTCAGCATGATGCCTGGCAGGAAGTAATAGCTAGTTGTTGATATTGTTGTTATTATTTTTAGCGATGTTCTCCTCCCCGCGGTTGGACATTCAAGCTAACCTCTCCCCACTGGCCCTTGACCCTAGACGAGCGTCAAGAATCCTCGTAGGCCTAGCTGACGTTTGAGCCAATGAGAGCTCAGAGGAGAGACCAACACTACCCCCGGGGGCCAAAAATAGAGATAAAGCTGACTCCAAAGTTAGGCTTGGCGGGACAATTTTGCCCATACAAGGCCAGAGTCTGTACCACCTGGCAGGCCCTAGGGCCAGGGAGCTGCAGGGCAGACTGCCTCAGGCCTGCTCTGGTTTTTGCCAGATCTGCCCAGGGAGGCCCCGGGAATGTCACAGGCTCCTTCTGTCTCAGATGGATGACTCTCTGGGGACTGAATTTTATTTGAAATCAGTTTGAGACAGAAGTGCCCCCCAGCTTCGGGCCCCCTTCCCAGCCAGACATTCCAGAGCCTGGGCGAGAAAGAAGCCCCAAGGCCCGAGATTGTTCAGAGGCCCCACTTGGATGTGGAATCCGAAGCCATTGCTTCTGGGAAGCATCTGTGCAAAAGCTGGGGGACTCCAAGAGCCCCCATAGAAACAGACCTCTAGGCCACTGTGCAGTGATGAACCACCTAAGCCCTCTTCTCTGTCCCAGGATGATGCTCGCTCCTCAAACCACATCCCTGTTGTCTCATAGAGACAAGGCCTTGGGTCAGTCCAAGCAAAGGCACCTAAGTATAGCAGGAAAGGCAGCACTTGAACCTTTCCTCTGCCTCTCAGGCTCTATATGTGTGACCTTGGGCTGGGCACTCAACTTCTCTGAGCCCCAGAGCGCCTCAGGGAGGCTCCTCCTCTGGAAAATAAGGATGATTATGTATGCCCTTGCTGGTTTGTGGTGTAGATTACATGAGACAACGGAAGGATGAAATGACCAAGCTCAGGGCTGGCACACAGTAGGTGCTCTGTACATGCTCACTTTTATCCCTTTGGTTATAAGACAGTGTTGGGGGTGGTTTGGATGGTGCAGTGAGACCCGTCTCGACTCCTAAAACAGCACACAGGGTGCAGCTCTCCCTCAAGGTGGCTCAGGCACTGGAGTGCAGGAAGAGGGTTCTTGCTTTAGACAGGGTCCATCTCTTCCAGTGTGCACACTGGTCTAGCCTGGTGTGGGGATGTGGCAGCTGATTCTCCAGTTCAATATCCAGGCTTCTGTGTCATTGTCCCCATCAACCTGGACATGCCAATACTTCAGTGCCCAGAGGGCATCTCAGAAGTAATTTTCATTCCCCAGGATGATTCACCTTCTAAGGCTGCCTCTTGCCCCAGGCCACAAGCAGATGCTCAGAGATGGCTTTTGGTGGTGGTGGTGATGCAGGGGCTGGGGAGGCCCTGACCACTGCAAAAATGTGACAGTTTTTCCCTGGGATGCGACCAAATTGCAGAAAGCTAAGAGAGGTGACATATCAGCTGTGGGCAGCGTGGTCCGGGGCTGGTGCCTGGACTGCAGGAGTCTCTGCTCACTGGGTAGTTTATCTCTCCGGGACCTCCCAGGGCTCTCAGGGCAAAAAGCAATGTCAGGAGACCTGGTCTGCCCCACAGGGGCTGTCCTTCTTCTGTCGTTGTGAACAGGACTCATCCAAATCTCATTTTCCTAATCTGTAAAAGGGGATTGATAGAGACAGTAAGCATAGTGGTTAAGAAGATGGCTTGGGACCGGCTGTATGACCGCGAAGCATAGTCTTTCTATATATGAACTGTGTCAACCTGGGCAAGTTATTTTGCCTCTTTGGGCCTCAGGTTCCTCTTCACTGCAGCGATGATAACACCTGTCTCATAGATTTGCCACTTTAAACAATCTGAGGCACCTAGTGACATGTGCTGAACACCTACCAAGGGCCAGGCACTGCCTGAGCACATCACCTGCATCAGGTAATGTCATCTCCTGACAACTCTCAGAAGTAGGTGTTTGTATTAAACCCTGTTTACAGATAAGAAAACTGAGGTCCAAGGTCATATCACTGGTAAATGTCAGAGCCTGTGATCCCAGCACTTTGGGAGGCCAAGGTGTGCAGATCATCTGAGGCCAGGAGTTTGAGACCAGCCTGGGCAACATGGCGAGACCCTGTCTCTACTGAAAATACAAAAAATTAGCCAGGCATGGTGGCATGTAAATGTGGTCCCAGCTACCCGGGACGCTGAGGTGGGAGAATCACTTGAGTCTGGGAGGTCGAGGGTGCAGTGAGCTGTGATCATGGCACTGCATTCCAGCCTGGGTGACAGCGGGAGACCCTGTCTCAAAACAAACAAACAAAATTTAATACAATGCCTAGTGCTCCATAAATGGAAGCTACCATTATTGAACAGGATAGGAGCGATTGCGGTATCAGGGTTCCCAGGCCTTTGCTTCTCCCAGCTGCTAAAAAGGATTTGTTGTGACTCAGTTTCTCCCCTTCTCTACCCACACAGGAGGGTTCTACTGTTGCCAGGTCAGTTCCTTGGGCCTAGCCTAGGATTTGTAGAAGGATTAGCAGAGTTGGAAGAGAAATGCCAGAGAGCACAGAGTCTGAAACAAAACTGGGGAGAAGAAAAAGCTGCATATAAAAAGTGCTCAGGGCCGGGCGCAGTGGCTCACGCCCATAATCCCAACACTTTGAGAGGCCAAGATAGGAGGATGGCT
Source organism: Homo sapiens (assembly GCF_000001405.40). NCBI lineage: Eukaryota > Metazoa > Chordata > Mammalia > Primates > Hominidae > Homo > Homo sapiens. The sequence goes on from NC_000011.10 coordinate 44,009,549, forward strand.
TGAACCCAGGAGTTTGAGACCAGCCTCGGCGACATAGTGAGACCCTGTCTCTACTAAAAATAAAAAATTTGCTGGGCATGGTGGTGTGCACCTGTGGTCCCAGCTACTTGGGAGGCTGAGTCAGGAGGATCGCTTGAGCCCAGGAGGTTGAAGCTGCAGTGAGCCGTGATCGCACCACTGCACTCTAGCCTGGGTGACAGGGCAGGACCCTGTCTCAAGTAAGTAAATAAATAAAATAATATCAAATAGAATGAGAACCAATTGTGCATCTTGGAATCAAAGGACTCTGGCTGCCCATAGAAAAGGCTTCCTTGTTACTCTGAATGGACAAGTTGCCATCCCAAGCCCCAGTCCTCTTCTTACTCTGCTTCTCCTGGGGATAAAGTCTTCTCTCTTATTAATGATGGTAAATGTGAGACCAGAGATGCCTGCTCAAAACAACTGCTTGGTGTTGGAAGAACTAGGCTAAGAGGACTGACATCTAAATGAGAGATAAAAACGTCACCTCTCAGCTGTGTGCAATGGCTCATGCCTGTAATCCCAGCATTTTGGGAGGCCAAGGTGGGGGGATCACCTGAGGTCAGGAGTTTGAGACCAGCCTGACCAACATGGAGAAACCCCGTCTCTACTAAAAATACAAAATTAGCCAGGCATGGTGGCACATGCCTGTAATCCCAGCTACTCGGGAGGCTGAGGCAGGAGAATTGCTTGAATCTGGGAGGCGGAGGTTGCAGTGAGCCGAGATCGCACCATTGCACTCCAGCCTGGTGACAAGAGCGAAACTCTGTCTCAAAAAAAAATCGTCTCCTTCATATAGGCAACAAATATTTACTGAACACTTACTATGTACAGGCATTACTCTAGGTGCTGGAGATAGAGGGACAAATATCCCTGAAATAAAGTGGGCATATGGTCCAAGTTAATGCAGGTTTTTCAGAGGGGACTTATATGACTGGCAAAACTTGAATTGACCCCTCTCATGCCCAAGTGGATAACATGGAAGAAAAAAATCTCCCCTCTCTCTTGAGCTCTTTCTGCTAAGTGGTTTTGCTATGTTCACATTTTCCCACTGGCAGTGCCCTGAAGTCTCCAATCCCAGGTAGTCAAAACTCTGAAATGGAATTGTACATGGTCTGGTGCTGATAGCTAGAAGCAACTGATTTACTTCGTTCTCCAAACTCAAAACCCTTTCCTGGGCCTCCTGAGAAGTTGTCTGGTCTGGAAAATGGCAAAGAAAATTGAGAAATGGAAGCAGGAGCAACAAGTGTGTATAACTGAGTCGGGTCTTGCTGATGTGAGAGCTAGGATTGAGGAATTTGCACTCTATTTTAGCAAGAATTTGTAAACATCTTGTAAGTTACCCCTATACTTAGTCAGTGAGGGTGACTCAAGTTAGGCAAATTGCATGATGGAAAAGCTGGGACATAAAAGTCCAAATAAGTTAAAATATTGCATTGCATTTAGAGCCTGTAACCTGGGGCGCTTCCAATATTTCCAGCCTTTGGAAAAGATTTCACCATGAGCCAGAAACCCAAGAGCGTACATCTGTCTCTCCTCGCCCCACTGGGAGTTTAGTTCCTAAGGGTGTCTCAGATCTGTGTATGTCTCCCATCTCCCCTGCTACCTGTTCAGTCCATGCTACCTTCATTTCCCACCTGGACATCTGCTCAACAGGTACATCCTCCCTGACCTCCACCTCCCAACCCCCAGCCAGTGAGGCCAGAAACCCCCATGGCTGGCTCCAGTACTTCTCCCCAGCACTCATCGTGGTCCTAGCTATGGATTTATTAGTGAGCTTGTTTAAGTAATGGTTGCCTTCCCCATTTCATTATAATGTCCTTAAGTGGAGGGACTGCGTCTGTTTTTGCTGATCATTCTGTCCCCTGCACTTAGCACAAAGCATGGAAGAAGGAGTTTGAAACATATTTTGGCCAATGCTTTGTAAACACGTCCACATAAGTTAGACCTATTCTGACACTTACTCGGTCTCCCTATCCTGATCTGTGAGAGGTGCTCAATAAATATTTGTTCAGTGAATGAATAAATGAATAAAGGTGTTATAAACCTCAAAAAGAGATCAGTAATTTTTGCACATATGCAGTCAGTTTTTCTCCTCCCCAACCAAAAAAATGCTGAAGTGTTTCAAGACTGTCCATCTGAAAGAACATACTGGTCTGTTCAGAGCTCACATATGGGTGGTGGAGACCCTGATAAACCCTGGGTGTGTGTTTGAGTATGTGTGGGGGCGTGTGTGTGTGTGTATGGTTGAGAAGTTAAAAGAACATTCCCTGGTGAGAGGAAAAAGAGGAAGAGAGGATTCTGTTCAATTACCTATCAAAATACAAATACATCCAACCTAGAGCCTTATTTGAAGTATTTGTGCAATGAATACTTGCTCCAATACTGCTAAGTATTTGTGTAATGAGTACATATGTGAGGGAATCATTACTCATGTGCTGATGCTAGGAGGGATGTGGGAGGAAAGAGAAGAACCTCCCTTCTAGCCTTTTTTCTGTCCGTCCTGCCAAAGTCTTCTCCTGGATGATCCTCTGGACTCCTTCAAGGAGGTGATGGCCCAGGAAGTGGTCTGCTGTGGTCAGTGGGGCTAGTGTTTGGCTCTCAATAGAGGTTCCCATTTATGCCCACTTTGTGCTCAGTCTTCCAGAAAGACCTGATGCTGGCTAGGTATGGAGAAACAGGCTCTCTTATATACTCTTCTTGGGAATATCAATTTGATTAACTTTTTTTTTTTTTTGAGATAGAGTTTCGCTCTTTTTGCCCAGGCGGGAATGCAATGGCACGATCTCAGCTCACTGCAACCTCCGCCTCCCGTGTTCAAGCAATTCTCCTGCCTCAGCCTCCTGAGTAGCTGGGATTACAGGTGCCCGCCACCATGTCCAGCAAATTTTTGTATTTTTCGTAGAAACGGGGTTTCACCATGTTGGCCAGGCTGGTCTTGAACTCCTGACCTCAGGTGATCCACCTGCCTCTGCCACCCAACGTGCTGGGATTATAGGTGTGAGCCACTGTACCCAGCCTTGATTAACTTTTTTCAGGGCAATTTAGCAATATCTGTCAAACATTTAAAGACATATACCCTTCATAGTGCCAAATTATCTTCCAAGAATCTATCTCATGGATATACTTGAAGTTGTGTGCAGAGATAGACATATAAAGATGTTCATTGCAGTGTTTTTTATGCTAGCAAAAAAGTCAGAACAATTAAAGTCCAACAATAAGGAAACGGCCTAATACATTGTGGTCCCTCCATGTGGTGAAATGTTATGAAAGCTGTAAGGTGGCTCTTTCCATATTACAGTCCCTTGATTTTCTTCCTAACTCAACAACGTTCCTTCTTGGTGTCCTTTACTGGGTTAACCTCCTCTCAACAACAAAGAATAATCTGGTCCTAAATATCAATAGTGCCAAGGGTGAGAAACCCTGGGCTAGCCCAGTGCCGGGAGCATGGTAAATACTCATTAAATCTGTGATATATGAACAGGGTCTAGCACATGGCAGGTGCTCAAGAAATAATGGTTACATGACTGAAGGAAAGAGAATGAGGTAGGTCTATATATGCATATAAAGAAAGAAGTCCAAGATACACTGAAAAAGCAAAGTGCAAAACAGCGTGTATATTATCATACTTTTGGGCTAAAAATAGGCATAAATGGATCTGCTTATCTATGCATAGGAAACTTATGTATGTAAAAGAACATAAGCAATTCTTTTTCCTTTTTTTTGGAGACAAGATCTTGCCCTGTCACCAGGCTGGAGCTGGAGTGCAGTGGCGCAATCTCGGCTCGCTGCAACCTCTGCCTCCTGGATTCAAGCGATTCTCCTGCCTCAGACTCCCAAGTAGCCTGGATTACAGGTGCCCACCACCATGCCTGGCTAATTTTTGTACTTTTAGTAGAGATGGGGGGTGGAGGGGGGCGCTTGCCATGTTGGCCAGGCTGGTCTCGAACCCCTGACCTCAGGTGATCCACCCGCCTCGGCCTCCCAAAGTGCTGGGATTACAGGCGCGAGCCACCACGCCTGGCCAAGCACGTCTTAATAATGGTTTTCTCTGTAAGACAGAATTTGGAGTGAAGGGTATGAAAATATATTACGTATTTCATAGGTTTTTGAGCTGTTTCATTTTATTTTGTGAGCATATAGTGATTCTACAACTCACCACCACCCTGCAAACCTAGTTTAATTCAAAAACAAAAACAAAAAAACAGGACTGCTTGGTCACCCTTGATTGCAGCAAGACTTGAATGTAAAAAGTAAAAAGTAGCATTTGGGGCTGTGCGGACAGAGGCTTCGGGGTTGGTAACAGACAGATGGGTTTTCACAGCCTGCAGAGGCGCCCTCCTGCCCCAGAAACCACCTGGGCTCTGAACTCATTTCTGTTGGTCTTCATCTCAAACTTGAGAAGAAGGCCTCATTGCCACCAATCGTGATGCTGAGGAAACTGAGGCCCAAAGCAGCACAGCGCCTTCCTGAAGGGGAAACAGCAGATAAGGGTTCTTTTTGTTTGGCCCCCAGGAGTGCTGCCAGCAGTGGGGTTGGGGGCAGGTGCCAGTTATATACCGCTGTGAAACATATATCCCCACACCGCATCTTACATCTTAAGACCACAAATGCTTACTTCACTTACTGCCTCACAGTTTCTGAAGGCCAGGGTTTCAAGAGTGGCTGAGCTGCTGATCCTGGCTCAGGGCTTCACAGGAGGCCCCTTGAGGTCCAGCTGCGGGCAGGGGCTGCTGTCATCTGAAAACTGGACTGGGCTTCCAGGCTCACTCTGTGGCCCTTGGCAGGCGGCGATGCCTCATCGGCTGTCAGCCAGAGACCTCAGTCCCTGCCATGTGGGCCATAGGCTGCCTGAGGGTCATCATGACATCGCAGCTGGCTTCCCCGAGAGCAATGAGCTGGCAGAGAGAGATAGCCAGAGAGAGAGAGAGAGAGAGAGAGAGAGAGAGAGAGAGAGAGAGAGGTGCCACTGTCTTTTATCACCTAATCTCAGAAGGGACATACCACCACTTCCACCATATTCTATTGGTCACACTGACCAACCTGGCACAGTGTGGGAGGGGCCTGCACAAGGGTATCACTACCAGGAGAGGGGATCGTAGGGTCCATCTTGGAGGATGGTGACCCTAGGGCAGCCCCTGGCAGGGCCTTACTCTGAAAGTCTGGACTCTACATTTGAGTGACCCTAGGAGTAGGAGGGGAGAAGGACCCACCAGATTGAGTCCTGCAGTACAGCAGAGGCACCGTGGAGAGACACCTGGTGAGAGAAAAAGGTATGGGCCTGGGCCTCTAAAGCGCTCTCCGAGCCTGGGCTCCTGCTCCAATCCCAAGAATCACAGACATCTCGTGGGCCTCAGCATCCTCAACCCAGGGCCAGTGGCGGCCTGACTGCCTTCCCCCTCCCCTCCTCCCGGGGATGTGATGATACACATGCAGGGGCACCCAGGAGCCAATGGCACTGTCAATCAGCTGCCATAATCACAGGCATGCACAAACTGCTCTGGGCAAATAATCTCACCAAGTTGGTGATGGAGTAGGTGCTCCATAAACACTCAGTGGCCAGCTAATGGCTTTTTTTCTGAGCACACGTGTTGAATGCTGACTACATACCAAGTCCTTTGGCAGGCATGATTCATGCATTATATCACTGCTTTCCACCCAAATACACTATAAGGTTGCAATACACCAGACAATAAATCTACTAATAAGATTAGCCCCATTTTAAGGATGGGAAACTGAGGCTGGGAGGGTTAAGCACGTTGCTCAAATCCTTACAGGACTTACACTCAGATTGGCCTGGCTGCAAAGCCTCTGCTCTTGCCTCTGACATTGCATTGCCTCCCACCCACTCTCCTCCAGTGGGAGACAGGGCCGTCTACCAGAGAGAAGAAATAGGAGCTTAGCATCGTGTAGGCATCATATAGACCTCTGAGTCCTTCCTGCTTCACTAAAGAGGCAGACAAGACGCCGGCCCAAGACAAGAAGCAACTTTACTCCTTGAGTGGGGAGCAGAACCCACACCAAAGCCTCCTAAGAGCCAGACTAGTGGTGTTTCGCTTCTACCCTAAAGCCCATCCTCAACCCAGCTCATGCAAAAATACTTCTCCAATAAGAATGCGGCTAGGTTTGTCTTAAACATTGGAGCTAATTCCCAGCAGGATGGTGTACTAGAAAGAGCCTGGGCTGCGTCATCAGATAGATCTGCATTCAAATCCTAGTCCTCTGACCTTGGACCAGTATTTAAGCTTTCTGAGCCTCAGTTTTCATATCTGTAAAATGGGGCAATCACACTAATTTCTAATTTAGTTGTGAGGAGTAAGCGAAACATAAGAAATGAAAATGCCTGGCATGTAGTAATAAATTATATTAATTTCTTTGTTTCCTTTAGTCATTTATGATCATATTGCAGAAGCTCCAATTCTTCCTCCAATAAAAATATTCTTCTTTGGGTTGAAAAAGGGACCCTTACTCTAGCCTGCTATTTTTTTCTCCTATGTGGCCCTAGCATCCCTAAACACTTCTTCCAACCAATGAAGACCTCCAAGCATTGATAGGGGCTTTCTTTTTTGTGCCTTGATAAAGCCAGGCCTGGAGCCCCCAGGAACATGAGACTTTGGTACCGGTGGCTCAATTTTAGCCAACTGCTACTCTGGTGGGCCAGTCAGGGACACAGATCCTGCAGCATTTCTGGAGTGGAAAAACCCCAGGTTGCCGGGTGGTGGCTGCTGCAGTATTGCTGGCCGGCTTAGTCACAGTGGGCAGGCCTGGGAGGTGGTTGGATTCCAGCAACGGAGGTCCCTTGGGAAGCATCTGCTTCTGTCCTAGCTGAGCTGGGGGAGGGGGAATGGGCGAGCAGATATTCTGGAGATGCTCAGCTAGACTACAACAGGATTGGAAAGGGTCCTAAATCCTCCCTGAGCTGCTCTGACCTGAGGTTTTTTTGGGGAAACAAGGCCCCTGTATCTTGATCACTCAAAAATAGGTGGTTTAATAGAACCAGAAAAAGATAGTATCTGTTCAGGTTGGGGGTCCAGCTCTGGGAAAAGGGTGGGTGGTCCTCAGGAATTGAAGGGTGGTTGGACCAAGCCTTGAAAGCCCTTTCCAATACCCCAAATACAGGACTTCATGATAGGGGACTTGCCAAGAAATCCAGCAGACAAGTATGTGGACTCCATAGGCAAAGCTGCTATGGCATTTCTTTGGGAGAAGCAGCCGAGTACCCAGGCCTGCGGTAGTTAACAGAAAGACCACTGGACATGGTGTCAGAGGTCCCACTGACCTTGGGATTTTGGGTAAACAACTTCCCTCTCAGAGCCTTAGTTTCTCTACTTATAAAATAGATCTCTTATAGAGACCCCTCCAGCACTGAGAATCTCTGATTCATTTCTGGAGTTTTTGCCTCATGTTTCATAATCTGAAGATCTGCCAATGAGCAAGTATTTATAGAGCCCTGTCAGGTGAGGTGGGAGAAACAAGTCACTTTGAAACCAGCCTCTGCCCTCCTAGAGCTCATCAAGGACATTCAGATACACACAGGCACACATATGGAAGCAGCCACCCAATACCCAATGGAAAGGACTTGTCTATGGGGGTCCAGAGGAAGGGACAGCAAGGTGGCCTGGGCTGTTCCAGGATGGCTTCCAGGAGGAGGTAGAATTTGAGCCAGGCCTTGCAAGATGAGCAGAGTTCACTAGGTTAGAAGAAGGGAGCAGGATGTCCCATGCAAGGCCTGGTGAAAAGTCAGGGCTCACACATACAGCTGTGTAGGTTGTGCACTGCACAACTCCAGGGGCACCAGGGGCATTCACATTGTGATCTCTGTGACTATACTCCCTGTGTACAACCTGCAAGGCCTTATGCAAAAGCCCTGAAAAAAGTGCTGGCATAGAGGAATGATGTCTGCCAGGTCTGCAGGAACAGGCAAGAGTAGCCCCTGGGTGGCCCATTTGTCCACCTGGCCTATGGGGGTTAGTGTTCTCCCAGGCTTGGGGGCAATCAGCTCTGTTCATTTCCTGAATGGCTCAAGTGTTCATGAGAAGAGTGCAGCCAGACATCAGGTTCAGATGTTTCCTCCAGTGCTTTCTGGGATCCTGGGCAACTGACATAACCTCTCTATGCCTCGGTTTACTCCTTGAAAGTGGGCATCATAAGAGCTCCTGCTGTACAGGGTTTTGGAGGACATTCAGGTGGATCATACATGTAAAGTAATTGTGTAACCCTGGGCTTGATCATTGATCCATGTTATGATGACTGACCCTGGGAGAGAGAGAGAGAGAGAAAGGCTGGGTGGAGTGGTTCCTGGAAGCTACTGGGCACTGGGAAGAGAGGGGTGGAAGTAAGCAGCTTGTCATTGGGCTGGAGATGAGCCATTGCCAAGCAGTAATGATTTTTCCATAAATCATAAATTTGGATGGCTCCCAGGAAACCAGCAGCGTCTCCTGGGAGAACTGTTTTAGGAAAAATGCTTTGTGAAGTACACAGGAGCCAGGGATCCAGGGGACTGGAGTTCTTTTCCTCACCCATCAGGGACCTTGAGCCACTCCCTGTATTTGGGCGTCTGTCTGTCCCCCAGCCCCAGTGGGGGAAGGAACTTCACAGTGGATAGACCCCTTGGCCACCTGGGCAGTACTTAAGGAGACCAAAGATGCAGATATCTGAGAGAGGGTGAGCTTCCCAGGGAGCATCACAACTCCAGGCAGACGACTCAGCCAGACTGAGATGTGAACTCACAGCAGGGAGGTCTATGCCAGCCGGTCTCGACCTCTGCCTGCTCTCACCAGCTGTGCAGACACAGAACTGATAGCAGGAGCCCCAACTCGCCCCAGCCCCACTCAGGCTTACCCTCCTGACCCATGAGTCTACAGGCAATATAGTTGGTGCTCAGTCAGGGCAGAAGTTTCTCCTGCAGACTTGGACACAGCCCAGGCTCAACTTCCTCTTCCCTTCACCTGGGCAGCCAGAGATTGAGAGACCTTGGCCTTGTGCCTGGTGGAGGGCAACAGCACCCTTGACCTTTCAGGGTCCATTCTAGATGGGTTTCTAGACTTGGGTCCAGGATGATAATAGTAATAATTACTCATTTTTAAAATAAAGTAGCTTTACTGAGATATAATTCACATATAAAATTCACCTTTTTCATGCCTGTAATCTCAGCACATTGGGAGGCCAAGGTAGGAGAATCACTTGAGGCTAGGAGTTTGAGACCAGCCTGGACAGCATACTAAGACCCCATTTCTTAAAAATAAAAGGAAATAAAACGAAAATTAAAAATTCACCCCTTAAAATATACAATTCAGCATTTTAAGGTATATTCACAAAATTGTGCAATTATCTAATTCCAAAACATTCTCATCACTCCAAAAAGAAATTTGATACCCATTAATTCTCCATTCCCCTCTCTGTTTCCAGCCCTTGGCAACCACTAATTCATTTTCTGTCTGTATGAATTTGACTCTTCTAGGCATATCATATGAATGAAGTAATACAATGTGTGGTCTTTTGTGGCTGGTTTTTCTCACTTAATGTATGTTTTCAAGGTTCATCCATGTTGGTGCATGAATCAGTACTCATTTTCCATTGTATGGATATATCACACTTTGTTTAATCATCCATCAGTCGATGGACTAAGTTGTTTCCACGTTGGGGCTATTATGAATAATATTGTTATGAACATATGTGTACAAGTGTTTGCCTGCACATATGTTTCAAATTCTGTTGCGTATATACCTAGCAGTGGAATTGTTGGGTCATATAGTAACTCTGTGTTTAACTTTTTAGAAGAACTGCCTGTTTTCCAAAGTGGCTGCATCATTTTACAATCCAACCAGCAGCGTATGAAGGTTCTGATTTTTCCACATCCTTGCCAACACTTGTTACTGTCTGTCATTTTTATTCTAGCCATCCTAGTGAGTATAAAGTAGTATCTAATTGTGGTTTTTGAGAACATTTTTCATGGGCTTGTTGGCACATTTGTATATATTATTTGGAAAAATCTCTATTCCAATCATTTGCCCATTTAAAAATTAGGTTATTTGTCTTGTTATTACTGAACTGTAAGATTTCTTTATATGTTCTAAATACTAGACCTTTATCAGATATATGATTTGCAAATCTTTTCTCCCTTTTGAAAGTTATCTTTTTACTTTCTTGATAGTGTCCCTTGAAGCACAGAAGTTTCTAGTGTTGATGAAGTTCAATTTAAATATATTTTTCTTTTGTAAATTGTACTTTCAGTGCCATATCTAAGAAACCATTACCTAATCCAAGCTCACGAAAATCTACTTCTATGTTTTTCTCTAAGAGCTTTATTGGTTTAACTCTTACATTTAGACCTCTGATCCATCTGGAGTTAATTTTTGCACATGGTATAAGGTAGGGGTCTAATTCCATCCTTTTGCATGTGGATATCCACTTGTCTCAGCATTATTTGTTGGAAAAAACTATTTTTGCCCCCACTGAATTATCTTGGCACCCTTGTTGAAAATCAATTGACCATAAATGTAAAGGTTTACAGCTGGACTTTCAATTTTATTCCACTGATCTGTATTTCTACCCTTATTCTAGTACCATATGGTCTTGATTACTGTTGCTTTGTAGTACATTTTGATCTTGTATCCTGCAACTTGTTGCATGTTTATTAGCTCGTATAGTTTGTGTATTTGTAGCTTCCTTAGGCTTTTCTATATATAAGATCATATCATCTACAAATAGAGATAGTTTTACTCCTTTTTTTTCCACAGCCTGGATGCCTTTTATTTCTTTTTCTTACTTGTCTTGACTAGACTATCCAGTACAATGTTGAATAGAAATGGTGAGAGCAGACATCCTTCTATTGTTCTTGATATTACAAGGAGAATTTTAAGTCTTTCACCATTAAGAATGATAAATGTGGATTTTTCATAGATGTCCTTTATTAGATTGAGGAAATCTATTCCTAGTGTCTTTGTGTGTTTTTATCATGAAAGAGTGTTGGATTCTGTCAAATGTTTTTCCCGTGCCTATGAAGATAATCACATGGTTTTTGTCCTTTATCCTATTAATATGGTACATTATATTGATTTTTTTTCTTTTTTAATTTCAATAGTTTTTGGGGGAACAGGTGGTATCTAGTTACATGGATAAGTTCTTTAGTGGTGATTTCTGAGATTTTGGTGCACCCATCACCCTAGCAGTGTACACTTTACCCATGCATAGTCTTTTATTCCTCACCCCCCTCCCACCATTTCCCCTGACTCCCCAAAGTCCATTGTATCATTCTTATGCCTTCATGTCCTCATAGCTTAGCTCCCACTTACAAATGAGAACATATAATGTTTGGTTTCTCATTCCTAAGTTACTTCACTTAGAATGATGGTTTCCAACTACATCTGGGTTGCTGCAAATGCCATTATTTCATTCCTTTTTATGGCTGAGTAGTATTCCATGGTGTGTGTATATGTATCACATTTTCTTTATCTAGTTGTTGGTTGATGGGCATTTAGGCTGGTTCCGTATTTTACGATTGTGAATTGTGCTGCTATAAACATGTGTGTGCAAGTGTCTTTTTCATATAATGACTTCTTTTCCTCCAGTAGTGGGATTGATGGATCAAATGGTAGCTCTAGTTTTAGTTCTTTAAGGAATCTCCATACTGTTTCCCATAGTGGTTGTACTAGCTTACATTCCCACCAGCAGTGTAATAGTGTTCCCTTTTCACCACATCCATGCCAACATCTATTATGTTTTGATTTTTTATTTATGGCCATTCTTGCAGGAGTTAGGCGGTATTGCATTGTGGTTTTGATTTGTATTTCCATGATAATTAGTGATGTTGAGCATTTTTCATGTTTGTTGGCCATTTGTATATCTTCTTTTGAGAATTGTCTATTCATGTCCTTTGTCCACTTTTTGATGGGATTATTTGTTCTTTTTCTTGCTGATTTGTTTGAGTTCCTTGTAGCTTCTGTATATTAGTTCCTTGTTGGATGTATAGTTTGCAAAAATTTTCTCCCCCTCTGTGGATTTCTGTTTACTCTGCTGATTATTTCTTTTGCTGTGTAGAAGCTTTTTAGTTTAATTAAGTCTCATCTATTTATCTTTGTTTTTGTTGCATTTACTTTTGGGTTCTTGGTCATGAACTCTTTGCCTAAGTCAGTGTCTAGAAGAGTTTTTCCAATGCTACCTTCTAGAATTTTTATGGTTTCAGGTCTTAGATTTAAGTCTTTGATCCACCTTGAGTTGATTTTTTTATAAGGTGACAGATGAGGATCCAGTTTCATTTGTCTACATGTGGCTTGCTGATGATCCCAGGACCATTTGTTGAATAGGGTGTCCCTTCCTCACCTTATGTTTTTGTTTGCTTTGTTGAAGATAATTTGCTGTAAGTATTTGGCTTTATTTCTGGGTTCTCTCTTCTGTTCCATTGGTTTATGTGCCTATTTTTATACCAGTACCATGCTGTGTTGGTGACTATAGCTTTATAGTATAGTTTGAAGTCAGGTAATGTGATGCCTTCAGATTTTTTTTTTTGCTTAGTTTTGCTGTAGCTATGAGGGCTCTTTTTTGGTTTCATATGAAGTTTAGGGTTGTTTTTTCTAGTTCTGTGAAGAATGATGGTGGTATTTTGATGGGAATTGCATTGAATTTGTAGACTGCTTTTGGCAGTATGGTCATTTTCACAATATTGATTCTACCCATCTGTGATCATGGAATGTGTTTCCATTTGTTTGTGTCATCTATGATTTCTTTCAGCAGTGTTTTGTAGTTTTCCTTGTGGTGGTCTTTTACCTCCTTGGTTACATATATTCATATGTATTTTATTTTTTTGCAGCTATGTAAAACAGGTTGAGTTCTTGATTTGATTCTCTGCTTGATTGCTGTTGGTATATAGCAGTGCTACCGATTTGTGTACATTGATTTTGTATCTTGAAACTTTACGGAATTCATTTATCAGATCTATGATCTTTTTGGATGAGTCTTTAGGGTTTTCTAGGCATACGATCATATCATTGGTGAATAGAGGCAGTTTGATTTCCTCTTTACTCATTTGAGTGCACTTTATTTCCTTTTCTTGTCTGATTGCTCTGGCTTACATTGATTGATTTTTGGATGTTAACACAATCTTGCGCTCCTGGAATAAATCCCACTTGGTTGTGGTGTTTTATCCTATTTTTATTTGTTGCTTCATTAAGTTTGCAAGTATTTTGTTGAGGATTTTTGTGTCTATATTCATACGAGGTATTGGTCTGTAGTTTTCTTGTGATCGCTTTGTCTGGCTATGATATCAGGGTAATTCAAGCCTTATGAAATGAGTTGAAAAGTGTTCCCTCCTTTTCTGTTTTTGGAAGAGTTTGTGTTGATTCTTCTTTAAATGTTTAGTAGAATTCACCAGTGAAGAATTTTGGGCCTATGCTTTTCTTTATGGGAAGTTTTCTGGTTACTAATTCAATCTCTTTATTTATTATAGGTCCATTCAGATTTTCTATTTCTTCTTCTTCTTTTTTTTTTTTTTTTTTTTTCGAGAAAGAGTCTCACTCTCGTTGGCCAGGCTGGAGTGCAGTGGCACCATCATGGCTCACTGCAGCTCACTGCAGACTTTCTGGGCTCAGGTGATCCTCCCACCTCAGCCTCCCAAGTAGCTGGGACTACAGGTGCACACCACCATGCTCAGCTACTTTTTTATACTTTTAGTAGAGGCAGAGTTTTGCCATGTTGCCTAGGCTTGTCTTGAACTCCCGGGCTCAAGCAATCCACCTGCCTCAGCCTCCTAAAGTGTTGCGATTATAGGCATGAGCCACCACACCCGACCTAGATCTTCTATTTCTTCTTGATTTAATTTGAGTAGTTTGTGTCTTTCTAGAAATTTTTCCATTTAAGTTATCTAATCTTTTGGCGTATGTGGTTTCTGGTATTCGCTTATGATCCTTTTTATTTCTGTATGATTGGTACTCATGTCCTCCTCTTTCATTTCTGATTTTTGTAACTCGAATTTTTTCTTTCTTTTTTCTTGGTCAGTCTAGCTAAAGGTTTGTCAATTCATTATCTTTTCAAAGAACCAACTTTTAGTTTTGTTGATTTTATCTGTTTTTTTTTTTCTATTCTCTATTTCTGCTGCAGTTTTTATTATTTCCTTCCTCTGGCTTGCTGTGGATGAAGTTTGGTTTTAATTTTCTAATTTCTGAAGGTGGAAAGTTAGGTTATTTATTTGAGAGCTTTCTTTTTTAAAAATATAAATGTTTATAGTTATAAATTTTCCTCTAAGTACTAATTTAGTGGTCTCTCATAAGTTTGGTATGTTGTGTTTTCACTTTTATTAATCTCAGATCATTTCTACTTTCCCCTGTAATTTATTATTTAATCCAGTGGTTATTGAAGAGTGTGTTGTTTAATTTCCACATATGTGTGGATTTCCTGAATTTTCTGTTGTTATTGTGATGGTTAACTCTGTGTGTCAATTTGACTGGGGCAATGGGTATACAGATTATACATTATTTCTCAGTGTGTCCGTGAGGGTGTCTCTGGATGAGATTAGCATTTGAATCAGTGGACTCAATAAAGTAGATTGTGCTCCCTAGTGTAGGTGGGCATCATCAGTCTACTGATGGTCTGAATAGAACAAAAAGCAGAGGAAGGAGGGATTCACTTTTTTGCTTCCTGCTTGTTTACTTGAGCTGGCACATCAGTTTCTCCTGCTCTTGGACTGGGATATACATCACTGGCTCCCTTGTTTTCCAGGCCTTTGGACTCAATCTGGAACTATACCTCCAGCTTTCCTGGGTCTCCAGCTTGCAGATGGCAGATTATGGGACTTCTCAGCCTCCATAATTGCATAAGCCAGCTCCTCATAATAAATCTTCTCCCATGTATATCTCTCTCTCTCTTTCTCTCTCTCTCTCTCTGTGTGTGTGTGTGTGTGTGTGTGTGTGTGTGTGTGTGTGTGTATACATCCTATTGCTTCTGTTTCTCTGGACAACCCTAACTAATACATTGATTTCCAATTTCATTCAATTGTGGTCAGAAAAAAATACTTTTAAATTTATTGAGACTTGTTTTATGGGCTGGCATATGGTCTATCCTGGAGAATGTTCCATGTGCACTTGAGAAGAATGTGTATTCTGCTGTTGTTGGATAGAGAGTTCTATAGATGTTCATTAGATCTAGTTGGTTTATATGTTGTCTAAATGTTCTATTCCATTGCTGGTGATCTGCCTGGTTGTTATATTCATTATTGAAAGTGAGGTATTAAAGTTTCTGTTATTATTGAATTGTCTATTTCTCCCTTCATTTCTGTTATTTTTTGCTTCATGTATTTTGGGGCTGTTTGTTGGGTGCATAGATGCATAGAATTGTTATGTTTTTATGATATATTTATCATTTTATTATTTAAAAATGCCCTTCTTTGTTTCCAATGATGATTTTGTCTTAAAGTCTATTTTGTCTTACATTTGCATATAGCAATTCCAGCTCTCTTTTAGGCACATTTGCATAGTAAATATTCTATTCTTTTACTTTCAATCTGTTTATGTGTTTGATTCTAAAGTGTATTTCTTATAAACATCATATAATTGGATGATATGTCTTATCCTTTTGCTTGGAGTATTTAATCCATTTACATTATTGTAATTACCGTTTAGGTAGGGTTTACACTTGCCATTTTGTTATTTGTTTTCTAAATGTCCTATGTCTTTTTCTCTATGTATTCTATCATTGCTGCCCTATTTGTATTAAATGGATATTTTTAAATATATAATTTTAACTTGCTTCTTGTTTCACTTTTTTTAAAAAATTACTTTCTTAGTGGTTGCCCTGGGAATTACAATTAATACCTTAACTTAAAACAATCTAGTTTGTACTAGTATCAACTTAATTTCAATAGTATACTATACAAAAACTTTATTTTAACATAACTTTGTTCATTGCTGTCCCTCTCCTTTCTACTATTGTTGGCATACAACTTACATCCTTATGCATGATAAGACTGTAACAGTTTTGTAATTATTGAATTATACCATTATCTTTTAAATCAGATAGTAAAATAAGAGTTATAAACAAAAACATATCTTTGAACTGTTTTTCATATTTTCCTATGTGATTACTTATACTCTATATTTATTCATGTGGATTTGAGTTCCTGGCTAGCTCATACAGCCTAAATGACTCCTTTAGTATTTCTTATAGGATTGGTCTGCTAGTGATAAATTCTCTCAGTTACAAAAAAAATCTAGGAATGTCTTAATTTCTTCTTCATTTCTGAAAGATAGTTTTGCTGGATATACAATTCATGTTCAAAGTCTTTTTCTTTCAGCACTTTGAATATGTTATCCCCATGCCTTCTGCTTTCCATAGTTTCTGATGAAAAGTCAACTGCTGATCTTATTAAGAGGCTCTTGTACATGAGTAACTTTGCTCTTGTTGTGTTCAAGACTTTTTCTTTGTCTTTTAACCATTTGACTAGGGTGTGTCAAGGTGTGCAACCCTTTGAATTTATCCTAAGTGGAACTTGTTGAGCTTCTTGGGTGTGCAGATTAATATTTTCATCAAATTTGTGCAGTTTTCAGCCATTATTTCTTCAAATATTCTTTCTACCTCCTTGTCTGTCCTCTTGGACACCCATTATGCATATACTGGTATACTTAATGGTTTGTCACAGGTCTCTGTTTGGTTTTCTTTATTCTTTTTTCTTTCTGCTAAACAGACTGGACAATCTCAATTGATCTATCTTCAAGTTTTCTGATTCTTTATTTTATCTGTTCAATTCTACTGTTGAGCCCCTCTAATACACTGTTCAGTTCAGCTATTGTGCTTTTAACTTAGAATTCCTATTTGCTTCCTTAAAAAAAAGGTCTACCTCTTTATTGATATTCTCTATTTGGTGAGACATTGTTCTCATTACTTTCTTTTAATTCTTTATGCTTGACTTCTTTTAGTTATTTGACTATATTTATCATAGCTGATTTAAAGTCTTTAGTAAATCCAACATCTGGGCATTCTGAGGGATAGTTTTAATTGAATGCTTTTTGTTCTTATGTATAGGCCATACTTTCCTGTTTCTTAGTGTGTCCTGTAATTTTTAAATTGAAATATGGACATCTAAAATAACATAATGTGGCAACTCTGAAAATCAGATTCTGTCCCTTCACTAGGGTTTGTTATTGTCATTGTTTGTTTATTTAGTGACTTATCTAGACTAATTTTTTTTTTTTGAGATGGAGTTTCACTCTTGTTGCCCAAGCTGGAGTGCAATGGTATGATCTCAACTCACTGCAACCTCCGCCTCCTGGGTTCAAGCCATTCTCCCGCCTCAGCCTCCCGAGTAGTTGGAATTACAGGCATGTGCTACTACGCCTGGCTAATTTTGTATTTTTAGTAGAGACGGGTTTCTCCATGTTGGTCAGGCTGGTCTCGAATTCCCAACCTCAAGTGATCCACCCGCCTTGGCCTCCCAAAGTGCTGGGATTACAGGCGTGAGCCACCGCACCCAGCCGACTAATTCTTTAAAGTCTATATTCTTTATCATGCGTGATCCCTGAAGTCTGCTTGTTAGCTTACTGGTCTTTTAATGATTGGACAGAGATTTCCTTAAACGCCTAGATACAATAAGTTTCTCAGCCTTTGCCAAGAGGTATTTTGTGTTCATTGGGGCATGTCTTTAATGCTCTGGCAGACAGTCTACAACTCTGCCTTAGCCTTTACTTCCTTGGGCAGAGGCTCAAGGTCAGCCAGAGGAGAGAGATGTGGGCCTTCTTAGATCTTTCATGGGTATGTGCATGCCTCTGAACATGCATGTGGACTTCTAGATTCCCAGAAATAAATTGGAGCTTTTCATAGCCGCCTATAGAATCTTCCAGTTCTGCTTTTGCTTTTTAAATCTTGGAGCCTCAGCTTTCTTATATGTAAAGTAAATGTTCCAATAAAGGACCAGCTGAGTTCCTATGAAAATTAGGTAGAGAGCTTTATAGTGAAACCTAGCATTTTGCCTGGCACAGAGTAAGTGCTCATCAAATGTTAATTCCTTTCCCCTCCTTCTTCTTTCCCCTTTTTCAGCCCCACTGAGGGTTAAAGATTGGTGAAGGTTAAAGGAGGTGAAGAAATGTTCCCAAGGGCATACAACTGGTTAAATGGTGAAGTCCTTTTCTGATTTCTAAGCCCATGCCTCTCCACCATACCAGTGTTTCCCAATAATGAGATAATTTAAGGTAATATATAGATCATCATTCAACAACTTTGCCTGCATGTTTGTGTGTATGCATAATTTGTACACCAAACCCATGACTTTGTGCTTAGGACAAGGCATATATATAATAGATATTTAAGCTTAAAAAGTGAGTCAATCGATCTAAGCTGGGTGTGGCGGCTCATGCCTGTAATCCCAGCACTTTGGGAGGCCAAAGCAGGAGGATTACTTGAGGCCAGGAGTGTGAGACCAGTCTGCACAACAGAGTGAAACTCTATCTCTACAAGTCTTCTCAAAAAAATTATCTGGGCATGGTAGCATGCACCTATAGTCTTAGCTACTTAGGAGGCTAAAGGGAAGATTGCCTGAGCCTAGGATTTTGAGGCTGCAGTAAGCTATGATCATGCCACCGTACTCCTGCTTGGGTGACAGAGTGAGACCCTATCTCTTAAAAAAAATTGAGTCCATCTAAAATCAGTTATTAAGATAAGTAAGATATGGTGCAGGTGGTATGTTGTCAGGGCAAAAGCTGAGAGTAGTGGAAGTTGGCATGGCACCACATTCTACCCACAAGCCCTCAATTCTGACATTGGGAGTTAGAGTTGGAGTGGGCAGGAAAGGTTATTTGTACCAGCACTGTCCAGTAGAATTTTCTCTGATAATGGAAATGTTTTACTATCTGTGCTGTGCTGTATGGTGGCCACCAGCCACATTTAGCACTTGAAATGTGGCTAATATGATTAAAGAATTAATTTTTACATTTTGAATTTAAACAGCTACATGTGACTAGTAGCTGCTGTGTTGGGACAGCTCAGCCATAAACCAAATTTATTACAGCTGCTCCATGGGTCTGCCAGCATCCTCTAGTCATCCCTGCGTCACCTTCATTGAGCAGAGTGTGTGGCACAGGGAGCCCTTACCCAGGGGTCAGCAGACAAAGCTTCTGCACCCAAATCCTGGATTGTGTGATAGAGCAGCCTTGCCCAAGGGACTTAGCCTTGTTTCATCAGTCTTGTCTGTGCCTCAGTCTCCTTGTCTGTAAAATAAGGGTAATAAGAGTAATAATGACTTCTCCACATATGTCATAGGCTTGTGATGAGGGTCATGTGGAATCATACAGGAGGAATGTTTTGTAAGCCACAAAGTAGTAGAAAAATGAGTTAGCTTAAACAATAAGTTTGGAATAAGTTTGGAATGGATGTGTCCTTTAGAACAGGTGTGTTCAGGCTGGGCTGGGGTGTGGTGATCCTGTAGGCTTGACCTCCACCCAGAATCCAACCACTTCTCACTCCCGGGCAGTGATCATGCTGAGCACACTGTCACCACCTTGCCCTGGGGCTATTATGATGTCCTCCTATCTGGCCCCGCCATTGTGCCTCTGCAACAGCATCTTTTCCACACTGTAATCAGAGGGATCCTTCTATGTGCTAAATTAGATCTAGTCTTCTTCAAAACCCTACAAAGGCTTCTGGCCTCTCTAGGAGAAAGCCAAGATCCTTCCAGAGGCCTGCAGGTCCCTCCTGTTCTGTCTCTGACCTCATCTCTGAGTACTCCCCTCCAGCCATCCAGCTTCTTGCTGTTCCTTCAACATGAGAAGCCTCAGGGCCTTTGCCCTTGCTGTTGCCCCTGACTAGACTGTTCTGGATATTCTCATGGCTCACCCTTTGCTGCCTTCAGGTAACCTTTGCTCAAATGCTACCTTATCAGAGAGGCTTTCTCTGTATACCGTTGGATACCTATGCACCTGCAACAGTGCCTGGTGCAGAGTAGGTGCTCAGTCATTATTGCTGAATGAATGAAGTCCTGGTCAGAATGAATCACTGGCAGCTCATGCAGTGAGGTGGTGCTGGATTGGGAGTTGGCACACTTGCTGGGTGACTTGGACAAGCTACTCACCCTTTCTGGACTTCAGCTGCCCCATCTGCATGTTGAGGCCTAAACAAGGGAGTATGAATAATCTGGAAGATACCTTCTAATTTCAAAGAGTCCATAACCCCAAGTTCCATAGAGCCCCCGATTCTGCTTACATCCTTGCCTGATTGCTTGGTGAGTTGGCCCTCCAGAGGAGCAGTGTGATCTTGGATTGGCTAAGGGATCACTTAGGATAAAGAAGAATGGAATCTAAGCAGGGGTCCCTGGGACAGAACTGAAAGGGCAAGGGGATAACTTTTGTATAACATGAGGTTCTTGGAAGTGACTCCATTGACTTGGGTTCATGTCAAACAGTCAAACCAGGGTCCCCTGGGCCTTGTTTTTATTTTATTTTATTTTATTTTATTTTATTTTATTTTATTTTATTTTATTTTATTTTATTTTATGTTTGCTTGTTTCTTTGGTTGATTTTTTTTTTTTTTTTTTTTTTTTTTTAGTATAAAGGGGCTCCCCCTGGTTTTCCTTGCTTAGTGACAGTGGTGACCTGCCTCTCTCTTCCTGGTCTATCAATGTCTACTTGTCTCTCCCTGGGCCCTTTTCTCTCTCCCCAGTAAATCTGAGAACACTAGTAGTGATTCCTCAGGATTCTCTGGCTCAACAAATTTGAGGAGTCTTGACCCATTTCTTTCTCCCCTTCACTACAAAGCCCCTTCTCCCCACCTTTCCCTAAAACCCCAGATTGTAGAGCCCCACTCTCCCTCCTGTTTCTCATGGACACAGACGTCCAGAAGCCTAGGCCCCCTCCCCTCCATCCCTCCCCGCCTATTCTCCAAGCCCCAGAAGGGGCCGCCTGCTGCTTGGCTATTTTTAGCCCAGGAGCTTTTTCAAGGAGAAAGCAGCATGAGTCTCTGAGCCAAGGCACAGGACTGCGTCCCTGTGGAAAACCTCCCCTCATGGGGAAAGAATCCAGGGGATTTTTTTTGGATCCTGGCTTGGAGCCTTCAATTTTTGTGTGTCCCTTGCTAATTTATCTGGTTTTTTGTTGTTGATGTATTGTTTTTTTTATAGAAACGAAGGCAACACCAGATTATGAATCAGACATGGACATCAACTCTTGTGTAATTTGTGATCAGCCTGGAGTTTGGGTTTAAAAAAAAATTCTTATCTTGTTTGTGTCAATAGGATGGAAACAACTCAGTGTAATGGAAAACTGGCTGGTCTGGAGGCTGGGGTGGGAGTCAAGGTCTGACTAACACATCTAACACATGATCACACAAGACTCATTCTCTATGCTTACAATGCTCTTAGGAGGAAGAGACAAGGAGGGTCCTAGTTTTATACACGGGGAAACTGAAACTCAGAGAGGTTAAGCAACATGCCCAAGGCCTCCCAGGAACACACAAAAGGCAGGGATTTACACCCAGGATTTGGAAGGCACCTGACTGTTGTTTCCCTCCATTGGGGTTTAAGTCTCAGCCCTGCCTTGTGTTAGCTGTGTGACCCAAGGCAGCCTGCTTCACCTCTTTGAGACTCATGTCCTCCGTAAAATGGGAATGGTACTACTTGGCTTGTGAATGGTTAGGAGGATTCCATGAGATAATGTGTGTAAAGAGCTCAGGACAGAGAATAAACGTTCGCACGTCATCCTGCCCCCTGCCATCCCTTCCAGCAGAGGCTCCTGGATCACATCAGTTCCTGAAGACCCAGATGTCAGTCCGGCTCCCCCAGGGTATCTGCTGAGGTTCCTGCACCTTGTTTTTCTTGTCTTTGAAGTTTTCCTTTCCTGTGGCCTTAGAACTTCTGAGATCTGGATGGTATTGATTTTTGAAGATGCTCGTTTTTCCTAGGAGGAAAAGTGTCTCGAGGAAAACAAAGGAAAGCATCAAGACAGAGGCTCCATGGGCTTGAATCTTAGCTTTCCCACTGGGTGGGATTAGAAATGCAATATATTTATTGGAGGAAACACCTGCAATGGATGAAAGAGAGGGAGCAGGAGGAGGTGGGAGGGCCTTCAGACTGTGTGACCCAGGGAGAGAAGACAGAAGGATGGGGATTGAGGTAGGAAGAGTCTTGCACTGCCACACACTTCCAAGAAAGGTTGAGTCAGGCTGATGGGGAGTCTTTGAGCCAAAGTAGACTGATGGAGGAATTCACGTCTCCTAGGAAGAGGCTTGTGCTAGTACCTTGGCTGTGCTCATTTATTGGCTGGGGGCAGCCCTGGAGAAGACACAGCCTTAGTGTGGATGGTGGCGGATGCAGGTGGACAGTCGCGGGGGCTGTCAGTCAATTAAACTCCCTCCAGCAGGAGATCCAAGGTGCATGTTTCACGGCCACCACATTCACTTACTCAGGGGCAATCTTGGGAAATTCCCTCAAGCTCTCTGAATCTCAGAGTCAGCATCGGTGAAATGGGACTGATTATCATAGTATCTGGGTCTGAGGGTTTTATTTCAAATTTCTATTGCTGTGTGACAAACTGTCCTCATACTTAGCGGCTTAAGACTACAATAATGTATTATTTCTCACAATTCTGTTGCTGAATGGGACTCAGTTAGGGGTCCTTCTGCTTCACATGGCATTGCCAAGGTTGCTTATGTGGCTGCAATCTAATGGGTGCTTTGCTGGGGCTGGGATATGCAAGATGCCTCACCTTCCAGGGTCTCTCTCTACATGTCCTCTCGTCACTCTGCAGTCTGAGCTGCTCTGCAGCATGGCACTGGCTTCTGGACCACCCACTGCACTTGTCAAGCTCTGCTTGCATGGCTCTTGTTCATGTCTCGCTGACTGAAGCACGTCACATGGCCAAATCCAGAGTCCATGTGCAAGGGCGTGAATACCAGAAGGCATTATTCACTGTGGGTCAGCAATGGTCCAGGCAGCTGCAGGGTGCGGGGAGGAGGATGAAATAACATTGCCAAGTGCTCAGCACAGTGTCTGGGGTGCCTCAATGCGCCCAATAACCTGGGGCTGGGGCATGATGAAATTGCTCTCTGGAAGGCTTGAGGCATTAAATAAGCACTCCTAGCTCTGGGAAAACATAGCAGAGTGGACTGGAGTGGGGAGCGGGCGGATACGTGGGCATTGTCCCCGCTCAAGAATTCCTACGAAGAAGGGAAGTGGTGAAGACCAGCTCTGCAGGTCCAGGTTTGAGGGAGACCTAGGTCAACAGAAGCCCAGTAGGTCAGAATGGGCCTTTCAGAATCAAGGAAAAGCCCTCCTGCCAAGAATTTTCCCAGTGGGAAGGAACTCACAAATGTGGTATGACTGGGAGGAAAAGTCCCACAGAAACTCTCAGCTCATCATCTCTGAGAGGCTCCCCCGAGGGAGACGCGGGTGGAGACTTCTCTACAGAGCTCAAGCCTCCCTGGCGACAGTGGGAGGAGTCGGCAGGAACTCCCTCCAAAATGTTTCTTGTATCAGCCTCAGTCTCAGAAGACTGGTGAGTGCACAGTGGAGTAAGGCTCAACAAAAGTTAATAATGAAAGAATGAAAGTTTAAATGGTCAGGTGGACGAACAGTCGGGTTTGGTGGATGGCAGGATGGAACTTGGAAGGAAGAGGCTCAAATTTATATTTGTTATTTCACATAACCTCTCCAGCCCTCCTCCCTGACCTTCCTTCACAGAGGAGAAACTGAAGCCCAGAGATGCTTAGTAACTCACCCATGGCCACGTAGTTTGCCTGGCCACGTGGTCTGTAAGTGGCTGAGCTGGGACTTGAACTTGCGGCATGAACCCTGGGCTCTTGACAAAAACTCCGTATCAGACCACAACACACCATACCATACCTCTTGAAGAGAAAGGAACTTCTTAGGGAATCCTGGCAAACAGGCCCAGAAAATGAGCAGATGAATTCAGTGCCTGCCAAAGCCAGATAGCAACCCCTTCCCAGCCAGGGAACCAGGCCATTGACACGGCCACCACTGTTGTCTCCAGCCTCCTCACCCCCAGCATGCCCAGGGCTGAGGTCATTTGATCTCCCCCACAGCACCAGAGTTCTTAAAGGGGGCCCCTCGGATTTGAAATGTGGGTGACAGTGGTAGATAGTGTCAATGGAAAATGAAACAAAACCCTTTTCTTTGTGTCCCAAGCAGGATACCAAGTCCTGGGCAGGGGGAGAAATGGGTCACTGGAACAAAATCCTCTTTGACAGCTGAAGCAGGAAGACCTTGTTTGGGGGGAGAGTAAACAGAAAGGGCCCAGAAAAGACTGACTTCACTGAGCCGCAGCTCTGGCAAGGAAAACAGCTTATTCATATTTGAAGAGGTATTGGATGCTGGTGGCATCCTAAGTGCTGGAAGGAAGGGAGACACTGCCATCAAAATACATCTAAGCAAAGTAATGAGATGCAGGAGCCCGAGAAAGAAGACATTGGCAGAAGGGATGGGGGTGGGGGCAGTGGGTGGGAAGGAAAGGAACTGGAGGGAGAGGGGTCAAGCCCAGCCGGGCTTGGGCTGTCATTGTGCAGCCATTTCAGTGGCAGCCCCATTTGGTTTGCCTGGAATATGATTCTCCATCTTTGGGGGCGTCTAATGCAAGCTGTGGTCATTATCATCCCCCTAACACCACATGTACATGTAGATACAATTTAGGGTGGGGGTCCACCCACACCCCATCTGGGACTGTGGGTCTTCATGAGCAGTGTGTAGCCCATAGCTCACCCCAGAGACTGGGTCAGCGAGGCACAGGTGGGACTTGGCATTTGTTTTTGGAAAAAAGCTTCCCAGTGATTTTGACATGGCCCCTGGCTGAGCATATTGCTCTGGGGCTCCAGGAAACCCCGATGAAGACCTTAGCTTTTGAGGAGCAAGGATGCTCTATTAGTCTGTTTTCATGCTGCTGATAAAGACATACCTGAAACTGAGTAATTTATAAAGAAAAAGAGTTTTAATGGACTCACAGTTCCACATGGCCGAGGAGGCCTCACAATCATGGTGGAAGGCAAAAAATATGTCTTACATGGTGGCAAGCAAGAGAGAGAGAGAGAGAGCTTGTACAGGGAAATTCCCCTTTATAAAACCATCAGATCTCATGAGACTTATTCACTATCATGAGAACAGCATGGGAAAGACCCATCCCCATGATTCAATTACCTCCTACCAGGTGCCTCCTATGAAGTGTGGAAATTGTGGGAGCTACAATTCAAGATGAGATTTGGGTGGGGACATACCCAAACCATATCAGGTGCTTCATTCTAGCAATGAGAACAAGTGAATTTTAAGTCAGGGAATGAACCTCACAGAGTCCCAGGCACCCTGAGTGGTTCAGGGGCCTCTAGCCAGCTCCACAAGGCAATGAGTAACTCACACAGTAGCTCTAGAGCACCTGTATTATCTTCCCATCATGCTCATAGTAAAAGCTAAAGTGGCTATCCAGGTTTATGAAATCTTGCAGATCCATTCCTCAACTACAGCAAATACACTCTCTTATCCCAGGGCCTTTGCACTTGGCATTCCCTCTGCCTGGAACATTCTTCCTTCC
The DNA here is from genome assembly GCF_000001405.40 of Homo sapiens. NCBI lineage: Eukaryota > Metazoa > Chordata > Mammalia > Primates > Hominidae > Homo > Homo sapiens. The sequence goes on from NC_000011.10 coordinate 44,035,069, forward strand.
CCCAGAGATCCATGTAGGTTCCTCCTTTGCTTCCTGTGGGTCTTTGCCCAACTATCCTACCTAAATAGCACCCCCTCTTGCTCTCAATATCCTACCCAACTTGAGTTTTCTTCACAGCACTTACCCAATTACATTATACTTATTTATATATGTTGCTCATTTTCTGTCACCTGCTTTAGGTAAATTGCAAGAGGGTTGTGTCTGTCTCGTTGCCGTCTCTCTTCCCAGCACCTAGAGCAGTGTCTAGCATGTCAGTTGCTCAATAAATACTTGTTGAGTGAATGAATAATGCTAATTCCTTCCTCTCTGTTGTCCAACAGGACACAGATGTCATTTTCAACTGTGGTTAAAAATTCCCTGGAAAGCAGAGAGCTGGTTTTTGGATCTGTTTTCCCATGTAAACAGTAAACAAGTAAACAAAAAGCAGCTACTTGGCATCTACGGTATGCTCAGCCACCATGGGCTTAAGGGAGAAAGAAGCAGAGTAAAGCATTAGTTCCTCTCTTCAAGATCTTCACAGTCTGGGTCTGAGTGCTAAGGCCAGAGAATATCTGGGAGGCATTAGAACCATAAAGAATAGCTGAAGGGGCAGGGCACGGTGGCTCAGGCCTGTAATCTCAGCGCTTTGGGAGGGCGAGGCAGGCGGATCACTTGAGGCCAGGAGTTTGAGACTAGCCTGGCCAACATGGTGAAACCTTGTCTCTACTAAAAATACAAAAATTAGCCAGGCATGGTGCTGCATGCCTGTAGTCCTAGCTACTGAAGTGGCTGAGGCAGGAGAATTGCTTGAACCTGGAAGGTAGAGGTTGCAGTGAGCCGAGATCACGCCATTGCACTCCAGCCTGAGCCATAGAGTGAGACTCTGTGTAAAAAAAAAAAAAAAAAAAAAAAAGAAAGAAAGAAAAGAATAGTTGAAGTTCCGAGGGGGCTGGAGCAGTCAGGGAACTTTTCTGGAGAAGGGGAGAACTTCAGTGCCCTTTGAAAAACAGTCCCTGCAATGTAAGTGGTTTGAGCCAGACTGTTCCCCAGGGGGCAACCAGGTAGCAACCAACTGGGTAACTGGCCTTCGGCCCCCGCTGGAGGAAAGTGGGCAAGAGCCATTAGGACCCCGACATGGTGACCTTCCTCCTCCCCAGGATCCCCATTCCAGGTCACCTCATACAACCTAGAGACCAGGCCAGACCTAAAGGAATTGTTAGGGTCCTGTCACTGTGGCCCAGGAATCTGTGAAGAGAATACTCTGGGCCTGGATTCAGACAGGTCTGCAGTCAGGCCCAAGCAAGTAGCATGAACTTGGACAAGATTGAGGAACCTCGCTGGGCCTCAGTTTTGTTACCTATAAAATGGGGCCAAGGACACGTTCCTCATTGAATTGTTGGGAGGCCCGTTATATGGAACCCAGGGCCCAGTATTACAGATTCCCAGGTTCTATGCCAGGTGCTGTGGTGCACACCTGCAATCCCAGCACTTTAGGAGGCCAAGGTAGGTGGATCACTTGAGGCCAGGAGTTTGAGACCAGCCTGGCCAACATGGCAAAACCCTGTCTCTACAAAAAATACAAAAATTACCCATGTGTGGTGGTGCACACATGTAATCCCAGCTACTTGGGAGGCTGAGGCAGGAGCATCGCTTGAACCCTGGGGGCAAAGGATGCAGTGAGTCAAGATCGCCCCACTGCACTCCAGCCTGGGTGACAGAGCAAGACACCAGCTCAAAAAAAAAAAAAAAAAAAGATTCCCAGGTTCTGGCATGGACGGGCCAGGGTCTTGCCAGGTAGGTTCCTCTACCTCTCTCTGGACCACAGTTTCCTTGATGGGTTGGGGACCTTTTGCAGTCTCTTCCCACTGGCTGCACCTCTGTGCCTTCCAGGCTGCTGTCTCCAAAGTGAGTTTGTATGAGGCCAGTGACCACTTAGAAGCCCAGAGAACTGAAGTCAAGGGAGAAAAGGTTATGCAATCTGGAGGGATGGGGAGAGCTGAGGGCAGCTGGGTCAGTGTCCCTGGAAGAGGAATTCTCCTCCTTTCCCCATCTCCCACTGCCTACCTCCACCTTTCCCCAACCTTGGAACCTACAGGCCTTCTAAATTAGGCCATGCCAGATGTTGTACTTGGAATTTGTTTGCTTTTGGAGCAGAGATGCCAAAGGGGTGGTAGCAGGAACAGTCGTATTTGCCAATTCTGGATTCTAATCCTATCACTAGATTCTGGTTGTGACAGTGACCAAGGTACCCAACCTCTCTGAGCCCTGAGTCCTGTCTGTAAAACAGAAATACTAAGAGATCCCAAGAGCCACCAGCGGTTGCAGTGGGTCAGAAAAGAGATGCAATTGCCTGCTCCCAGCCTTTCTGAGGTCACGCACGCGCGGATGGCGCACTGGCTGCTCCTTGTCTGGCCTCTTCTATACTCCTCTCACCCGCTGCTTCTCTGAGTCTGCAGTGCTGGCTGGCCTGAGTTTTCTGCACTAGGCAAGAAAATAAGGGTTTAGCGACCCCTCTTGGCAAATCCGTGTTACAGCTGCTGTAGTCAGGGTGCCCGCAGCAGAGAGGCTCCCAGGCTGTGGAAGGTGAAGTTTTTCCACTGGGTAAATCTTCACTCTACTGTCAACATTCACAAGGTGCCTGCAACTGATTGATTTCTTCATTCTTGTCTTCAGTCATTGAAAGATTAGTTAGAAATGAATATTCAACAAATATTAACTAAAAACTCCCTGTGTGCCTTGGAACTATGGTAGAACGTGAATAGTGTACAGACCAGAAGGGGGCCCAGACCTTAGAAAATTGCATTATGGTATTCATCCATCCATGCATCCATCCATCCATCCATCCATCCATCCATCCATCCACTTGGTCATTCATTTATTCATTCACAGACATTATTGAGCTCTTCCATGGGCCAACCACCCTTCTTTGCGTTTGAGAAATATCAGTAAACAAAGCAATTGAAGACCTCTGCCCTCATGGAGTTTACCTTCTAGAGAAGGGGACTGAAAATAAACGATGCATGTAATAAATGAGTACATTATATAGTATGCTTGAAGGGGAAAAGTGCTATAAAAATGAAAGGTGGGATGGAGGAGGGGGAACTGCAGTGTGGTGAGCATGAGGAGCGGGTTGTAGAATTAAATAGGTGGTCATAGCAGGACTCTGGGAGAAGGTGAGCTTTGAGCAAAGCCTTGAAGGAGATGAGGGAGTGAGCCAAGCAGGTATCTGAGGACAGAGTAGCCCAGACGCTGGATTCATGTTAGAGCCAAGACTCTAAAGCACTGCCTACCTGTTGTGTTTTATACAGAGGGCATGAACAAAGTATGTGGGAACATAGGCATGGGTCCCTTTATCTGCCTGAGGAGTTAAGGAGGAAGGCTCCTTGGAGGAGGTGATAAAAGAGCTTAGACTTGAAGTATAAGCAGGAATGCGCAGAGTGGGCAAGCCTCTGACAGGGCTTTCCAGTGGAGAGGCAGCATGTGCAAAGGCCCGGGGGAACAAGAAATCCTGGTGTGCTGGGAGAGTTAAGGAGGCTCAATGATTTGGGTTGTTAGAGGGTAGAGTTAGAGGGTAGAGTGAGGGGGAGAGGAATGCAAAGGATGAGAGTAGGGAGCTAGATGTGACTGATTATTCCAAAGCTCTATTTGCCACACTGAAGAGCTTGCAAATGATGGCTACAGGGCTGAAATCAACGGGCAAAATGACTTTGCTTGGCTGGCCTTACTTTTTAAAAAATTTTGAATGCCTATTGGAGGAATAGGCAGGCTTCCATTAGCCTATGTCCTCCCCAACCTCTCCCTTTTCCTTAAGTCAGCATTGTACTTGTGTCGCCACTGTGTCCCTGAAGGTATTTGAATTTGCAGTCTCTGTAAGGTGAAGGGGAACTGTCAAAGGATCTTGAGCACAGGAAATAGGGGATCAGACTTTTCCATTGGAAAGTTTATTCTGGGGCTCCTTCAAGTCAGGGGATTTATTTCTTCATTTTGATGCTCCCAGGGTCTAAGACAATACTTGGTATCTAATAGGTGCCCGGTGGATTGTTTTTAGTTTTGTTTTTAATGAATGGGGAATGAATAAACAAATGACAGAGGAGATGGGCTCCCAGTGCAGGACAGGATGGGGGATATGTGAGGTCCTGCCCTCTGGGGTAAGGTGCCTGCCCACAGCTAATGCTTCCTTTAGGTGTGGAATCTACTATGGCACTGTCTTTCCAAGAGTCTTCCAGAATCACCTGTCATGCTTGTTTTAAAAAGCAGATTCCTACCACTCAGCCATAAAAAAGGAATGAATTAATGGCAATCACAGCAACCTGAATGGGATTGGAGACTGTTATTCTAAGTGAAGTAACTCAGGAATGGAAAACCAAACATTGTATGTTCTCACTAATAAGTGGGAGCTAAGCTATGAGGATGCAAAAGCATAAAAATGACACAATTGATTTTGGGGACTCGGGGGGAAAGGATGGGAAGGGGGTGAGAGATAAAAGACTATAAATTGAGTTCAGTGTATACTGCTTGGGTGATGGGTGCACCAAAGTCTCACAAATCATCATTAAAGAACTTACTCATGTAACCAAACACAGCCTGTTTCCCAAAAACCTATGGAAATAAAAAATAAATAAAATGCACATTCCTGGGTTCAGTTATACACCTACTGAATTGGAATCCTACTGATGTGGAGCCCAGGCACCTGTGTGTTAAACAAGCTCTCATTAAAGTTTGCAAAGAGGCACAAGGCAGAGTATTCTGGGGCTACAGGCTGCCTTGGCCTTGCTTCTGTGTAGACCCCTAGAGAAAGCAGCACAGCAGCTAGCTGCCCAGGGCAAGCCTGGCAAGCCCACAGCACATAGTCATGGGCGGTTCCACCTGCCCTATCACTTTAGCATATCTGCTCCCGTCTAGTCCTCATACCACCCTCGGGGAGGTAGGTTTCATTACTGCCATCTTTAACAAGGAGAAACTGAAAACCAGAAAGGCTAGGTGGGTTTGCCAAGGCCACACAGGCAGGGGGGCCTGGGCAGATTGGGATCCAGCTCTCCTGGGTCTCCTTCCTGATCTTTCTTGCCAAGTTGTCTTTTCTGCCCTGGGTTAACCCACTTCAGCTTGTTCTCAAATCATGACCTCCTCAGATATGGGGAAAAGTCAGTAGCTCATTTGTGTTTTAATTGGGAGTCCCTTGCTCTAGTAGTTCTCAGTAGTTTGTAAGTATTAGAATCACCTGGTGGTCTTGATAAAGTACGTAGGCCCAGGCCTAGCCTACTTCAAAGAGCCTGGTCCTGTAGCACTTGATTAGTTCTCCAGGTGATGCCAATACCCTCCAAAGTTTGAGAACCGTGGCTTCAATGAGTGGTTCTCCCTGGGTGGGCGTTGCAAAGCCTTTTCTCTGTAATGGGGCAAAGAAAGCCCACTTTAGGTAATAGGGAATTCCTGGGGAAGATCACCCTGGATGGGAAAAGGTGGATCTTATTATTACCTCTAAAGTCACCTTGTGCCTACAAGCAGAACATGCAGGCCACAGTGGTAAACACATTCAGTGAGGAGGGCGGCAGAGCAGGTCCCTGAGTGCTGACAGTCAATGATGGTTTGCTCAGTCAGTTTCTAGGCCAGAGAAAAGAAGAGTGAAAACAGATACAGAGGTAAGTGCTGGTGGCAGGGTAATGTGAGCTGTGGGATGTAGAGTGAGAGAGGTACTTTGGACCCGGTGATGCCTAGGGCTCCTGGGCCTCCAGTGAGGTAGGGTCCCTCATGGACTTAGGTGGCTCATGGATCCCCAAAAGTGAATGCCAAGCTTTGAGAGTATGTGCGCCCTTCCAGGGAGAGGCCTTAAGGAGGAATGTTTATAAGGGCAATGGGGCCTGAGGTTGACCAACTTGGGTTTGAAGCTCCCCTTTCCACGTCCTACTCGTACCATCTTGTGTGATTCATTGAGCCTCTGTTTTCTCACCTGTAAAGTGAGTCTAATGATGGTACCCTCCTAATAGGACTGTTTTGAGAATTAAATAACATAAAATACATAAGGAACCTAGACCAGAGCCTGACTTGAGGCAGTGCTTGAATAATGTTTTAGCTGTCTTTGGTAATATTGTGGTTCAGAGAATTCTATGTCCCCCATGAATAGTTTACGTCATTCATAATCATTCAGGTCATATCTGGGGACCTTGCTAAATTCAATGGACTGTAATGAATTATGTCCTTAACCGTGTCATCTGAAAGTTGGGGATAATTCTTACCTCACAGCAGTTGTTAGGGTTAAGTGAAAATGAAACTACTTGAATGGGTCAGCTAGGTAGTCATTAGGCTCACTTTTTAGCTAAGTGACCAGCCTTTTCTTCCAGATTACTAATTTTCTTTTTAGCTATATCTAATTGCCTGCTAAACCCTTTTGTTGAGGTTTTCCATTTTTGGTCCTTATATTTGAACCTCTAGGATAGGTTGAAAATGCTAGTCTAGTGTTTACCAAAGTCTGACCTATGTGTATATGCAACATAGGCATAGCTGTGTTCCAATAAAACTTTATAAAAACATGAGATGGGCCCCTATTCTACAACTATGTTAAACTCTTGTAGATCTTCCTTTAATTCTCTTGTGTTTTCCAGATGTATAGTAGTAGTCTGTAGATAGTGATAGTTCAAATTCCCTTTTCTGACTCAAATTTCTTACCTTGGCTAATATTCTTGGCTGAGACTGCTGGTACAATGTTAGATATTTAGCAGAGACAATAGGTAGGCCTTATCTTGTTTATGAGAATCCCTCCATTGTTTCCCAATTGTGTAGGAGGCTGGCTTTTTAGCTGAGAGATGTTTCATGTTAAATAGGTACCATTCATTTAAATAAGTTGTCTAAATAAAGAATGGGTGCTGAATTTCGTCAGGTATCTTTTTAGCATCTATAGATATAATTGATTTTTTGAAACTCCCTAGGATCTATTAATGAAAAGTTGATATAAATAATAGTATTAAACTAGTCTTACATTCTCATATAACCCCACTTGGTCATAAGGTTATTTTATGGTGCCATTGGATTCCATTTGCTGAATGCTATTCAGCTTTTAAGATATTGATAATCTACTCATAGGTGAAATTCATCCATAGTTCATTAAACTTCATCAAATCTTTATCACTATTTATTTGACTATAAAGTATGGGGTTTTTCTTCTCTAAAACAATTTAAATAGCATTGGAGTAATATACTCCTTTAAATATATGGTAGAATTCACCTGTGAGACAGTCTGGGCCAGTTACTTTCTTAGGGAGTTAGCTCTTTTCTAACTTCCATGGGAACTGATTTGTTCAGATTTTATTTCTCTTCTGGGATTAGGACTAATAAATTCAGTTTTTATACTAAATTGTCCACTTCATCCAGATTGAAGTGTAGCCATAGAACTATTCAAAATAGTCTTTAGTCCTTATTTCTGTGTACATGCTTTCTCCTGTTATTTTTATTTTTATTTTTTTTTGTAGAGATGAGATCTCACTATGTTGATGAGGGTGGTCTCCAACTCCTCAAGCCATTCTCTTGCCTCAGCCTCCCAAATGTTTGGATTACAAGTGTGAGCCACCATGCCTAGCCTTCCTGGTTGTTTTTTTTTTGTTTGTTTTGTTTGTTTTTTTTGTTTTTTTAGCTTGTCTTTTTTGGAACTAGCTCACTTTTTTCTACTATAAAATAATTATGCAAATATCCTGTGTAAGTATGAGGCCCAACCCCATCCTGGTCTTTCCACTGGAAAGGCTAGCATTTAAAATAAAGTTGTTGACTGGGTGCAGTGGCTCACACCTGTAATCCCAGCACTTTGGGAGGCTGAGGTGGGCAAATCACTTGAGCCCAGGAGATTGAAACTGGCCTGGGCAACAAGGTGAGACCTGGTCTCTACAAAAAATACAACAAAATTAGCTGGGCATGGTGGTGTGTGCCTGTGATACCAGTTACTCGGGATGCTGAGGTGGGAGGATTGCTTGAGCCTGGGAAGTTGAAGCTGCATTGAGCTCTGATTGCACCATTGCACTCCAGTCTCGGTGACAGAGTGAGACCCTGTCTCAAAAATAAACGTATTTAGCTATTTATATTCTAGCAGAGACTTAGTTCGCTATAGCTACATTTTAAATCTATTTAAGTCTGATAAGATTCATAAGTATACCGTTTGAGCTTGGACAAATGGCTATCACCATCTACCTACCACTCCATCAAATAGAGATCACCTCCATTTCCCTAGAAAAGTTCCTTGGGCCCCAGTGCAGTCAGTTTCCTACACGCCTCCCCTGGCAACCACTAGTCTGAGGAATTGGTATTGCCTGTGGAAATACTGATCCTGTGATGGTCACAAGATTCTAAGTGGAGTTATTTTCTTTCAGTACATTGAAAATGACATCCCACTGTCTTCAGGTTTCCACTGTTGATGAAGTTAGCTTTTGATCTGTTATTCCTTGAAAGGTACATTTTTTTCCTGGATTGCTTTTGAGATGTTATCTTTGTCTTGTTTTTTGTAGTTTCACTATATAGTGTAGATTTCCTTATCCCAGTTAGCATTTGGACTTCTTGAATCCATGCTTTGATGTCTAACTATCTAGCACTGAAGATACAGCTTATTCAAATGATTTTTGTCCCATTTTCTCTTCTTTTGGGACTCCAAAAAAATACATCTGTGTGTGTATTAGATTTTTTCATATTCTCTTACTTTCTCTTGTCTTCATGCCTTATTCCAGAAAGCTTCTTCAGCCTCTTCTTCCAGGTTAGTAATTTTATCTTTAGAGGTTTTAAATTTTTGGTCTTTATATTGTAACCTCTGGGGATCTCCTGTTTTCCTTCAAATCTGTTATTTTAATAAATTTTAATTTTCTTTCCATTTTTAAACTTGGATTTTATCTCCTTCAACAGAAAAGCAATTATTTTATAATCTACTCCCAATAGCTGGAGACCAGTTGGTCTTTCTCTTGTCTGTGCTGGTGGTTTTAGGTCATGCTGTTTATTTATGTACCTGATTTTCTATATGCTGGACACAATATTTTAAAAATGCTTTGAGAAATATACTCTATGGTAGCAGCTTCCAGAGTGTTTGCTTACTTCTACCTGGAATTTTGAGTCACCAAAATACGGTATGATTTAACCCAATCTCAGAACTTGAGACTTTCTGGGTATTATGTGACATGAAGCCAGGCTGGAGTTCATGCAAGGACTGGTTTTCTACTAGTTCACTCTGCTTCCTAGGGCTAAAATGGGAGGCTTGGGGTTTAAATCCTGGCTCTAATGTGAGACCCTAGAAGGTACTTATCTTCACTGGGCTTCAGTTTCATCACATTCTTCTCATCTTACATACGGAGAAACTGATGCCCAGACAGGGGAAGTAATTCTTCCAACATCCTACAGTTAGTGAGCAGCAATTATAGAATAGAGCCTAGGCCTGTCAAGGGTACTTCTACTTGAGCTTTCAATTTTGCACCTTGTATTTAGGGATCTATATCCCCAAATAACTTGCTTCCCCTTACATGCACATGAAGACGATTCTGCAATCCCTATCATACTTGCCATACCCAGAAGGAAGAATCTGAATTAGGTGAGAGTACTGAGACACCAGAGGAGGCTGGTGTGTGGCAAGAAGAAGGAAGGCTGGAAGAGTTATAAGGGCTTGTAGGGCACTAGAAAAAGTGATATTAGAAGTATCCTTCTGTAAACAGTATAGCCATGTGCTGGCATCAAAAGTGAACTGCCAGCCTGTTCCCACTTCATTTCCCACATTCATTTCTCCTTCCCAACTTCTGTTCATGATCTGTCTTTCAGCTCTTGTCAAAAGGCTGCTAGCATCTACTGGGCTGATCCTGGGATACTGGTTCTAGCTGCTAGAGAAGGCCCCCGGGTGAATGGAAAGGTAGATGGTGGGAGGCTGACGAATACTGAAACCAATGGTATAGCCAAGGAGACTTGAGGAGAGGATTGGTATACCCCCGGTACCAGACAACTTAGGGCTGAGGAATAGGGGCATTGTTGCCTTTGTGGAATGGTGTCATTTACAATAGACTTTTCCCATAGAAAGATGAGTCTTGGCAGAAGTCCAGCTTCTAGGTTTACTCCTGGCCTTGCTGCATACTCACTTTGTTATCAGAGAACACATTTTTGGGACCATGCATGGTGGCTCCTGCCTACAATCCTAGCACTTAGGGAGGCTGAGGCGAGAGGATCACTTGAGCCCAGGAATTTGAGACCAACCTGGGCAACATGATGAAACCCCATCTCTACAAAAGATACACAAAAATTGGCTGGGTGTGGTGGAATGTGCCTGTAGTCCCAGCTACTCAGGAGGCTGAGGTGGAAGGAACGCTGGAGCCCAGGAGGCAGAGGTTGCAGTGAGCCATGATTGCACCAGTGCACTCCAGCCTGGGCGAGAGAGTGAGATTCTGTCTCAAAAACAAACAACCCCCCCCACAAAAAAACCAAAACATTTTTACCAGGAAAACGCATTACTTTCAGTTACCTGCCTTGGCCCCCATGTTTGCTATATAAATCTGCCCTGGGGGGTTCTCATTCAAACTACTTTAAACAAGTTTCCTCCTCCATTTGCCTACTAGGCCACACTGGCCTCCAGCTTCCCTGCCGCATCCTGGTCCCTATTTCCTATGTGCCTGGAGTCCCCGGCTGAGTGCTTGGTATATGGGGCAGACTAGTGGGACTTTGGTAACAGCAAGGACTTCCATGGCAAGAAGTCTAAGAGCCCCTAATTTAACTGAACTGGAATAACTAAAATTCTGGGACCATGGGCTGAGCTGGCTGATGTTACAGAGCTGTCCAAAGAGCTGTCCCATCTTTGACTTTGTTGTTAAGGTGACACAGGGCAAAGATACTCAATGTGTAATTCCAGTCCTGGGAAAAGGAAGAAGATGCCTGGTGACAATAGCTTCTTGTTCATTGGAGGGAGGTTACCACCCCGATCTTGGCTCTTTCCACTAGCACTCCGCAGGACCAACAGGGATGATAGGCACCACCTTTTGGAAGGCAAAACCAAAGGAATCTCACCTGGCCCTTGCAATGCTCTATGATAATCAAGTATTTGGAAAGATAGTGTGACTTACCTACAGAGTTGAGAGCCCCATTAAAATGAATCTCTTCTAGGACAGGGAATTTGGGCCAGGGCAAAGTTCTTGCTTGTGGAAGAGACGGTTTCTCTAGGCATAAACACTTATATTTGTTCAATTTCTTTCTCATCAGTATGTTCCTAACACTGAATAAAGTTTTTGCATTATGATTAAAGGTTGGGATCGTAAGTCAAGACTTGATACAGCTTTGTTCTGTGGCTTTCTCTGTCTATTGCTCCATCTTCCATGGCCAAAGTCTTCATTTATGGCTCATCTCTTCCCTGACTTGGCAACATCCTTGTGGTTATGCCTCTCCTACTCATTAACTATGTTAGTTGCCCATGTGCCAAGGTACTGTGCTAAGAATGTAATACTGAAGGCTGACCTGGGCAGACACTGAACAAGTAACAATATTAAATGTCACTAAGGTGAGGTATAGGTTGCAATGGGAACATCACAGGCAAACTGAACATGGTTTGAAGAAGTTGGACAGAGTGTTTGGTACTCTGAAGTACTGGTGCCCTAAATTTATAAAAGAAGCAACGAGGTTTTTTTTTGTGTTTGTGTGTGTGTAGGGGGATGTTACTTAGGGGGAAAAACTTGGAATTGTAGCATTTGGTGGAATGGGCATAGGTCTAGATTTTTAGAAAAAAGGGTCTTGATATCTTGGGATATAAGGATTGTCTTAAAGAAGTAGTGGCAGCTGTTGGCCTCAAGCTTTCCTACCTTCTGGGATCTTGCTATCTGATTTATTGATTCTTTGAGGCTTTAAAAGGTATTTTTTGGTCTCGTTCAGTATTTAACTTGTTTTCAAAAGGAAGGTTAATCCTAATCGTTGGAAGTTTGTTGCAGTAAGCCATAATCATGCCACTGCAATTCAGTCTGAGTGATAGAGCAAGACCCAGTCCCTCCAAAAAAAAACAAAAACAAAACAAAACAAAATTGCTAAGTATAGTCCCAGGAACTTGCTAGAAATGAGGATTCTCAGGTCTCACCCCAGACATACTGACTCAAAATTCAGGGGTGAGGTCTCACCATCTGTTTCCTACCACGCCCTCCAGGTGATTCTGATGGACTTCAAAGTTTGAGAGCCATGTACCTAGCCCATAGTTACAAGTGATGGAAGCCTAAGGCAGCTGTCACAGTGAGTAGGTGGAAGGCATTTGCAGGAAGCCAAGTGAGGATAGAGGAACTGAGGAATCTAAAGGCTTTGAGTATCTGGTATGGCCAACCTGGAGAAGAAAAGGCAAAAAGAAGGGCTGATGTTCTTCAACAGGGCTTGGCAAACCTTTTATGTAAAGGGCCAGACAGTTAATATTTTAGGCTTCGTGGACCACATGGTCTCTGTCACGTGGTCTCTGTCATGACTATTAAACTCTGCCATTGTAACACAAAAGCAGCCATAATCAAGACATAAATAAATGAATGGGGCTGTGTTCCAATAAAACTATCTACAAAAATAAGTGGCAGGCCAGATTTGGCCCTCAGGCATTAGTTTATTCTAGCAGAATGTTTTACTCAGTGGGTAGTGATGGTGATTGTTTTTGAGCAGTAGAAACCCTTTTTTCCTATTTAACCAAACAAAGCAGGAAGTGCTCAGGTTGAAGAACGGGGTGGAAAATCCAGAGCCTCCTTGTTCATATCCCCCTGCTCTTCCTCAGAACACATCCTAATGCCATTTAAATAGAGCACTCAGTGTCTAGGCTTGAGGCCATGTACTCATTGCCCTAAAGAGTAGGTAACTCTTCATGAACCAATCTGGTCATATAACCAAGGCATGGAAGTGAGAAGAACAGATCTGAGATCTGTTCTGTCTCCATCCATTCCTGGACCTGAGGGTCCAGGAGATCCTCCTTTGCTCCATTGTCAATGGTCTCTTTCTCCATAGGTGCCAGGCAGCCTTCAGAGGCCAGTAAAGATACCCGGAGTATGAGTCATCGGTCAGACACCCTTCCTGTGCCCTCTGGTCAGAGGAGAGGCCGGGTCCCCAGAGACCACAGCATCTATACCCAGCTGTTGGAGATAACGCTGCACTTGCAGCAGGCCATGACGGAGCACTTCGTGCAGCTGACGAGCAGACAGGGCCTGTCGCTGGAGGAAAGGAGGCACACTGAGGCCATCTGTGAGCATGAAGCCCTTCTGAGTCGCTTAATATGCCGGATGATCAACCTCCTACAGTCTGGGGCCGCGAGTGGCCTGGAGCTCCAAGTGCCTCTTCCTTCTGAGGACTCTAGGGGTGATGTCAGATATGGGCAGAGGGCCCAACTCTCTGGGCAGCCTGATCCAGTTCCCCAACTGAGTGATTGTGAAGCTGCCTTTGTCAACCGCGACCTATCCATCCGTGGGATTGACATCTCTGTCTTTTATCAGTCGAGCTTCCAGGACTACAATGCCTACCAAAAAGATAAATATCATAAGGACAAGAACACCTTGGTGAGAATTTGGGGTGGGGGGTGGGCAGCATCCTCACGGGCTCCAGTCACTTGGATTTACTGAGTCCTGGGCCAAGTGCTATATATGCTCTCATTCTTTATAGCCTTATGAAACGGGCACTCTTGTCATCTTGCAGATAAGGGAATAATTACAGAAATAAAGTGACATGCCCCAGAAAGTTAGAGAACTCCATCCACCCCCACATCCCTCCCTCTCCCTAATCCCAGCTCTTAATTATTAGGAGTTGGCCCCTGTGGTCACAGGGACAAATGAGCCTGCCGTTAAAGAACTTAGCGTAGTGATGAATGGAGTCAGCCACTGGGGCACAGGCATTAATAATCTTCCCAAGAACGTGAAAGGGATGCCCACTTCAGGTGGTCTGGGAAGAGGTCTTAAAGGCTGAATCAGCCAGCCATGTGGTGATGGCCATGGCCATGACCCTCCAGGCAGGAGGAACAGCACACGTGAAACCTTCAAGATGCGAAGGGCTAGGAGTGATTGGGAAAGGAGGTCCAATGGCCAGAGTAGGGACCACTGGTGCTGTGGCAGGAGGTGTGAACAGAGGTGGATGGGAGGTGTTAAGATGTTACCCTAAGAGGCTGGGCGTGGTGGCTCATGCCTGTAATCCCAGCACTTTGGGAGGCCAAGGTTGGTGGATCGCTCAAGTCCAGGAATTCGAGACCAGCCAGGGCAACATGGTGAAACCTCATCTCTACAAAAAATACAAAAACTAGCCAGGCGTGGTGGCACACACCTATAGTCCCAACTATCTGGGAAGCTAAGGTGGGAGGATCACTTGACCCCGGCAGCTGGAGGTTGCAGTGAGCTGAGATCGCGCCACTGCACTCCAGCCTGGGTGACAGAGTGGGACCCTGTCTCAAAAAAAAAAAAAAAAAAAAAAAAAAGGAATGTTACCCTAAGGGCGATGGGGAACTGATGAAAGGCTTCCAGGAAAGGGGGTCCTTAGCAGCTCTCCAGCCAGAGGGTGGAGGGTGACATTAGCTATACCTTCCCCTTCTGTTCCTATCTCTGTTCTCCTCTAATAACTTAGAAGGCCCTAATGTGTAAGGAGAAGTAGCAGAGGTAGGTGCCAGATGGGGCCTTGGGGATTAAGGGTCCAGGCTCAGGCGTCAGGTAGGTAGAGTTCTACTTTTCACCCAAGGTCACATGGCTAGTAGGCTATTCAACTTTTCTAAACTTCACTCTTTAAACTGGATTATATAGAACCTTCTTTTCAGGAATTAAGACAACTCACAAGAAGCACTTGGTCTAGTATCTGGTACATAATAAGAACTCAATGACTGGTCGATAGGACATAACTTATTTATGTGGCTCTAATGGGGAAATTTGCAAGCTGTACTATTTTGGGTTCATGGAAAGCTTTCCTAACGTGTAAAGTTGTCAAATTTGGATTGAATTGCCTCATAGGCAGTGAGATCTCCATTTGAACTAATGTTTCAAGGGATCTATGTAGGGTGGAGCAAGAGGACTGACCTGATCTTGGATTCCTTCCATCTCCAGGGTTTCATTAACCTTGGCACCAGTGAGAACAAGCTCTGCATGGATCTGATGACTGAAAGAGTAAGGATGTTCTGGGCTGTGTTGGGACCCACCCCTTCAAGGCTTAGTCCCCCTAGCGTGCTCCTGAGCTATGGTAGATACAGGGGTGAGACATAGGAGCCTGGGAAGAGGAGTGAAGAAATAGCTTCTAGAATAGCACATTTAACCTCCTGGCTTTGCTGACTGTCCAGAGATATTCTCTGATTAGGTATATGGTGGGAAAGTTGCTATGGGAACCTCTGGGTCAAATACTTCCCAGTGAGGTATCTACTTGTGTAATTTATGACAAGATGGTAGCCTCCATTCATTAAGGAGCATGCAGTGTATATACCCATTCCCTTTCTAGGAGGTCATGTATGTGGAGGGCAAACACTCATGTACAAACTAGGAGTAGAATGAGGCCTCTTGAACTTCCCTGGCCTACCTGTCTTCATGTTCTATTTGTCAACAGTTGCAAGAAAGTGACATGAACTGCATTGAGGACACCTTGCTTCAGTACCCTGATTGGAGAGGGCAGCCATTGTAAGTGACCTTCAGATTTAGAGTCTCTTGGTCCCACAGGCAGCTGTCCTTATCCAGAAGGAGGATTCAAGGCACCAAATTCCTGGTTGGTTACCTCCCTATCTCTTTGGGTAATAACTTCTAGAAAATGCCTAGAGCAAAACTTCATCAGGAGGCAGCCTGGTATAGTAGGAATAGTTATTCTGGTATAGTAGGAATAATTCAAAAGGCCTGAGTTCTTTTTTTTTTTTTTTTTTTGAGATGGAGTCTCACTCTGTCACCCAGACTGGAGTGCAGTGGTGCTATCTCAGCTCACTGCAGGCTCTGCCCCCTGGGTTCAGGCCATTCTCCTGCCTCAGCCTCCCGAGTAGCTGGGACTACAGGTGCCCGCCACCACGCCCAGCTAATTTTTTGTATTTTTAGTAGAGACGGGGTTTCACCATGTTTGCCAGCTTGGTCTTGATCTCCTGACCTTGTGATCCACCCGCCTTGGCCTCCCAAAGTGCTGGGATTACAGGCATGAGCCACTGTGCCCGGCCAAGGCCTAAGTTCTTGTCCCAACTCTCATTTATTGTCTGTGTGACTTGGGGAGTTGATGGTCTTAGTCAGTAGCCCTGTAATATGAGGTTGGACTGAGTAGAAAAGGTCCCTGTTAGGCTGGACAATGACCATCTAGACCATGAGTGAGGAAAGGGGCCCGGAAGCCACAAGGTCTCTCTGGGTCTGTTTACAGCCTGCGGGAAGAAGTGGCCCGGTTCCTGACCTACTACTGCAGGGCACCTACCCGACTTGACCCAGAAAATGTGAGTCAGTTTCCCAGCCTTGCTGCCACCCTGGTGGAGGGCTATATTCTTGGAGGATGCTCTGCCCTTTCTAGGGGGTACAAGGAGAACCAGTGAAGACTCTCAGGGCCAGGGCAGCATGAAGGCCAATGTGTCCCAACTGAGGAGGCTCCCTGTGCCTGTTCTGCCCAGGGGGATGGAGAAAGCATGGCTACCCCTTCTCACATAGGTATTGGTTTTGACTTCTGCCTCTCATGTGTTGTCTTCAGGTGGTGGTTCTAAATGGCTGCTGCTCTGTCTTCTGTGCCCTGGCCATGGTTCTGTGTGATCCAGGCGGTAAGTCAGTGGGCTCTCCTTTCACTCTCAGTGAAATACTAGCAACACAGGTAGGAACACACGGGCACTGGACTTTGAGGAAGAAGAGCATCCTGACTCAAGGCCTTTTCCCCAAAGTGGTGGGCCTTCTCCCACACTGACTAGGTTATCTTCCTATTTCTGTGGGAACAAGGGGTTTGGATTCTCCATTTAAGGGAAGAGAGACATGGTGGACCTCAAGGAGGTATGCCCCAGGAATGATGATGGGAGCCTACCTACTATGTTCATGGCTGGGCTTTTGGGCTCAGCTGCAATACAGACAGCCATGGCAATGGACTCAGACAATATAGATTTCTTATCTCTTCAGAAAAAGGCTAATTAGTCCTGGACCCAACAAGGTTGAGTGGACTGTTCTGAACCTCCCCGGTAACAATGCTTAAGCAAGAGGCTCCAATGTTAAAGAGCTCTGGATGCATCAAAAGAAGTGCTAAGATAGTCCCTTTCCTGCAAAGGAGCTTCTCTCAGCTCATCAGTAAGGCCAAATGGATGGGAAGAAAAGAACGTGAGATCACCATGTCCAAATAACTGGAGCCCTCCTTGTGCATGGACCTTGACCTCTGATATTTGGCCTGAATCTGTTGAGACTTTCCTGATAACCATTGCTCCATCTGCTAGTGAGCCTCGCTTGACTTGTGCCCTGGATTCTGAGTTACTCAGTGATATTCTTCCCTCTTCTTCTCTAGTGTACCCGCAAAGAAGAAACTAGAGTTTTGTTTCCCCCAGTGATGTCTATAATAATGGATAACTTTCATAGCACCTGAACCTAAGAACATTAATCCCCAGGTAGAAAGGATCGTGAAACTGACTTTTTTTCTGTCGATAGCTTTGCTAGTTTGGGGAGCCTGGCAACAGGCTCTGATTGGGAGACTTTGGACTGATAGCTCTGTCTCTCTGTGTTTCCAGAGGCCTTCCTGGTCCCTGCTCCCTTCTATGGTGGCTTTGCCTTTAGCTCCCGCCTGTATGCAAAGGTTGAGTTGATTCCTGTCCACCTGGAGAGTGAGGTCTGAATGGGGCCCCTTCCCTGCTCAGTATGCCTAGACAATGGACTGTTCTGGGGACACCTAAAGGGGTAGAGGGGCTTGCTTTCTACCCATCTAAGTGGTTGGGTAGGGGTGGAGAAGGCATGTGGACTGGCACTCTGGTATGAAGGCAAAGGATTGCGGGGCTTATGGGAATGAGGAATCAAGACTTAGATTTTAAGAGACACTTCTCACATAGTGTTTCTCTTCCAGGTCACTGTTACAAACACCCATCCTTTCCAGCTCACTGTGGACAAGTTAGAGGAAGCCCTGCTTGAAGCTAGGCTTGAGGTAAGGTGGGAACCATATTTTTAGGATGGCCACTGCTGGTCCTAAAAGGGGTTTGAGTATTGAAATTCTGGTACTGCTTATTCACCAAGACCTGGTGGGCTGTCCTTAGTTGGAAGAGACAGTAAATGATCCAGGGGTGTGTCCCTCTAGTCCTGTGGGGATGTTATGGCAGCCCCAGACTTCCTTCCTGTTTCCCCTCTTTGGGCAGTATAGTAGTTGCTGCTTCAAGACCCTACCTAGGCCTTTTTGGGTGCCTAACCTATAAAAGATCCTTGGCTGAATTTAGGGTAGATGCTAAGGACTTGTATTCACTCAGTTATATTTGGGTTTTTCTTAGGGGAAAAAGGTCCGAGGCCTTGTGCTAATCAACCCTCAGAATCCTCTGGGTGACATCTACTCCCCAGACTCACTGATGAAATACCTGGAATTTGCCAAGAGGTATGAGTTCTACCCCTTGAGACTAGGTAATGTTTCTTGAAAGGATTCCCATCACTTATAGTCAAGTAATCAAGAGCCAGATCTGGTGGCACATGCCTGTAATCCCAGCACTTTGGGAGGCCGAGAAGGTGGATCACTTGAGGTCAGGAGTTCGAGACCAGCATGGCCAACAGGGTGAAACCTTGTCTCTACTAAAAATACAAAAATTAACCAGGCATCATGGTGGGCACCTACTATCCCAGCTACTTGGGAGGCTGAGACATGAGAATTGCTTGAGCCCGGGAGGAGGAGGTTGCAGTGAGCCGAGATCATGCCACTGTACTCCAGCCTAGGCAATAGAGTGAGACTTTGTCTCAAAAAGTAATTTACCCTAAATGGTCTCACTATACACCATACTTTGCAGAGTTATGTAAAACTAACTGAAATTAAAATGAAGGAAAACGCAATCACATGCTTACCACTTCAAATTTTTTGCCATTTCCTTTCTAGCCTCAGCCTATGTATTGACATTTATATAACAGTCAAAATATAGTTTTGTTTTCTGAGAAATATGTCACTTAAAAATATATAATTTGTTACTTCTCTACTTAAGCTTAAGTACTTTCTCCCAGCATCCATTTCCGAAGCCACTTGGGCTGGAGTGCCGAGGAAGACACTTTCAGACCTTGTGGGATGAAGACGTGTTCCTATAGAACTTCACATTCCTTTCTAAGAGCACGTTCTAGAAATTATAACCTTCCATTTTCCATAAGAAACAGACTTAGTCAAACTTCATGACTAACACAGACCAATGAATGGTGCAGTGTGTGGTCAGGAGGAAAAATGCTAGAGGGGGTAGGCAAGAATTGGATAGAATGGGTTCACTTCCCAGCTATAGCAGCTGCTAATTGAGGGAATTGACTTTACAGCTCAGAACCTTAGTTTCTTTTTTTCTTTCTTTCTTTTTTTTTTTTGTTTTTTGTTTTTTTGAGATGGAGTCTCGCTCTGTCACCCAGGCTGGAGTGCAGTGGTGGGATCTCAGCTCACTGCAACATTTGTCTCCTGGGTTCAAGCAATTCTCCTGCCTCAGCCTCCTGAGTAGCTACAACTGCAGGCATGCGCCAACATACCCAGCTAATTTTTGTATTTTTAGTAGAGACAGGGTTCCACGATGTTGGCCAGGCTGGTCTTGAACTCCTGACCTCATGATCCACCCACCTCGGCCTCCCAAAGTGCTGGGATTACAGGCCTGAACCACCATGCCCGGCCCGCCTTAGTTTCTTCATCTAAAATGGAGATGACAGTACTGAGGGTTGTTGGGAGAATGAATGAGGCACATAAGCAGTTAGGAGCTCCTGACTCTACCAGTTAAAAATTCTCTGGGCTACCCAACCTCTTCCCATAGTCTCTGCTTGATGGTTGAATGGTTAGCTAAGGTTAGACAAGATGTTCTCATATGTGTCTTTTGCATCCTATTCCTTCCCATTACCCCCAAGCTAGGTCTAAGGGTCCCTTCTGATGTACCACCCCATCTACCTTACTATGCCCCTTGGAGGGTCAGATGGGCTGCTGGGGCAGTAGGAGTGCATGATCTGTGTCCAGAGAACACCATAAAAGACATGACTTAAGATTACAAAGATGCTTGTAAAAAGCATGCAAAGAAAAAAGATTAGAGAGAAGCTAGATCTTGTTCTCCTTCTTTCATCTAATCTACAGGTATAACCTACATGTGATCATAGATGAGATTTACATGCTGTCTGTGTTTGATGAATCCATCACATTCCACAGCATTCTGAGCATGAAAAGGTGAGCTGGTCTCAGCTGGAGTTGGGAACGAGAACCACAAGGTTCTTGTTTTGCAGGGTGAGTTTATGTGACATGAACTTAACTCAGTTCCTAGCACATAGCCAGTTAACTGCCCACAGGGCCTGTGAATACAAACAAAGCATCATCTTTCCCTCTAAATGTCTTCTAGTCTATATGCCATTTTGTGTAGAAGATAATTTGAGGTCAAGGTAGAAAGTCTACTGTCAAAGGTCAAAATAAAGCCTCATAAAATGCCAGGGTAGGAGATTCTTGATAAGTAGAGCACAGGGAAAGAAAAAGGAGGCAGAACCTTCTGAAGGGTAGTATCTGGCCATAGAGATGGGATTCCAGCATTCAAAGCAAGGGAAGGAAATGCCTGGCAGAAGGAATAGCTTCACCAAAGGTGGAGCAGTAGGAAATACTCGGGCACGTTCTAGAAATTATGGTGACCCACATCTGAAGAGCCAACTGCCAGGAAAGTGGCTTTGGCCAAGCTGTAGGAGAGCCACATGTCAGGCTGAAGGCCCTAGACTTCATTCAGTGGGCACTTGGGTTCTGTGCCCTCTAGGTCTTCAGGAATACCTTGTGTTGACTTCCTGGCTTAACTGGGACAACTGTTTCTTGAGCTTTGGGCCCTATAGGCCCTTCTGTCTAGGACCAACCTCAAATCTACTTTCCCCTCTTATACCCCAAATCTTCATCAACTATTTCTCTATAACCTTAGTTAATTTTTCCACTTCTTCTTCAGTTTGCCTGATAGCAACAGGACCCATGTGATCTGGGGTACCAGTAAGGTGAGCCATTGCTTTCTCTCCTTGGCTAGGGAAGGAGGAGGAGCCAGGAATAGAAGGCAGACAAAACACTTGTTCCTGTTCCTGCTTTTCTTCCTCTAGGATTTTGGCATCTCTGGCTTCCGCTTTGGTGCTCTGTATACCCACAACAAGGAGGTGGCCTCTGCTGTGAGTGCCTTTGGCTACCTCCACAGTATTTCTGGCATCACCCAGCACAAGCTGTGTCAACTGCTCCAGAACACAGGTACTGAGCTCTAGCACAGACCAGCATGTTGGCTGGACCTCATGGCCATGGGGAATTCTTGGATTTGCTTGGGCCTCTGATGTGCCCTTAATATACTGAGACCCTATTTCCTGTCTCAGATTTAACTGTGGTAAGATGTGAGGTTTGAAGGAGGGCAAGATAGGGCAGATAACACAGCAGGGTGTAGGCAGAAGATGGAGGTGCTGTTTTAAAATACAGGATGAGGCCGGGCATGGTGGCTCACGCCTGTAATCCCAGCACTTTGGGAGGCCGAGGTGGGCGGATCACTTGAGGCCAGGAGTTTGAGACCAGCCTGGCCAACAAGGTGAAACCCGGTCTCTACTAAAAATGCAAAATTAGCCAGGCATGCTGGCAAACGCCTGTAATCCCAGCTACTTCGGGGGCTGAGGCAGGAGAATCTCCTGAACCCAGGAGGCAGAGATTGCAGTGAGCCAAGACAGCGCCATTGACTCCAGTCTGGGTAGAAAAAGTGAAACTCTGTCTCAAAAAACAAAAACAAAAAACTACAGGATGAGCTTTAATTTCTGGATGTCTGGTAGCTTGTGTTCTACCCAGATGTGGGATGGCTAATCGTACTCTAAGTTGTGAAGGTAGGAACTTCAGAAATTAGTCTTTATGTGAATATAGATTTTCCCTCCCCAAAACTCTGTTTGCTTTAGACAAAGATTATAAAACCAAAAACAACACAAACACTCTGATTCTTCTAATACAACATAATCTCATCTTCCAAGGTGGCCAGAGGAGAGCTGCCATTTGGGCAGGTTGGTGTGGCTAGGCCTGTGGTACCTAGATTCATCGTCCCCTTGCTTGGATCTCAAGTGAATGCTGGCCTCAGAAGGGACTTTCCCCTTTAAAGCCATGGCCCAAGCTTAGAGACTCACTTTCTTTAGTTCCCTGTAATAGAACAGATACCAAGCTGAAAGTTTTAATTAATAGCTGGGATATAATGAAACAAACTGATGTCATTATATTTGCTGATTTAGAAAACAATTTGCTTTCAGCTCTGGGAGGGGAGAGAGGTAGATAGGAGAAATCCAACTGAATGCTTCCCTAGATATCAAGACCTTTGATACTTGGCAGAAACCAGATCCCAGCCCCTTGAACGCTAGTCCTCAATCTTGGATGGACGTGGGAGTTTCCCAGGGAGCTTAAATACTGACGTGTGTTCCATCTTCAAAGATCCTGATATAGCCTGAGCATCAGGGCTTCTAACAGCTCCCCAAGTGGTTCTGTTCTATGAATGCAGAGGGCAACTGGCCAAGAGCATCCCCAGGCACACATATATTCCTCCGACTCCATTGTATGAGGCTCAAATTCGGGTGGTAGGAGCTGCGAGTCCCTGCTGCTTGCCCAGTTAACAACAACAGCATCAACCCCTATTAGGGGATTGACTCCTTGCCTCAGGGCTGTGAACTCAAAGAGAACTTTCCTACTAGACCTTTGAGAAGCCCAGTGTCTCTACCAGAGCCTTAGATAAGAGGTGGGTGTATCAGGTGTGGACACCATCAGCTCAAACATACTAGAGTTAGTCTTAGAAATAGCTTGCAGGGTGCAGTGGCTAACACCTAAAATCCCAGCACTTTGGGAGGCAGAGGCAGGTGGATCACTTGAGGCCAGGAGTTTGAGACCAGCCTGGCCAACATGGTGAAACCCCATCTCTACTAAAAATACAAAAATAAGCTGGGTGTGGTGGCGTACGCCTGTAGTGCCAGTTACTTGGAAGGCTGAGACATGAGAATCACTTGAGCCAAGGAGGTGGAGATTGCAGTGTGCCGAGATTGTGCCACTGCACTCCAGCCTGGGTGACAGAGGGAAACTCTGGTTTTTTTGTTTTTTTTAAAAACAGACAAACAAAACAAAAACAAACAAACAAACTTGCATGAAGCCCAGGAAGGGAGCATTTGGGAAGGAACTCTCGGTAGATTTCTGTAGTAATATCTGTGACAGTGTTTTTCCTCTACCCATCCAGAATGGATTGACAAAGTATACCTACCCACCAATTGCTACCGGCTCCGGGAAGCTCACAAGTACATCACTGCTGAGCTGAAGGCATTGGAGATCCCTTTTCACAACCGCAGCTCTGGCCTCTATGTCTGGATCAACTTGAAAAAGGTGTGTTCTGGGAATGAGGACAGGTGTTCTTGGGCAGACCTGCCAGCTGGGTCTTGGGCTCAGTTCTGTTCCTCTGCCCTCCCTAGTACCTGGATCCCTGTACATTTGAAGAAGAACGGCTCCTCTATTGCCGCTTCCTGGACAACAAGCTATTGTTATCCCGTGGCAAAACCTACATGTGTAAGGAGCCAGGCTGGTTCTGCCTCATCTTTGCAGATGAGCTCCCCCGGCTAAAATTGGGTGAGTGGAGCTGACCTCCCAATCCTTTAAAGACGCCCCATCAATTTAATATGTCAATCTTCTCCCCCACCCCCCTTAAACATCCTATAGATCTAGCCCTTTATTCCCTGTTTCCATGTCTATCTTTAGTTAGGTGCTCTTGCAAACAAGAACTGATATGTACCTCAAGCACCTATCCATTCATTACCCATTTGGGGTATCTGTTCTGTGACTGCCATTGAGTGAGGCATTGGGACCACAAGCTAAAAAGTAGTACTCTGAGGCCAGGTGCGGTGTCTTATGCCTGTAATCCCAGCACTTTGGGAGGCCGAGGTGGGTGGATCATGAGGTCAGGAGTTCCAGACCAGCCTGGCCAGCATGGTAAAACCCTGTCTCTACTAAAAATACAAAAAATTAGCCACGCATGGTGGCGCACGCCTGTAATCCCAGCTACTCGGGGGGCTGAGGCAGGAGAATTGCTTGAACCTGGGAGGTGGAGGTTGCAGTGAGCTGAGATTGCGCCACTGCACTCCAGCCTGGGCGACAGAGTGAGACTGTTTCAAGAAAACAAAAACAAACAAACAAAACCCGAAAAAAGTAGTACTCTGCCCTTGTGGGACTGGCAGCCTAGTAAGTGAGATGGATAGGCAGATGACCATGGAAGTCCCTGTATGCCATACTAGAGAGTTTAGATTCTCCTCTGAGGTTATAGAGAATAGGACATTCATGTGAACATTTATTTATTGCATTCCACTACATGCCAGATGCTGTTCTACCTGCTGGGAATATAGCAGTGAATTGTTCATTCTCATGAAGGTTTTTGTTACAGAATTCTTTTGAGCTAGCATAGAAGATAGGCTGAGTGAAGAGACACTAGAGGCAAATAGAAATCCTGATTAGGCCAAGGCCATAAGCCCGAGAGTACAGGCTTTGATACAAGACATTGAGATGTCTCGCAGGCTGACATAACAATGATATTCAAAAAGAAATCAGGGATGCAACATGTAGACTTGGAAATCCATCCCAAAGGTGGGAGGGCTGAAGTTCAGGATCCCTGAATGAGAGGCTTTTATGGTTGACCATGACCTGGGTATGTCTGGGACCCACCAGCAAACCTACTAAATCACTATTTCTCTCTGTCCCCATTTGAACCCTCTAGCTATGCGTCGGTTCTGTGATGTGCTGCAGGAGCAGAAGGAGGCTTTGATAGTGAAGCAGTTGGAGGATGCAATGAGGGAGTAGGCCGTCTGCCTCCCAACCAGCAGTTCCAGCCCATCACTTGCTCAGGGACCCCCTAATGTCAGCCTCTGGCCCAGAAGGCCAGGGTGTCTTTTTGTCAGTGTTGCGATGGAGAAAATGGTGGGCTCCTCCAGGAAGATCTCATCTTACCCGGTTGTCACCCTCCTTAAGCTGAGTGCCTGCTGTCTTTGGAAGCTTTCCATCTTTTTAGTCTTTGCTAGCCATTATATATGCAAAATGTTTTTATCGGGGTTGGGGTGGAAAGGCCTAGAGACACCTAGAGAAATAAAGGGAGTTCTCTGGGCCCCTATTTAGATGGTTTATTTTTATATTCAGTACCTAATAAATTCTATACTTTTAAATTCTAGGCCCATCTTATTTTCTTGCTTATATTCTTCATAATCATCTTTGGAAGCCAGATGATTTTCTGTCCTCCTTAATTTTTAAATTCTAAGGCAGGTTCTATGTAAAGAATACTGTCTAGAGCAGGCCAGAAAAAGAAAGAAGTCATCCTTAACTGATGGGCCATTTTCCAGGTGTTGGATGCAATGTTCTATAAGATTCTTATGAAATCACATCCACTTCCACATGACCTGCTAAGAGGCAGGTGGGAGTATAATTGCAGGTATTCCTGCTTCCAAATACTAGAGTTTGTTCCACTTTTACCTTCCCAAAAGGCTTTTAAAGTCTCTTGCTGGGTACGGTGGCTCATGCCTGTAATCCCAGCACTTTGGGAGGCTGAGGCCAGAGAATGGCTTGAGGCCAGGTGTTTGAGACCAGCCTGAGCAACCGAGACCCTGTCTCTACAAAAAATAAAATTAGCTGGGTGTGGTGATGTGTGCCTCTAGTCCCAGCTATTCAGGAGGCTGAGGTGGGAGGCTCGCTTAAATCTAGGAGACCAAGCCTGCAGTGAACCATATCGTGCCACTGCATTCCAGCCTGGTTATAGAGTAAGACCCTGTCTCTACAAAAAAGAAAAAAAAATCTGACAAGCTTGGTGTCTTAGTCCCTTCATAATATGAAAATATCACAAAGTGGATGGCTTAGAAACAAATCTTTCTCACAGTTCTGGAGGCTGGAAAGGCCGAGTTCAAGGCCCTGGGAGATTTGGCATCTGGTGAGGGTCCCATCTTCCCAGTGTCATCTCATGTGGCAGAAGAGGTGAGAGGTCTTCCTCTGCCTTCATGACCCAATCACTTTTCAAAGGGCTCACCTTCTAATACCATCACCTTGGGGGTTAGGATTTCAAATATGAATGTTGGGGGGACACATTCAGTTCGTAGCATCTGGGGTTGTCCATTTCCATTTCTAATGTTTTCAGCTGTTCAAATTAAGCCACCCATCAGTTTCTCTGCAAAGCCCTTGCATGTCAGAGCACTGATACTGTGAAGTGGGCAGAGAAGGGACTACTACGATTTTATGGATGAAGAAAGAGCTCACAGTACCAACTGGTGGCTTTAGTCGCTTGGGTTTGTGGCCGTACTTGCTCCGAATCCAAATTTGTTTATTCTTGTCAGTTTTCTTGTGTGTGTGTGTGTATGTGTGTGTTTTTGTTGTTGTTGTTGTTGTTGTTGTGAGACTGAGTCTCACTCTGTCGCCCAGGTTGGAGTGCAGTGTCACAATCTCGGCTCACTGCAACCTCTGCTGCTGGTTCAGCGATTCTCCTGCCTCTGCCTCCCAAGCAGCTGGGACTACAGGCACGTGCCACCTCGCCCAGCTAATTTTTATATCTTTAGTAGAGACAGGGTTTTACCATGTTGGCCAGGCTTGTCTCAAACGCCTGACCTCAAGTGATCCGCCTGCCTCGGCCTCCCAAAGTGCTGGGATTACAAGCTGAGCCACCGCTCCTGACCGATATAGCTCTTTTTAAAAAACCTCTAGTATAACGTTGAATAAAAGTGGTTGAGAGGACAGCCTGCCTTGTTCTCAGTCTTAGTAGCATTGAGTGCAATCTTCTGCTCTTGAGTATAACGTTACTGTATTTTTCATTCTGTCCCTTATCTAATAAAGAGTCCTTCTATTACTAGTTTGCTGGGAGTTTTACCATGTATGAGGGTTCAATGTTGTTAGATGTTTTTCATCTGCATTTATAGAGATATGATTTTTCTCTTGATTATCAATGTAGTAAGTTACATTGATTTCTTAATGTTAAAGCAACTTCACATTGCTGCAATAAACCCCATTTGGTCATGATGCATTGTCCTTTTATATACCATTGAGTTTGGTTTGCTATTTTAAGAAGTTTACATTCAAGAAGGACATCATTCTATAATTTTTTTTTTTGTAATGCATTGTTAGTTTCAGTATCATGATTAATACTGGTTTCATAGATGTTTGGGAAACTGTTCCTTCCTGAATTTTCTAGAAGTTTGTGTCCAAAAACTTCTTCAACCTTTAAATATTTGGTTGAATTCAGCTGTAAAACCATAAGGGCCTGGAGGTTTTTTTTTTCTTCTTTTTTTTTTTTTGTGGGACGGCTTTTACTTATAAATTCAATTTCTGTGACAGTTCGAGTTTTCTATTTCTTGTATCAGATTTGGTTATTTGTGCCTTTCAATAAAGTTTGTCTATTTCATCTAAGTTTAATTATTGACTTAAAATTGGTTATAAATATTCTGTTATCCTTTTAATACATTTAGGATCTTTAGTTGTATCTCCTTTTCCTTTCCTGATACTGAAATTGATACATGCAGGAGGGGGATTACGGGGAGGGTCTCCGGAGAATCTCCAACCCATCTGTGCACTGGGAGAACAAGATGGAGCCAAGGGAAGCTGTGGCCATGCTCAGCGGGGAGGAGCCTGGCCTCTTCAATTTCTGTGTGGTGGCCTGGGATTCAATGTGAGTTTGGAGGCCTGTTAGCAGGACCCCCTCTTGCTCTGCTGACAGTATTTTTCTTTTTTCCTTTTTGCCCAGTAAATTCCGTTCCCCTCACCCTTCAATGTGTCCATGTTCCTAATCCTTCCTGGTGGTGTGACAAGAACCCGGTTTTAGCTGAACTAAGGAGCAAAATTCTGCAACAAAATGAGTTTTTTTGATCAGTCAATCTAACTGTTTATCAACTGTATTGAACTTTTCAAAGAACCAACTTTCAGTTTCATTGATTTTTCTCGTTTCGCCTTCATTTCTGCTCTTATCTTTATTTCTTTCTATTTACTTTGGGTTTAATTTGCTCTTTTTTCTAGCTTATTAATGTGGAAGCTTAGATCATTTGTTTTAAGTTGGTTTCAAATATATGCATTACAAGCTATTCATTTCTCACTTAGCATTATTTTAGCTACATTCCATAAACTTTGATCTGCTGGTTTTTAATCATTCAAAATATTTTCTAATTTCCCTTGTGATTTCTTTTTTTAAATCAATGGTTTGCTTAGCATATGTAACTTAGTTTCCAAATATTTGGGGACTGTTCAGCTTTCTTTGTTAATGATTTCTACTTTAATTTCATTGTGACTAGAGAATGTACTCTATGGTTTCAATCCTTTGAAACTTATTAAGACAGTTTATGGCCAGATTTGTTTACAACATGTGGTCTATCTTAATGTTTCATTTGCACTTGAAAAGAAGTATATTCTGTGGTATTGGGGATGGTGTTCTATAAATGTCAATTAGATTAAATTTTTGTATAATGTCCAAAAGTTCTGATCCTTAGTGTCTTTTGATCCATTTGTTCTATCACCGAGAGAGTGGTATAAAATTTTCCAATTATTATGAACTTGTCTTTTCTCTTTTTCGTTCTGTCAGTTTCTGCTTCATGTATTTTGAAGCTTTGTTATTACGAGCATAAACTTTTAAGATTGTCACCCTGATAAATTAATCATTTTATTCTAAAATGCCCCATTTTATTTTTGTTAATTATTTTTGTCTTGAAGCCTACTATCAGATACCAATATGAACACATCAGCTTTTTTCATGATTATTATTTGCTTGTTTTTTTTCACATTTTTACCTTTGACCATTTGTTTTTGTATTTAAAGTGTGTCTCCTGCACACACCATATGCTTGATTCTTGCTGTTTTATCCAGTCTGATGATCTTTTAATTGATCTTTAGTCAATTCACATTTAATGTAACGTGTGTGTATGTCTTCCACTTAGGACAAGTGCCTGTGTTTGTTGTTTCGTGGGGTTAAATCCCCCTGCTGCATGTTTCCATGGTACCCAGTAAATAGTCTTTTTAAAATAGTCCCCACATTGTAAGTCGGCCTTCCCAATCAATCATGCAGGCTTTGGTTTGTCTTGCTCATCACCGTATCCTCGCATTTTACAGAGACCTGGCACATAACAGGCATTCACTGAGATGTGAATTACATAGAATTAAGATTTAAATAGAGGAAAATAATCGCTTCCTTATCTTACAGAAGAAAACAGTAAGGGCCAAAAAAGTCATGAGAGTTGCTCAAGGTCACAGTGTTAGCTAGTGCAAGGCAAAAGTGAAGACAAGAAGTGGAATGGCCAGAAGACAGCCATGTCTTCCCAGCCATACCTGTATTGAGAGATTCTGCTTATTTCCTTTCATGGGGAAAGAAGACTTTCCCATTCAAGGCACCTCAGAGACTGCAGCTCTACCTGGGACCTGGGTGCCCACTGTACCCATTGCCAGAATATGTAGAGCTTAGGGCAGAGTTTGAAAAATACTTTTGAAATTATATGTGTGTGTGTGTGTGTGTGTGTGTGTGTGTGTGTGTATGTAATTTTTTTTTTTTTTTTTTTTTTTTTTTAGATAGAGTCTCGCAAACACCCAGGTGGGAGTGCAGTGGCACGATCAAATTCACTGCAGCCTCTACCTTCTGGGCTCAAGTGATCCTCCCACCTCAGCCTCCCAAGTAGCTGAAACCACAGGCACATGTCATCAAGTCTGGCTAATTTACAAAAACATTTTGGCTGAGTGCAGTGGCTCACGCCTGCCATCCCAGCACTTGGGAGGCCGAGGCGGGCAGATCACGAGGTCAGGAGTTCAAGACCAGTCGGGACAATATGGTGAAACTCCATCTCTACTAAAAATACAAAAATTAGCCAGGCGTGGTGGTGCGTGCCTGTAGTCCCAGCTACTGGGGAGGCTGAGACAAAAGAATTGCTTGAACCCGGGAGGCGGAGGTTGCAGTGAGCAGAGATTGTGCCACTGCACTCCAGCCTGGATGACAGAGCGAGACTCCGTCTCAAAAAAACAAAAAAACATAAAAACCTTTTTTTGGTAGAGACACGGTCTCTCTATGTTGCCCAGGCTGGTTTCAAACTCCTGGGTTCAAGGGATGCTCCCACCTTGTCCTCTCAAAGTGTTGGCATTACAGGCGTGGGCCGCCACACCTAGCCAGAGTTCAACAAATATTGCAGGCACGTGTGGGAGACCAGGACATGCCTCCCCAAAACATGAAGGATTGTGCTAAAGACAAGCAGCAGCACATTCAGGAAAGCTCTCTACCCTGGCCCTATTTGCCTAAAAGTAGGACACAGGTTTACAAAGACAAAAGGTATCCTGTCCCTCTGTCTACCTAGGAGAACAAAGACAACTTTAGACCCCTATGGCCTGGAGATGGTACCAGAGGAATTTACATTAACAAGCTTGACTAACTGGCCTTTGTCTTTTTTTTTTTTTTTTTTTTTTGCCTTCTCACAAGTTGCCTCCTGGAGAGACTCAAAGCCCTATTTCTTTGTCTTGTAACTTAAAAAAATTACTGTTCTTTGTTGAAGATGCTATAAAAACTGGAATTCAAAGTCACCTCTTCCAGAACGACTCATTCCCTCCAGATTTCTCATGTATAAATGAAATACACATGTCAGTAAATTTCTGTCTGTTTTTCTCTTGTTAATTTGTCTTTTGTAACAGGAGTCTCCCCCAACTAAGAACCTATGAGGGCTACAGAAAATCCCCTACAAATGAAAGGGGCAGAAATGACAAACTGCGATGAAAGGCCATAAGGATGCTCACACCCGAATCTAAAAAGCCCTTTGTGTGGGCCGCAGCCAAGCATACTTTGGCAAGAAATTTCTGTGGCTCTAACCTCCTTTGAAAACTGGAGAACCAAGGCCAGGAGGCAGAAGGAGGTGGCAGACCCGGCCCGGCGGCGGCCCAGCACGCGCAGGCCACCCAGAGTGGAGGTGGGAAACGGCATTACGCCCCTTTCCCTTTTCCTGGTCCCGCGGTGCTACCTCGTGTGCCACCCTTAAAGCGTAGTCCCCGCCGAGACCGCCCCCGCCTGAGTGGCAAGGGGACGAACTGCGCCCTGAACAGGCCTGGAAGCCCAACCCGGTGCGGACCGCCCTCAGTCTCCTAGTCCGGGCGCGCTGAGCGCAGGGGGGCGCTGTCCTCACCCACGCGTAAGTCGCCGCAGGGCGTTTCCGGGCGGAGAAAACCTACACGTGATGGGCGCCCACCGAGTGCCAGCACCGCCTCCTCCAGCTCCGCCAAGTAGGTGGGATCCACTACTTTGCAGAGGAGGAAGCCGTTCAGGCCTCCCTCTGTGCACTTTGCAAAAGCCTCTGCCCTTCCATCTCGAATCCCTTGGCGCCGATCACACTTCCTCTGCCTGGAAACCTGGAGCCGTCTCTCGCGAGACGTCCTCCGCCCTGTAGAAGGCCGTTTCGGTTCTTCGTGCGCGGTAGCCGCCCCACTTGCGGGATTCCAAGGCCTCATCGAGTGCGGGTATCTGGCTGTGGATTCGCCGCCGTCCTGCTGGACGCCTGGAGGCTCGAACCCCGCCGCCCCCCTACCCCAGGCTTTACTCCCACCCCGGCTTCCGCCCACTGTGCTGCCCTTCCTCGGACCTGGGCTGTCGGGAGAGCTGGAGGTGAGCGCTCTTGGGAGAGCCCAGCCAATTTAAAGAGTACCCCTGAGAAGACTTTGCGGAGGAAAATTTAACTGCGGGTACCCGCTGAGTTTATGGTGCGCCCAGTGTTACCAGAGCTTGTGTTGTGCATCAGGACTGGGAAAATTGGCAAGGAGTTACGCTATAATGACTCATATTTTATTGAACTTTGGTCATCAGCCAGGATTTGTTCTAAGTACTTTATTGTCACTAACATATATATTTATGTCTTCACGGCCACCCCGAGGTGGTTACTGTTATATCCACTGTGCAGATGAGGAAACTAAACTGGCTTAGAGAAGTGAAGGAGTTCACACCCGCGGGCAGGAGTAGACCACCCTCTCCTTGGTGTCCACACCTCGTTTCTTCAGGACTGAAGAGGCAGGCCCTGGAGCTCTGCCTGGGTTGCCTGCACTTGTGGAGGTTCCCATTCCTCCCTTCCCTCAGTTCCTACCCGCCATCTGCCTCAGAACACCACATAATCTCATCCTACCCTTTACACCACAAGACCCCCAGGACTCCCAGGCAATACTCTGCTTTAACTCAGGAAATTTTAACCTGGCATTTGGTAATTGAGGTGAGCAAGGGTGGAAAAAGAATGTTGATGACCCCTTAGGCTGGAGAGTGAAAAACTTTTGCAGAAGTAGAACACGCTAAAGCAGCAATACATTAAAGTCACGTCAATGTGGCAAGTGCAGTCCCTGGCACGTACTAGGTCCTTAACAGATTTTTCTTGTTGAAGTCGTTGCACATATGGTTACAGCTAAGGGACACAGGAAGTGATGAGTGCATAAACCTAAAGGAAGGGGCAGATAAGAGAAAGGGGACTCCCATGACTCCAACTCCTTTCTGATGCTTGGTGCTATGGAAATCCCTTGAGCAGGCCTGTGCGTTTTGTCTTTTTGCAGATGTTCACCCTTCCTCAAAAGGACTTCAGGGCTCCCACCACCTGTCTGGGCCCCACCTGCATGCAGGACCTGGGCAGTAGCCATGGGGAAGATCTGGAAGGAGAATGCTCCAGAAAACTGGACCAGAAGCTGCCAGAGCTCCGTGGAGTGGGTGATCCTGCCATGATCTCCTCTGATACCTCCTACCTGTCCTCTAGAGGAAGAATGATTAAATGGTTCTGGGATTCAGCTGAGGAGGGCTACAGGACCTACCACATGGATGAGTATGATGAGGACAAGAACCCCAGTGTGAGTGAAGCTCCCCTCCCACTGGGACCCAAGAGAGAACTGCAGGGTGGGGTACCCTACCTTGACCAATAAGGCAGCATCCAGCCTGCTCTTATGAGGTTGGAGTTATGGTACTCTGACCTCCAAGAGGGCTTCTGATGTAGCTTAGAGAGGCCCCAGTGTACTGCCTGGATCAGGAAATGGTCCATTTAGAATATAGGGGACCTTGATTTCTGAGGGAGGAATTCAAGAACCATATGATGTTCTATGGATTCTGACCCACGACCTGTCGACTATCCAACTTTAGAGCTAGGGCAGAACTAAGGTTCAGGTTGCAACTGTTTTACTTATAGGTTGTGTGTTGCTGAGCTAGTTACTTAACTTCCTTGAATCTTAAGTTATCTCTAAAATGAGATAATAAGGCCAAGCATGGTGGTTCATGCCTGTAATCCCAGCACTTTGGGAGGCTGAGGCAGAGGGAACACTTGAGGCCAGGAGTTTGAGACCAGCCTGGGCAGCATAGCAAGACCCCATCACTACAAAAAGGTAAAAATAAAAAAATTAACAGGGTGTGGTGGCGTGCACTTGTGGTCCCAGCTACTGGGGAGGCTGAGGTGGAAGGATTGCTTGAACCTGGAAGGTTGAGACTATAGTGAGCCAAGATCATGCCACTGCATTCTAGCCTGGGCAACGGTGTGAGACCCTATCTCAAAATAACAACAAACAAACAAAAATAAAATAAAATGGGATAATAATACCTGTTGTGTAGAAGAGTCAAGATTAAATGAGAGCAAGTATATGAAGTTTTTAGCACAGTGCTACTCAATAAATGATAGCTGCTATTATTATTTTCTGTCCCAAATATAAGCTATTCTCATAATGCCTTCAGAAGTCAGAAAGCTGTTACAAATAACCCTTTAATAATCTTTATTTGTTGAGCATCTACCATGTAGATGTGAACAGAAACAAAGTTCTTATCCTCATAGAGCTCATATTCTAGTTAGGGAGACAAACAGTGAATGAACAGAGAAAATATATGTATACTATATGGTGGTGAGTACTATAGAGAAAAATAAACCAGGTTAAAGAAGACAGAGAAAGATGGGTGGGCTGGGGATGTTGCTATTTAGTAGAAGGAGGTCACAGAAGGCTATTTTAATAAGATGAACATTTGAGCAGAAACCTGGAAAAAGTGAGGGATTGTGTTAGTTATCTATTGTTGCATAACAAATGACCTCAAATCTAGCAAGTTAAAACAACAATTCACAATTTTTGGAGTTCAGGAATCCTGGTGGATGCCTCAGGCTCAAGATCTTTTTTTTCCTTTTTCTTTTTCTTTTTTTTTTGTGACGGAGTCTCGCTGTGACACCCATGGAGTGCAGTGGCATGATCTCGGATCACTGCAACCTCTGCCTCCCGGGTTCAAGGGATTCTGCCTCAGCTTCCTGAGTAGCTGGGATT
Organism: Homo sapiens; assembly: GCF_000001405.40. Classification (NCBI taxonomy): domain Eukaryota; kingdom Metazoa; phylum Chordata; class Mammalia; order Primates; family Hominidae; genus Homo; species Homo sapiens. The sequence goes on from NC_000011.10 coordinate 44,069,356, forward strand.
ACAGGTGTGTGCCACTATGCCCAGCTAATTTTTGTATTTTTAGTAGAGACAGGGTTTTGCCATGTTGGCCTGGCTGGTCTCAAACTCCTGACCTCAGGTGATCCGCCTGCCTCCGCCTCCCAAAGTGCTGGGATTACAGGCATGAGCCACCGCGCCTGGCCAAGCCACCGTGCCAGTCCACGCCACCACGCCCAGCCTCAAGATCTTTTGTGAAGGTGCCATGAAGCTGGGGCTGTGGTCTCATCTGAAAGGTTGACTTGGGGCCAAGGGATTGGGTGGGAGGCTCTACTTCCAATGACACTCTTATGCTTATTGGCAGGCTTCAGTCCTTCTCCACGTGGGCTTCTTCACAGAATTGCCTCATGGCATGGTAGCTGGCTTCTCTCAGGGCAAGTGATTCAAGAGAGAATCACTTGGGTCATGGTACCCAAGATGGAAAGCCACAGACTCTTTATAACCTAACTTTGGAAGTGACATCCCATCACATCTGCCTATTCTGTTAATTAGAAGCACGTTGCTAGGCCCAGCCCATACTCAAGGGGTGTGAATACCAGTAGGCCTTACAGGCTGCGCATCACAGGGAGTAAGCCATGCAGTTATCTAGGGAAGAGCATTCCCAGCAGAGGAAACAGCCAGTGCAAAGGCTCCAGGGTTAGATCATGCTTGATGAGTTCAAGGGACAGCAGAGGGGCTACTGGAGCTGGAATAAAGCCAAAAACAAGATGGGCAGGCGATGGGGTCAGAAAGAGGATGGGGTGGTGGAGGTGATAGAACCTGTAGGGCCCCACAGGACCTGGTGAGCCTTCTGATTTTGGACAAAGTGGAATAGGAGGTATTCAAAGGAGGAGCAGTGTGGTCTGAATTTGGGTTTTGAAAGATGTCTTGGACTGCTGTATGGAGATTTGACTTGGCAGGTGAGACAGTACACAGAGAGAGGGGAGGGAAGCTGTTGTAATAATATAGACAAGAAATGATGGTGGCTTATACCAGGGTCCCAGCAGTGGAGGGTGAGACATGGTTGGACTGTGCATGTGTTTTGAAGGTAGAGCTGCCAGGATGTGTGGACAGATTGGCTCTGTTTCGAGGAGCTTCCCAGCTTGCTTACCAGGTCGTGAAGGAGCACTGCCTTTTATTTTGTCATAGCCTGAGCTCATTCAGGTTTTACTTTTTCATCTTCCTTCCTTCACTCCCCCTGCAGTAACTCAGGGGTCAGCAGTTAGCTGTGCGTGAGGCCTGCACCGAGTCTCCCTGGGGACTCTGTAAGGGAGAGCTTGGGTTATGCCTGCCTGCCTATCCTATGACAATAAATGCCTGTGGGGTGGGGATCAAGGTATTGTGTGATGTTGCAGGGTCTCCTGGGGGAGTATTTGCACTGGCAAAGGAACCTCTTCTTGATCTACATCTACCTTTGCTTCTGTTCCTTCCAGACTGCCAATATACCATCTCTATTCTTTCATTCTGTAAATGTGTATTGAGTCCCACTAAACCCCTCGAGAGAAACAGTGGTGTCTTCAGCACACATCTGTCCTTCAGGGAGCTTACCCTCAGTACGGGAGATACGGTGTGTACCTCAGTCCCTGTGACCTGGGGTGGAAACTGACCAGTTCTCTAAAGGGGACAGATCAAGAGCTATGGGATCCAGAAGAATGTATCCCTTCCAGGTGGGGTTATAGGGGGGACTTCATGGAGGACATGGCATTTGGACAGAGCTTTAGAAATGGGAAGATGGGATCAGGCAGCTGAGCAGAAGGCACACCTTGAGCAAAGGCAAGGAGGGATGTTTGAAAGGGTGGGATTGTAGAGAGCTCCCACTTTGCTTTGCTGCCTCCATGGGCTCCTGGGGCCTTTCACTGGCACCCCCCTGCCATGCTAACTCTGCCTCTGTACCTCTCATCTCCAGGGCATCATTAACTTGGGCACCAGTGAGAACAAACTCTGCTTTGACCTGCTGTCCTGGCGGGTAAGTCCTAGGGCCCCTCTAGGGGGCATCACCAGCTCCGAGGAGCTGTCTTCCCTGGAATGCTTTCCCAACAGGAGCCTGCTGCTTGGCTCAGTGGCCCTGGCCTGGGAATCAGGAGACCCGGGTTCCAGGCCTACCTTGGGACAGTTTTCTGTGTGATCTTAGGTGAGTTTCTTCCCCACTGTAGTCCTATTTCTTCATCTCTGTAGACTCTTATTTCACTCAGTCCCTCCTGCTGTGTTGGGTCCCCTGATCTCAGAGGGAAACACTCAGTGCTTTGTGGTGTAGGTATTTAGCAATTAGCTCTTCAGGGGGACAAAAAAAGCCTGATGTGTAGTTTTGCCAATTTCCGTAGTGTAAATACTCCCACCATGGCTGATTTCAAGCTCCTTATGTGATATCACTGCAGGCAGAGTTGGAAGAGAGCTGCATGGGCACACTTATGTAATATTTTCACCATATAGACATGTAGACAGAACTGACCTCAAAAACATAGATAGTAAAAGGTACTAGCAAATCAGGAAGCAGTGACGTTTGAGTGCTTATCACCTTTGTTTGTAAGATAATGTATTTCATTGTCAGTTTATATTAATTTGCTTTTTAAAAGTGGCTGTTTTTAACACAGCTTGCAACATTTCTGAAAATTTTATAATCCGATTTCTTGAGCTGTGGTAAGCCATCTTAGCAACCACTGACAATGCCTAATAAATGTGTCTCCCAAGGCGGCAGTGGCAGAGTTTGGGTTTGTAGAGACAGCAATCCTTAACCCAAAGGAACATATTTCCAAAGGGAGAAATCTCAACCCCAAGGGGAAGGGGTTATAGGGAATAGATTTTATTTATTTATTTATTTATTTATTTAAGATGGAGTCTTACTCTGTTGCCCAGGCTGGAGTGTAGTGGTGTGATCTCAGCTCACTACAACCCCCTCCTCCCGGGTTCAAGCAATTCTCCTGCCACAGCCTCCTGAGTAGCTGGGATTACAGGCACACACCACCATGCCCGGCTAATTTTTGTATTTTTAGTAGAGACAGGGTTTCACCATTTTGGCCAGGCTGGTCTCGAACTCCTGACCTTGTGATTCGCCCGCCTTGGCCTCCCAAAGTGCTAGGATTACAGGCGTGAGCCACTGCACCCGGCCAGGGAATAGATTTTAAAGGCCTGTTTTACCTAAAGCCAGCTCCTCCTTCTAAGGCAGCTAAGCACTGAAATAAAAGGTGAGCCACATATATCAATTTAAATTTTCTATTAAAAAAAATAAAAAGATGCCAGGTAAAAACTAATTTTAATAATATATTTTATTTAGCCCAATATATTCAAAATATGACCATTTTAGCATGTCATCAGTACAAAAATTATTAATGATATATTTTACATACTTTTTTCCTACCAAGTTTTCAAAATCCAGTGTGTCTTAATTCAGATGAACCACATTTCAAATGTTCATTAGCCACATGTGGCCAGTGGCTACCATGTTGGACAGTGTGGCTCTAAGGGAGGAAGGGAGAGAGGGCAAAGGCTGGACCCAGTTATGTAGAAGTGGCTGATTCCCTTTCTTCCTTTTGGCCCCAGTGCGTAAGGCCCCTGCATTGGCCCTTCTTTGACAAAGGACCTACAATACTAGGAGTTTCTAACCTAGCACTGGTCATGGAATGGGTGGTCTAGAAACTGCTACTTTTTTTAAAGTGTGAGGTTGAGCTGAGCTTGCAGGAAGACAGTGGCCTAAGTCCCTCTAGAAGTTGGAGCCAAGACTGAGGTTCTAGCTCTCAGTATCTTCTATCACCCCATGGAGATGCTGATCAGTGTGCTCTTCCGTTAATACTTTTGCAAACCCACCCCTCCGATTTTTTTAGGTGGCAGTGTTGTATAAAGAATGCCAGACTAGGAGTCAAAAATTTTGGGTTTTTGTCTCAGCTCTGCCACTTGCTAGCTCTGTGACCTTGGCTGAGTGACCTCACTTTTTTGGACCTCAGTTTCCTCACCTGCAACATGGGTATGAGAAAGCTGTCACTCTCTGCCCCTCTCGCAGTTTCTCTGATGAGCAGAACAAGCGTTCAGCTTTACCTGCCCTGTGCTGTGGATGCTGGTAGCAGTGCTGGCCCTCAGCCGTGCTCTTCCCTCTCTGTCCCCAGCTGAGTCAGCGCGACATGCAGAGGGTGGAGCCATCCCTGCTGCAGTATGCTGACTGGAGGGGACATCTGTTGTAAGTAGTTGCCATAGGGTGAGTTTGTCCCCCTGGGGATGTGTGGCAATGTTGGGAGACATTTTTGGTTGTTATAACTGGGAAGTCAGGTGCTCCTGGCATTTAGTGTGTAGAGGTCAGGGATGCTGCCTAAAGTTCTACAATGTACAGGACAGCCCCCACAATGAAGAATGACCTGGCCCCGAACATCAGTAGTGGCAGGCTGAGGGCCTAGTCCTGGAGACCTGGCGACTATGGGGTCTCCTGCCAGTCCCACCTCAGCACAGGAGCTCGCTAGTCTGGTTTCTGGGAACCTGGGTTTAAAGCATGGGGAGGGCCTTCAGGTGAGAAGTCTTTGTCCTTGCTTTGATGGTAGCTTTAGAGAAGCCAGAATTGCTGTTCGGGGAGCTGGCTGGGGCCTTTTCCTAATGCTAAGAGGGGAGGTGGTAAATAACACTAATAGCTTGTGCTTATTGAACACTTGCTTGTGGACACTGTTCTAAGGGCTCAGCGGCTGAGCAGGACTTGATCCCAAGACTGATTGTAAAGCACGTGTTCTTCTAGTGTAGTAATCAGGGTGGTGGGCCCTGGAGTCAGACCACTGGGCTTGAGTGTGGACTTTGCCTCTTACCAGCAAGTGACTTAATTCCTTTAAATCTTAGTTTTTGTTTCTTTGCCTGTACAATGGGAATAATAATAATAATGATAGTAGTAGCCGCATCATAGGATTATTATGAAGAGTAAGTAAAAATTTTCTAAATAACATTTATAGAAGGTAAATGCTCAAAAAATATGAGCAACAATAATGGTGCCAATAGTTGTTGTTGTAGTAATAATGTTTATTAGTATAATTAGCTAGATCTCCATGGAGGGTGTTACTTTTGATAATCCCTGAAGTCTCCTGATTAGGTGGGGTGGGGTGTCCTCTGCAATGCATGTGGGTACTGGGGAGGGGAAGGTGGGTGCTAAGGAGTGGAGACAGATACACCCACACCCCATCATGGGAAATTAGGGAAGAGTGATGGCAGCTGCCTGAGGATTCACCAGAGGAGCTTCAGGATGCACCGTGGGTTGGGGACCATCTGGCAAGCACTGTCTTTTTGTCTTATCTTCAGCCTCCGGGAGGAAGTGGCCAAGTTCCTGTCTTTCTACTGCAAGAGCCCAGTACCCCTCAGACCAGAGAATGTGAGTGGCCCCCTCCACTGCTCCTTCCTGTTCTCCTGCCTCCCCTCTCCATCTCTTTCTTTCTTTCTTTCTTTCTTTCTTTCTTTCTTTCTTTTTCTCTCTCTCTCTCTTTCTCTCCTTCCTTCCTTCTCTTTTTTTTTTTTTTATTTTTTTTATTTTTTCAGACTGACTCTTGCTCTGTCACCCAGACTGGAATGTAATGGTGCCATCTTGGCTCACTGCATCCTCTGCCTCTTGTGTTTAAGTGATTCTCTTGCCTCAGCCTCCCGAGTAGGTGGGATTACAGGCATGCACCACACGCCCGGCTAATTTTTGTATTTTTAGTAGAGATGGGGTTTTACCATGTTGGTCAGGCTGGTCTCGAACTACCGACCTCAGGTGATCTGCCCGCCTTGACCTCCCAAAGTGCTGGGATTACAGGCCTGAGCCACTGAGCCTGGCCTCCATTCCCCATCTTTGGGCTGGCCTGAGAGTAAGCTGGGGTTGAGATCTGCCCTTCACATAGTTTTGACTTGTTTCAGAGTAGAATTAGGAATACCTTCTCCCTCCTCGATGTTTAAAGTTTGGGTATAATTTCCACCCCATGTTGTTCTGTGGGCCTTCTGCCTCCACACCTTCAGGCGAGACCCTCTAAATGACCAGCCCCCTCTTCCTGGCTCAGATGATCTGGAGCAGGGTCCACACGGATGAGCTTGGCTGTCAGTCTAGTGGCTTTGTTGTGACAGAGCCTCAGGTGGCACCAAGGCAGGGCCTGGCGCTCACTCTGTGCTGTCCTGGGAGGCTGCGGGTCCGTGCACACTCCTGGAACTGGTTCATCTTCATCCCTTGGATATGTCGCCCTTAGGTGGTTGTCCTGAATGGTGGTGCCTCGCTCTTCTCTGCTCTGGCCACGGTGCTGTGTGAGGCCGGGGGTAAGTGAGCTCTGTGGCCTGCCCCGCACTGTGAGCCTCATTGTGCTTGCAGGGTTCCCAGTTGCCTGGCCTCAAGGGCTGCAATAGTATGCTTTCGGGCACAATAGAATATACTAGACTGCAGGGGGCTTGAATAAGTGGCTTGACAAAGCACCCGGGGGTCAGCAGTTCCAGGGGAGGTTAGTTTGATGTCAGGGTCCTGGGCTTTCTCTCTGCCATGACCTTGGCTGCTTCATGCTCATAAGGTGGCTGTCGCGTCCTCACGTGACAGTGTGTCTTAGAGCAGGAAGAAAGGGATGTGGTCGTGCCGTGCCTGTCTCTTTTTTATCAGGAGATGGGGATGGGGATGCTGTTTCCCAGAAGAGGCCCACTTCTATCTTCCTGACCAGAATGGACTCATATGCCTGTTTCCAAAATGGTCCCTGGCAAAGGGGACTAAGAAAACCAAGGTTGCCTTAAACCAGATGTGGTTTGTCCCCCAGGGACAGGGGAAGGCCCACCTTCCTTAGACATCTTGCTGGTCATACCTGAAGAAACTAGTGCTCTCTTAGCATGGAAGGAAATTGGAATGGCTGTTGAGTGGGCAGCCAGCCAGCATTGCCTGCTGCAAGAGCCTGTTGTTTTAAGAATCAGTTGTGGTCAGGGGTTATTGGTTGCAAGGAAAAGAGACCCATTCATGGTAACTTAATTAATAATGAGAATATTAGTAACATTTATTGACCACGTACTGTGTTCCAGGGATTAGCCTAAGGCTTTATGCAGAGTATTTCATTTAATCCTCACAATACTTCAATAAGGTCGGTTCTATGGTTATCTCTATTTTACATATGAGGAGACTAAGACACAGGAGGTTAACTTGTCAAAGTCACACAAAGAGAGGTAGTAACCAGTATTTGAACCATGAAAGAGAGATTCATTGTAAGGATATAATAGGGAATTTCCTGCCGGTTCCAGAACAATCAATAACAGGAACCCTCTAAGCTTCAGTTTCCCTGTCTATAAAGTTAGGATATAATAAATAGTACCTCCTTCGGAGACTAATTGTCAGGAGCAAATGAGATAAAATAGAAACAAATGTTCAGTGCATTTCCCATCACGTCGTAAATGCTTAGCAAATGTTAGCTGTTAATAATTAGAAAGGGGGCTGTATTAGTCTGTTCTCATGTGCTAATAAAGACATACCTGAGACTGGGTAATTTATAAAGGAAAGAGGTTTAATGGATTCACAGTTCCACATGGCTGGGGAGGCCTCACAGTCATGGTGGAAGGTGAATGAGGAGCAAAGTCACATCTTATATGGCAGCAGGCCAGAGAGGTTGTGTAGGGGAACTCCCCTCTGTAAAACCATCAGATCTCGTGAGACTTAATTCCCTATCACCAGAACAGCACAGGAAAGACCTGCCCCCGTTACTCAATTACTTCCCTCCAGATCCCTCCTATGACGCAGGGGAATTATGGGAGCTATAATTCAAGATGAGATTTGGGTGGGGACACAGCCAAACCATATCAGGGGCTGATCTCAGTGGATCCAAGCTTTCCAAAGTGTTTTGGGAGTTAAGAGTGCAAGTATGCCCCAAACGGTCCCCAAAGAAGTTAAAGGCTTGGAGAGGGACTGGGGACAGTGGACAGAGGGTCTGGGGTGTTCTGGCCAGAAAGTGACAGGCCCTCGCCCACTCCTGCCCCCAGAGGCTTTCCTGATCCCCACCCCTTACTATGGCGCTATCACACAGCACGTGTGTCTCTATGGCAACATCCGGCTGGCCTATGTCTACCTGGACAGTGAGGTAAGAGTCTTGACTTCCTAGGTGGAACCTGGGCCTGCCTGTGGTCAAGAGTTTCCTGGGTCTGAATTTGAGGGTGGTCCATGCTGAGGGCTCTGGGGTTGTGATGAGTAGGGAATGGAGCCTTCTGTTGCTGCATGGCTGCCTGTGCCTGGGTTCCCCAGTGGCTCCAAAGTTCCAGTCTCTGAGATCCCTGGGGTTGATGTAGAAGCCAAGAGCCAGACCCAGAAACAGCAAGGTAGGAACAGAGCAGGGTAGACCTAAGCATGACACCCAAGAGTGATGAGGGGGTCTCTGAAGTGATGGGTTGGGGGTGGATGGCAGTAAGAGGGAGGGACCCCACCTGCTTTTCCAGAGACTCTTCTGAGGAGGCTGGGGATTACAGGGGAGGAGAGGCCTGAGAGTTCATATGTATTTTGGGGGGCAATGGTCACTGAATGTGGCTGGTGGCTCTGATGGGTCTTTTTCCAGGTCACTGGGCTAGACACACGCCCCTTCCAGCTCACAGTGGAGAAGCTGGAGATGGCCCTGAGAGAAGCTCACTCTGAGGTCTGGGGATCAAATCAAACCTGAGGCTGGGTGTGGGTGGGTCTGAGCAGGGTCTGGACCCCTCTTCTTGTGACTGATCTCCTCCCGGGAGTAGGGTTGATACCCGGTGATTGGGACAGACAGGTAGGGTGGTAGCACAGAATTATTCTGGGAGTCAGGCAGAACCCTGCCCAGGGAGGGTCTTCCCTTTCAAAACAGACTCTCAGACCTCAGTTCACAGAGAATCAACCAGGGAGCATCACTAAAGATACCCCCATCCCTGATCCATCTGATTATGATTCAGTGGGTCAAGTATGGAGTACAGGAGTCTGTGGTTTTACAAGTCTCCCTGGTAGTTTGAGGGGGCAACCTTGCTCACTGTGGGGGGAGCTGAGGACTCCCAAAGGAGAGCAGAGACCAGTATTCCAGTGGTTCCTTTCCAGCCTACTTTTCAAAAATCTACTTAATTTTTTTTTACTTCTGTCATGAAAGCTATACATACTCACTGTAGGAATTTTGAAAGTGCAAAAGGCCAACCCAAAATTCTACCAACAAAGGTAACCTACTGGTATTTGGGTATATTTTTTCTCTGGGCCTTGTCCTCCGCCTTTATCTGATGCTGCAGATGTAATTCTGTGTTCCGCTTGTTTGCTTCATGTTGTGTTATGAACATGTCCCCCTCAAATCTCCCTGGGAGCCTTCCAGCGATCAGCCCCCTTTGACTGTGTGGCTCTGGCCTTGGGGAAGAGCTGAGGGTCTCCTGCCCTAACGGATGGTTTCAGGGTGTGAAGGTCAAAGGCCTCATCCTCATCAGCCCCCAGAACCCTCTGGGTGATGTATACTCCCCTGAAGAGCTACAGGAGTACCTGGTATTTGCCAAGAGGTGAGGCACCCCACACTGGCCCCGACAGAGCGTCTGGGCAGCCTGGGGTTCCAATGCGGGTTTGGTGCAGGTTTTTCTACTCTCTTGACCCCACTGTGGGCTGCTACTTGCTTGGGCCCTTCCTTGGCAGTGGAGCGGGGAAGCAGGGATTTGTGGGATGCCCATTCCTCTTTATCTTTCACTCTTTATAACAATAGCTATCAATTAGCGCACACTCTAGGGGCCAGGCACCATGCTAAGCACTTTATGTGCCTCATACAATCCTCACAACAATGCTATCATACAATCCTCACAACAACCCTTTATGTGCCTCATACAATCCTCACAACAACCCTCATACAATCCTTACAACAATCCTTACAACAATCCTCACAACAACCCTACTGATGCTGTTATCACATCCAGCTCACTGAGCCTTAGAGTGGTCAAGTGAGGGGTGGATCCAGACTTGAACCTGGGTCTCTCCGACTCGAGCCCTTGTGCATGACCTTGCCCCTCCATGGAGGTGCCCGGGAGATCCTTTTCTCCCCTGCAGTGCTTCAAAAGCTCCTCTGTCACCTGCTCTGTATGTGTGGCTTTCTGTTTGAAAAAAACAGAAGAAAGAATGGTGTTCTTGGAAAAACAAGTTTGGTAACCCCGGGCTAGACCCCGGCCCCTCTGGATTTCTGATGTATTACCTCCCCACCCTGTGGGACGCATCTGCCCTACACACTAAGTCTCTCCTCCCCACCCCTGCCTCACTCCAGGCACAGGCTGCATGTGATTGTGGATGAGGTCTACATGCTGTCCGTGTTTGAGAAGTCTGTTGGGTACCGCAGTGTCCTAAGCCTGGAAAGGTGAGGCTCCCTGACACAGCTAACTCCCCCAGTCCCTATTATCCCACGGAGCCCTGGCCACTTTCTGGCTCAGCCCACAGGGCATGGCCTGCCCAGAGCAATTCCATTTCCACCCAGCTGGTCCCACTGGTCCTCAGATCTAATGAGAAGCAGGGACGGTTGGGCTAGATTAGTGATTTTCAAGTTGTTCTGTGGAATTTCTGAGAACTCCAAGAAGAGGCCTCAGGATCCCTTAAGTTAGGGCTGAGTGGATGGCAAATTGGCCTCTTTGCTGTTTCCTTTACCTCCAGAGTCGCTCCAGTTTTATTCATTCATTCATTTACTCATTCATGCTCTCATTCACTCAGCACCTCTGGAGCCCCTTACACACAGAGTGTGCCAAACACCTCTGGATATTTAAATGTTGGGCTTTTTCATTAGGTTTACTGTAAGCAAAGCATTTGTGGCCAAAATACCTTTGGGAACACTTGGAGCAGATCATCCTCAAGGCACACTGGCCCATGCCTGTAATCCCAGCACTTTGGGAGGCCAAGGTGGGAGGATTGCATGAGCCCAGGAGTTTGAGACCATCCTGGGCAACATAGTGAGACTCTGTTTCTACGGGAAAGAAAAAGAAAGTGGGGACCAGATCATGTGGGTAGTCTGTGAATCTCACCTTCAGGGGTTCTAACAGTTCCGGCTGTTTGTTCAGAACCTTCAGCCCAGCCAAGCCCTTTCCATTAGCCTTCTCTTCTTGTCCTCACAAAGCCTTGAGGAGTTGATGGAGCATGGATTGTGACTCTCATCTATTTTTTGGATTAGGAAACTGAGGCACAGAAAAAAGTGATTGTCCACGATCCTTGGTTAGTCATTAAAAAAAAAATTATTGAGCATCGATTTCGTGGCAGGCACTGTGCTAAGTGCTGGAGATACAACAGTGAACAAGAAAGACATAGACCCTTCTTGTGTAGAACTTTAATTTCTAGCCAGAAAAACCATTTTAGCGGCTAAATGCACATCCAGCCATTGGATTATGGCCATCATGAATGCTAAAAGGGAGAGTCCAGGGAGCTGTGAGAGGATCTGTTTAGGGTACCTGATTGGCCTGGTCCCAGGGGGAGTGGTTAGGGAAAGTCTCTTTGATGAGTGACATTTGAGCTAGGCTCTAGATCATGGCTGTGTTCTCATTAAACTTTATTTACAAGAAACAGGCAGCAGGCTATGTTTGGCCCGCGGGCTGTCATTTGCTAACCCCTGCTCTAAAGGATGCATGGGAATGGGTGGTTCAAAGACATGAAACCAGGGCTTGTCCTGGAACCAAAACTAGATTCAACCACCCATCTCTTCATTTGTTCAACCAAACACATGTGGGTTTCCATAGTTCTGTGTTGCCTCTGTTCCCATGCTGTGCTCTCTGCAGGCTCCCTGACCCCCAGAGGACCCATGTGATGTGGGCAACCAGCAAGGTGAGTTCCTGGCTGGCCTTGGGGGTGTCAGAAGGGTGGGAGGGCAGAGAGGTGGGTGGAACCAGCTTCCTCCATGGAGGGCTGGCCACCGCCTAGGGTGCTTCTTCCTGCAGGACTTCGGGATGTCTGGGCTCCGCTTTGGCACGCTGTACACAGAAAACCAGGATGTGGCCACTGCCGTGGCTTCCCTCTGCCGCTACCACGGCCTCAGTGGCTTGGTCCAGTACCAGATGGCACAGCTGCTCCGGGACCGTGGTGACTGCCTGGGCCTGGTGACCTGAAAATGGGAGGAGGGTTGGAGGCAGCCTGGGAACAGCCAGGAATCATAGATACTTCTCCTATGAGAATAATTTAGGGTAATGTTTGAGAGTGCCAGCTCTGAGCCCCGACTGGGTCCATACCCTATTTGGCCACTTCCTGGCCATGTGGCACTTTGCTTCACCTCTTTATCTGTATGAGCCTCAGTTTCCTCATCTGTAAAACAGGGATCATAATGGTACCTGTCCTGTAACAGGTTAGTATGATTTGTAATTCAATTAGAATAGTGCCTGGCATATAATAGGCACTTGATTAATGTGAATTCATTATGACTAGCTGTGTGAGCACCTAAAAAACAGAGCAGGGTCGAGCATGGAGGTTCATGCCTGTAATTTCAGCACTTTGGGAGGCTGAGGTGGGAGGATCACTTGAACCTGTGAGGTTGAGGCTACAGTGAGCCTTCATCATACCACTACACTCCAGCTCGGGTGACAGAGTAAGACCTTGTCTTTAACAACAACAAAAAACAGCAGAAGCTTCTAAGGAAAATTGTTTTAAAGGAAGTATCTCTCTTGCTGTGAATCTATTCTGTTCCTAGATTCAAATAGTGAGTTTAAATAGCAAAGGTTACCTTTAAATGCCGCCATTTACTGAGCCTAGCAAATGCACCTGCTGTATCATCTCATTCACTCCAGAATCCTAGGAAGCAAGAATTCTTATATTTTCCTTATTATTTTACAGATGAGGAAAATGAGGACCAGATACTACCCCACTCACTATAGTAGCTAAAAGTTTTAAAAATAGTGACAACATCAAGTGTTGACAAAGATAAGGAGCAGCTGGAAGTCTCATACACTGCTGGTAGGAGTGTAAGTAGTTCAGCCACTTTGGAAAAGAATTCAGCAGTTTCTTATAAAGTTAAACATACACTTGCCAAGTGATTCAACAATCCTACTCCTAGATATTGACCTTGATGGTCACCCAAAAACCTCTGCTTTATTCATCATCACCCATAACTGCTGCTTTATTCATAATCACCCATAACTGGAACAACCCAAATGTCCTTCCACAGATGTGTGGATGCACAAACCATGGCCCATCCACTCAATGGAACACTACTCTGCAATAAAATCCGTGGCAGTATGGGATAATTTCAAAGGAATCCTGCTGAGTGAAAGCAGCTAGCCTCAAAAGATTACATGCTGTATAATTCCAATTCGATGACATTCTGGAAAAGGCAAAACTGTAGTGATGGAGAACAGATCTGTGCTTGCAGATCTGTTTATAGTCACATCAGAGATGTGACTATCAACAGCATCAGGGTGTTCTTTAGGATGGTGGAACTGTTCAGCATCCTGACTATGGTGGTGGTTACATAAATGTACACATGTATTAGAATTCATAGAACTGTATGACAACGACAAAAAGTCAGTACAAACAATGAGGATCAGAGAGGTGAAGTTGCCCAAGGACCCACCCCTTGTCATTGGCCACACTGGGATCTGAACCTTGGTCTGTGGGACTACAGAGCATCACTCTGGAACTTTAGAACTAGATAAACATTGGGTTCGATTCTTTATCCTGGGGGACTTTGCGCTGAGGGGGTGTGGGACCTGGAGCTGTCAGGGCTGAGTGTCTGGGTTTAAGGTGCTTTACATTGAACACTGCATTTCCATCCCTTCTTGACCTCCCCTTCGTAATCCTTCCCACCACAGCAGCCAGCTAGAGGAGGGACTCAACAGCATCCTGGCAGCTTGTGGCCTTTTTCTTTACAGCATTTAGACTAGTGGGACCAAGTAGAGGGTTGATGGGATATTGATCTTCTGGCCTCTTTCACCCAAACAGACTGGATCAACCAGGTGTACCTGCCGGAAAACCATGCCCGGCTCAAGGCTGCCCACACCTATGTCTCAGAAGAGCTTAGGGCATTGGGGATCCCCTTCTTGAGTCGTGGGGCTGGCTTCTTCATCTGGGTTGACTTGAGAAAGGTAATGCTGGTGGAGGTGCGGGCTGAGAGGGAGTTTCAGGTCTCCCTCCAGCAGGTGAGGGGCAGTTGGTGAGGGGTCTCAGCTATGTCCTGAGCCCCTTCCACCCTCTCAGTACCTGCCCAAGGGCACCTTTGAGGAGGAAATGCTGCTCTGGCGCCGCTTTTTGGACAACAAGGTGCTGCTGTCCTTTGGCAAGGCCTTCGAGTGTAAAGAGCCTGGTTGGTTTCGCTTTGTCTTCTCAGACCAGGTCCACCGGCTTTGCCTGGGTGAGCAGCCTGCCTTTCCAGCCCAGTCCTAACTGCAGCCTTCACTGTGGCCTCCGCTTGTTTGTCCCCACCCACGTGGCCATCAGTGCCAACTGGCCCCTCACTTCCCCTTCCCAGGGATGCAGAGGGTCCAGCAGGTGCTTGCAGGCAAATCCCAAGTGGCAGAAGACCCCCGTCCCTCTCAGAGCCAGGAGCCAAGTGACCAACGCAGGTGAGCTGGTCATTGTCTCGTGGCCAGAGGGCCCAGCAGCCACTGTGGACCTGGGGCGTTCTGGGGCTGCAGAAGACTGACTGTGGATGTGCCATTTGCCAGGAAGGTATCTAACTTGGCTTTGTGCCTGAAGAACTGTTTCTTGTCTTTCGCTGTAGCAGTGGGAAACTCCTTAAGCTGTGGTTCAGCCTGGGCCCTCCCTCTCTCCTATTAAACAAAACTAGGAGAGTCCATATGTCTCCATTGTGAGTTATTTAGAATGGAGGAGTCGTGACTGCTTCTAACCAGAGCCTCAGCCCCCCTGAGGATGTGAAAAGAAAACAAACAACTTGTACCTTCTTTCTGATATCACCGTCATTCCTCTTTCTTTGTCACCAAGGAAACGAGTCAAAGGAACAGCACATACAGGAGAGTTTGTAGAAAAATAAAAAAAAGTGATAACTTCCAAACTCCGAGGAGAATGGAATGAATGTTGTTTGTACACATTGTTCTCCCCACACTTAAGACAGTTGGGCTCAACAGCACACTGAGATTGTGGGACCGTCTTCTGATTGGGACAAGGTGAACAGGACTCTATGGTGGAAGTCAGGAGAGGCATCTTTATGGGAGCTGAACTGGTCCCTCAATCTCCAGGAAGCTCCTTCTCCCTCTCCCTTTGAAAGAGCTGCCTTCACTGATGTCCCCAAAGCAGAGTGACCTAGTGATGGTTGTTGGGGGAAGATTTGGGGCTGGAACCCTGAACTGAGGCTGCTATGAGGCCAAGCTAACCAAGGCTGGCTTTTCTATTGTAAGGATGCAGATGAGGGCCGCCTACCCCATTTTCAGGGGTGCGTTAATTCAGAGGCTAAATGAGCTTCTAGATCTGACCAGGTGTGTCAGATCTAAAGCTGTGTGCTGAGGAGCCTTCCCAGGTGCTGACACTCCTGCTTGGAAGCCGATGCTTTCCTTCTTTCTCTGTTTTTTTTTGAGATGGAGTCTCACTTTGTCGCGCAGGCTGGAGCAGTGGCGCAATCTCGGCTCACTGCAACCTCCACCTCCTGGGTTCAAGTGATTCTCCTGCCTCTGCCTCCCGAGTAGCTGGGATTACAGGTGCCCGCCACCATGCCCAGCTGATTTTTGTATTTTTAGTAGAGATGGGATTTTGCCATGTTGGCCAGGCTGGTCTCGAACTCCTGACCTCAGGTGATCCGCCCGCCTTGGCCTCCTGAAGTGTTGGAATTACAGGCGTGAGCCACCACACCTGGCCCAAGACTTCTTTCTGAGATCACTTTTCTTTTGCCTGGAGTGTAGCACTTCAGTGTCCTTTGGTGAGGGTCTGCTGATGATAAACCCTCAGTTTCTGCTTGTCTGTATTTTGCTGTATTTATTTTATTTTATTTTAATTTATTTGAGACAGAGTCTCACTCTGTTGCTCAGGCTGGAGTGCAATGGTGTGATCTTTGTTCACTGCAACCTCCGCCTCGCATGTTCAAGTGATTCTCGTGCCTCAGCCTCCCAAGTAGCTGGAATTACAGGCATGCGCCACCACACCTAGCTAATTTGCATTTTTAGTAGAGACAGGGTTTCACCATGTTGGCCAGGCTGGTCTCAAACTCCTGACCTCAAGTGATCCACCTGACTTGGCCTCCCAAAGTGCTGGGATTATGGGCATGAGCTACCTCACCTGGCCTGCTCTATTTTTGAAAGAATTTCACTGGGTGTAGGATTACAGGTTAATAGTTATTTTCTGACTTCCATTGTCCCTGTCAAGTAGTCAGCTGTCAGTCTGTGGCTTCTTCAAAGGTGATCTGTTTCCTCTGTCTCAATGCCTTTAAGACATACTCTGATCATTGATGTTATACAGTGTTACTATTATATATCTCGATGGTTTCTTTTTACTGATCTTATTTTGGGTATTGGGATTCTTGCATCTGTGGATTCTTTCAGCAGCTCTGGAAAGTTCTCATCAAATATTTCTTCTGCCTCATTCTCCCTCTTCTCTCCCTCTGGAATTCCTATTAAATGTATGATATAGATCAACTTGCTCTGTCTTCATGTCTCCTAATCTCTTTTTCATATTTTCTTTCTCATCTTTCTGTGCTACATTCAGGGTAATTTGTTTTGGTCTATTTTTCAGTTTAATAATTCTTTCTTTAGCTGGATGTAATCTGCTTTAATCTATTTGAGTTTTAAATTTAAGCAAATATATTTTTATTAGTAGAAGTTCTAAAAGTTATTCTTTATACCTCAAGTTTGTTTTTCATTTTTTAAGATGTAATAAGCATAATAATAATAATAAGTTTATTTTTTGAGACAGAGTCTCACTCTGTTGCCCAGGCTGGAATGGTGAAGTGCAGTGGCATGATCTCAGCTCAGTACAACCTCTGTCTCCCAGGTTCAAGCGATTCTCCTGCCTCAGCCTCTAAAGTAGGTAGGATTACAGGTGTGCACCACCACACCTGGCTAATTTTTGGCATTTTTAGTAGAGATGAGGTTTTGCCATGTTGGCCAGGCTGGTCTCAAACTCCTGGCCTTAAGTGGTCCACTTGCCTCAGACTCCGAAAGTGCTGGGATTACAGGCGGGAACCACGATACCCGGCCAATTATTTTTATATACCTCTATGCATCTTTCTATGTATGTATTATTGTATGTATCTATTTCCAGTATTCCAGTGTCTGAAATCTTTGCTGGTTTGTTTCTGCTATTCTGTCTCATGCCTTGATTCTTTGTGAGTTTAGTGATTTTTTATGGTGAGCTGTACATTTTTGGGGGAAATTTATTTGTTGGAATTCTTTGAAGTCTTAGATAAAGACAGATTCCTCAAGAGAGTTTTTGTGTGTTTATTTCTTCCAGGCAACTAGAGGCAATGCCAGTCTTCAAACTAAATATTTAGATTTTTTTGTTGTTGTTGTTGCCATCAGCTGCTGTGAATTTGGCCTGGAAATCTAGTCTGGCAAGAGCCAGCTTTTGGTTACAACTTCTCAGGTTAACTTCCCTCCTTTAACACCAAGGTTTGAGACAGCTTTCCTTGCAGTCTTCTGAAGAGGGAGGAAAGGATGTGAATCTGGTTTAGCCTTATTTTGTGGAGTTAGCTTTTTGGAGTCCTGGCTTTATTGGAGAAGAATTTCCTATTAGATTTCTCATCTCTGGTCAGCCTCCAGGAGATTGGGAAAATAGAAGCTCGAGATCATTGTTTTGGCAAATGCCTCAAGATGAAAGCCAGCATCATAGTTGTCACTCAGTCCCATGCCTGATCATTCCTTTGTTTTGTTCCAGCTAATGCATGTGCTCATGAAAATTGTGTTTTGTTTTGTTTTGTTTTTTGAGATGGAGTTTTGCTCTTGCTGTTCAGGCTGGAGTGCAATGGTGTAATCCTGGCTTACTGCAACCTCCGTCTCCTGGGTTCAAGTGAGTCTCCATCCTCAGCCTCCCAAGTAGCTGGGACTACAGGTGCCCGCCACCACATCCGGCTAATTTTTTTTTTTTTCAGACAGAGTCTCTCTCTGTCGCCCAGGCTGGAGTGCTGTGGCGGGATCTTGGCTCACTGCAAGCTCCACCTCCCAGGTTCATGCCATTCTCCTGCCTCAGCCCCCCGAGTAGCTGGGACTACAGGCTCCTGCCACCACACCTGGCTAATATTTTGTATTTTTTTTTAGTAGAGATGGGGTTTCACCATGTTAGCCATGATGGTCTTGATCTCCTGACCTCATGATCCACTATTTTTTTTATTTTTTTATTTTTAGTAGAGACAGGGTTTCACCATGTTGGCCAGGCTGGTCATGAACTGCTGACCTCAGATGATCCCCTTGCCTCGGCTTACCAAAGTGCTGGGAGTACAGGCTGAGCCATCACGCCTGGCCTGAACATTGTGTTTCAGCATTGTTACTTGTTTTCAGTGTATGTGGTGGGGAGAGGGGGTCTTTCTTACTGTAAATGACTATGTGGGCTTTCCTTTTGCACTCTCATTTAATCCTGACTTCATCACAAGGCAGATATTGCTGTCCTGGTTATGTTTTTAAGTAGAATTTCCATGGTGTATAGCTTTTCACTATTATGAATAATGCTGCTGTGAACATTCTTGAATATGACTTTTTGGGACACATACATACACATTTCCTTTCACTATGTACCTGCTAGATAATGGGGTAAGCTCAGCTTTAGTAAATACTGCCAGTTTCCTAATATGATTCTACCGATGTATAGAAGTGTATAAAAATTCTATTAGCTCCTCATCCTTGCCAACTTTTAGGTATTATCAGGTAAAAAAGGTATGTAGAAGTATCTCATTGTAGGCTGGGCATGGTGGCTCATGTCTGTAATCCCAGCACTTTGGGAGGCTGTGGTGAGTGGATCACCTGAGGTCAGGAGCTCGAGACCAGCCTGGCCAACATGGTGAAACCCCATCTCTATTAAAATTACAAAAATTAGCTGGGTGTGGTGGCAGGCACCTGTAATCCCAGCTACTCAGGAGGCTGAGGCAGGAGAATCACTTGAACCCAGGAGGCGGAGGTTGCAGTGAACCGGGATTGCGCCACTGCATTCCAGCCTGGGTGACAGAGCAAGTCTCTGTCTAAAAAAAAAAAAAAGAAAAGAAAAAGGAAGCATCTCATTGTAGTCTACATTTTCTTCTGTTCTGGTACAAAAACCATGTAACATTTACCATTTTAACCATTTTTAAGTGTACGCTTCAGTAATGTTAAGTACGTTCCCATTGTGGTTAAACAGATCTCCAGGAGTTTTTCGTCCTGCAAAACTGAATCTCTACACCAGTTAAACCACTCTTCCTGCACGCTTCCTCTCAGCTCTTGGTAACCACTATTCTACCTTTTGTTTCTATGAATATGACTAAACCTCCTGTAAGTGGAGTCACACAATATTGGTCCTTCTGTGAATAGCTTATTTCACTTCACATAATGTCCTTATGGCTCATTCATATCATAGCATTTGATAGGCTATCTTTCCTTGTTAAGGCTGAATAATATTCCATTATATGTCTATACCATATTTTGTTTATCATTCACCTATCCATGGTCATTACGTTGCTATCTCCTTTTGGCTTTTGTGAATAGTGCTGCTGACAGAGCAGGAGCATCGCCATCTTGGACAAGCACAGTCATTTTAACGTTCACATTGATCAAAAACTGCCCAAATCCAAAATGTGTCTCTCTAATGGCTAAGATCAGCATGACCATAAACTACAAATTGCATTTCTGACCAGAAACATTCCAAACCCCTCCCTTTCTAGAGACATGCCAGCCCCGAGATAACCTCCTCTCCAGCAGGAGAGATGTCAGCCCCAAGGTCACCTCCCCTCTGACCAGAGACATTCCAACCCCGCCATAAACTTCTCCCTTACACAGAAACATTCCAAGCCTGTCATAAGCTGTCTCTCCCTGAACCCTTAAATAATCTTAGTCTGTGAGAGAACATGCTCCTGACCGAAATCAGCCAGAAGCCCCTCTCAGGTTTATTCTTCAAAATAAACCTGTCTTTGACTATTGAGCCACTTTTCATGTTTCTTTCCTCTTTCTTTAACTCATATACTGCTATGAACATGGGTGTGTAGCTATCTCTTGAAGACCCTGCTTTCAATGCTTTTGGGTATATATCCAGAACTGGAATCGTCGGGTCATATGGTCATTCTATTCTTAATTCTTTAAGGAACCATCATACTGTTTTCCATTGCAGTTGCACTATTTTACAGTCCTGCCAACAGTGCACAGGGGTTCCAGTTTCTCCATGTTCTCACTAGCACATGTTTCTGTTTGTTGTTGTTGTTGTTGTTGTTGTTGTTTTAAGATGGGGTCTTGCTCTGTTGCCCAGGCTGGAGTGCAGTGGCATGATCTTGGCTCACCGCAACCTCTGCATCCCAGGCTCAAGAGATTCTCCAGCCTCAGCCTCCCAAGTAGCTGGGATTACAGGCACGCATCACCATACCTGGCTAATTTTTGTATTTTAGTAGAGATGAGGTTTCACCATGTTGGCTAGGCTAGTCTTGAACTGTTGACCTCAAGTGATTTGCCCACCTCAGCCTCCCAAACTGCTGGAATTACCTCACTGGCCTTATATTTTTTTTTGATAGCTATCCTAATAGATATGAGACAGTATCTCATTGTGGTTTTGATTTGCATTTCTCTGATAGTTAGTGATGTTTAGCATCTTTTCATACTTGTTGGCCATTTGCATATCCTCATTGGAGGTATCTCTATTCCATGTGGTTTGCATTTCCTGCTGCTAATGATATTGAACAGGTTTTCATGTGTGTGTTGCCCTTTTATGTGTATTCTTTTGTGTGGTGTTTAAGAATTTTGTTCATTTAAAAAATTGTCTTTTTCTAATTGAAGTGTAGGAGTTCTTTATATAGCCTGGAAATGAGTCCTTTGTCAGATGCCTTTAAATTATCAACATTCATAGTTAACAAAGTCTAAATTTTACCTTCTTTATCCTCTACCTGAACATGAAATGACCTCAGAACATTGAGCTCTTACTCCTTTACTTTGGTCTCATTTGATATTGTTGACTGGTGTATTAGCTACACCTAGTTTGTTTTTTTTTTTTGAAATGGAGTCTTGCCCTGTTGCCCAGGCTGGAGTGTAATGGTGCGATCTTGGCTCACTGCAACTTCCACTTCCAGGGTTCAAGCTATTTTCCTGCCTCAGCCTCCTGAGTAGCTGGGATTACAGGCGTGCGCCACCATGCCTGGCTAATTTTTGTATTTTTAGTAGAGACAGGGTTTCACCATGTTGGCTAGGCTGGTCTCAAACTCCTGACCTCAAGTGATCCACCTGCCTCAGCTGCCCAAAGTGCTGGGATTACATAGGCATGAGCCACCATGCCCGGCCCTAGTTTTTAAATTTCTAAATTATTTTTCTAGTTTTATACAGTCAGTGTTTGTTTTGATTTACCCACAGGTTTATCAGTTTCATTGTTTCCCAGCCCTACTTCATTGCAGTACTTCCTTTTGGTTTTAATGTTTTCCTTCCTAACATTCTTAAGAAGTTCCTTTAGGAAGGATCTACTGATGGTAATCTCTTTCTATTTGTATTTGTCTAAGATATCTTTACTTCCCTGTTATTCTTCAAAGATGGTGTTATTGGGCATACAATTATACATCATTAACTATTGCCCTCTCAGCCTTTTTACTATGATTTTTTGGCTTTAGGTTTTTGTTGTTGAGAAGTCTGCTATTAGTCTCATTGTTAGTTCATTGCAGGTGATCATCTCTGCTCAATTTTGGAAAATTCTTAGCTATCATCTCCTTGGATATTACCTTCACCTCCTTTTCTCTATTCCCTCCTTTTAGATATGTGCCATTTTCTTCATCTCTCCTCTCCCTCTCTTAACTTCTCTTTCCTATATTTAATTCGTTTCCTGTCTTTCAGATCGATCGTTGTTGTTTCTAACCTACTATTTAACTTATGCATTGACTTTTCAATTTCAATGTTTATATTTAGTACATTTTCAGTCTCCTTGGTCTTTTAAAAATATAACATCTTATTTCTTTGTAATGTTTTACATTTCATTTTAAGTCTTTGAGTGGTATAAACATACTTGTTTTATATTTATGTATCATAATTCAATTATATGTAGTTCTTGGGGGTTAAATTTCTGCTGTTTGTGATTTCTGGTGGTTTGTTTTCTCATATGCTTTATAGTTCTGCATTGTGAGTTTACATTTGTCAGGGTTTTATTTGTCAGAATCCTAGGTAGCTTGTGTTGAGGATGTGGGTCTCCAGAGGGGATTTATGTTTCCTTCTGTTGGATGTCTTTGGGTGCTACCAACCTGGGAATACTGTATGTTACTATCCTGGCTTGGAGCTTCCTAGACCATGCTGGTGGTATAAATTCAAACCCCAGATGGTCATAAAGCTTGATTGCTATGAACTGAATGTTCATCCCCTCCCACACCTCCTTCATATGTTGAAGTCCTAATCCCCAGTGTGATGATTATTGGAGGTGGGGCCTTTGGGATGTAATTAGGTCTTGAGGGTGGAATCCTCATGAGTAGGATTAGTGCCCTGACAAGAAGAGACACAGAAAGGTCTTTTTCTCCACCATATGAGAATATAGCAAGAAGGTAACCCTCTGCAAACCAGAAAAAGAGCCCTCATCAGGAACCAAATTGGCCAGCACCTTGATCTTGGACTTCCTAGCCTCTAGAGCTGGGAGAAATAAATTCCTGTTGTTTAAGCCACCCAGTCTGTGGTATTTTTGTTATAGCAGCCCGAACTGACTAAGATATGCGTGTTAAAGATCATCAGTGAGACTCTCTTCTTTTTCCATTCCCTGGACAAGACAGGTAAGTTTCTTTGGTGGATGTTGAGCAAATTTTTTCCAGTATTCCCTGTTGGGTGTAATTCTTTAAGATCCTAGCTTTATGGGTTTCTTTGTATCAGCTTCCTGCCTTGTATGCCCAAGATAGTTGTAGCTTCAATGTCATTTCTATTATTTAAGCTTCATTTTTGACTTTGGATGTTTTCCTTCCTTTTTTTTGTGCGTAAGCTCAGCTATTCACTTGAGAAGGTATTCCTTATATTTCACCTGGTTAGGTGTTTTTTAGCCTACCATGCTGCCTGCCAGTGCTGTTTTAAGCTGAGCCAACCTAAGGTCCCACAGATCAATTATATTATGGAGCCCTTTTCTTTAGAGAATATGCCTTTTTCCATTCTTGGATATCTCTGTTACAGTAGACTCTTGAATAATGTGGGGGTTGGGGTGCCAATCCCCTAAGCAGTTGAAAAATGATGTATAACTTTTGACTCCCCCAAAACTTAACTACTAATAGCCTTCTGTTGACTGGACACCTTACTGATAATGTAAATAGTCTATTAAACATATTTTATATGTTATATATATTAAATACTGTATTCTTACAATAAAGTAAGCAAGAGAAAAGAAAATGTTATTAAGAAAGTCAGGAGGAAGAAAAATATATTTACTATTCATTAAGTGGAAGTCATAACGATCTTCATCCTCCTCATCTTCATGTTGTGTAGGCCAAGGAGGAGAAGGAAGGGGGGTTGGTCTCACTGTCTCAGGAGTGGCAGAGGCAGAATAGGTAGCAGAGGTGGAAAGAGAAGCTGGAGAGGCAGGCACACTTGGTGTAACTTTTGTTGAAAAAAAATCTGCACAGCAGTGGATCTGCAAAGTTTAAACCTGTGTTGTTCAAGAATCAACTGTATTTAGAGGAAGTGCTAAATATGGGATTCAACCCTACACCAGCTCTTTCTCCTAATTGGAAACTCACTTTCCCCTGATGACACTATTTTCCACGAAAGCCATTCCCTTTCTAATCCTGACTTTCATATTTCCTGACTCACTGGGTAAGGGGGTATCTGTGTAATCTTTGCTTTGCCCTGTAACTTCAAATTCAGTAAAGCAGTATCTTTCTACAACCTCTCCTCCTTCAACCACCAGCTACTAAGACGCTTTTCTGCCTTCTCAGAAACTTCAGGTCCTGGCTTATAATTTATTTCCCACTCCTCCCTGAAGTCATCCTTGGATACTTTCGCATCATGTAGCTTCTAATTTCACATCTTCTATATTTTCCCACCTCCCTCACTTGCATGGTTTCTATGCCTAGAAATGTAGCCACACTGGATTGAAAAACACTTGCTCTTTCTGATTGCTTTTCCTTCTTTATTTTTATTTATTACTCTTTTTTTTTGCAGAGATGGGGGTCTCACTTTTTTGCCTAGGCTGGTATTGAACTTGTGGTCTCAAGTGATCCTCCTGCCTCGGCCTCCCAAAGTGCTGGGGTTACAGATGTGAGCCATTCTGCCCAGCTGCTTTTCCTTCTTTAACACATGCTCATGACTTTCTTTCTCTGCCTTGAATGCCCTTTTCACCTCTCTGCTTGTCAAAATACTAAGTGTCCTCCAGGATAAACAAAGATATCAACTGTTGATTGAACTCTTCCTAGATTTTTCCAACTGGATGTCACCTCTTTTTTTTTTTTGAATTCTGTAGCATTTTGTTTATATGCTTCTATGCCACTTTTTACCTTCTCCTTTGAATAATCTTATTGTCTTATTTCTAGTTAGCTCCTCCCAGTGTCTAGGCATCCTTTCTCCATTCAACAACTATTTATTGAGCAATTAACTATATGCCAGGCATTAGGCAAGTTTAAGGTTATAAAAAATGAAGAAGATAGGCAGCATTGTGTGAGGCTGTGCCTCACACAGTTCTTTAACACGGCAAATTCTCATTTTATAAAAGAACAAAGGATTAATTAAAAACATACATGTTTAAAATACAGATAAATATGGAGAAGAAAAAAAGAGGCCACAATCTTCCAGACCAGATAGCTATTGTTGACTTATTTCAAAAAGTGAAAACAATATTCCCTGGGATAAGATAAATTTGGATACAGTTCCAGTGGTGATTGTCACTGCTCTCCACCCATCCAGTTCTCAAATGGGGTGGGTGTGTGCTACATTTTGTATCATTTGCAGGGGGGATTTGATTTGGAAAGCAGAGCAATGCCCCCTTGGATGTGGGGAAGCAGAACATGAGTGTCCCATCCCCAGAATGTCCTCATCCCAATCTCCCTAGATCTGTGACAAGCAGGCATTAACTCACAAAAATATCCCTGGAATCGAGGTTGCTGCCGGAAGCCTCTGTAGGTATCTAGTCTCAGAATCATCACTTTGAATATTTAAGCTATCAGTGACAACTTCCACCAGATGGCGCCAAAGTACATCTGGGACCAGAAGGGATTTGGATCCTGTAGCCAGACCCACAACTCTACCAAACCAACATCGCAGGCCCAGGGGTCATTTCATTAACCTCTCAATAACATCGCTCTGAATTTTAATTTAATTTTTTAGTTTCCACTTACTGCTTTATGACAGCGGTTTTAGTGTGCATGGATAGGGCTAAATCATGTAAATAATAGAGAAAGATACAAAACAAAAATGCGTTTTTTTTTTTTTTTTTTGGAGACAGGGTCTTGCTCTATCACCCAGGCTGGAGTGCAGTGGCACGACCACGGCCCACTGCAGCCTTGACCTCCTGGGCTCAAGCAATCTTCCTGCCTCTGCCTCCTAAGTAGTTGGGACTACAAGCGTGTGCTACGATGCCTAGTTAACTTTTTATTTTTTGTAGAGATGGGGTCTTGCTCTGCTGCCCAGGCTGGTCTCAAACTCTTGGGCTCAAGCGATCCTCTCGTTTAGGCCTCCCCAAATGCTGGAATTACAGGCGTGAGCCACCTTTCCTCGCCATAAATGCTTCCATTTCCGCCTCGACAACTACTCCACCTGAAGCTGTTCATTTCTTCTTGCATTCCTTCCAGAAAAAAGTTATACACATGCCTGAATATAAGCACCTACTTTATATATTTCTCCCTCTTGTTTTTGCATATGCATAGTTTACCTAAAAGTGACTTGCCCGCTGTTTTGGACTACGCTTTGATCTTAACTAATATCTTGGAGATATTTCCTTACCCAAATATATTGCACTATCTCACATTACTCAAATCAATCAAATTCCATAATTTATTTCGATTGTGTCTAGCATTTCGCTATGATTAGAAAGAATGCTGTCATGGAACTTTTTGACAAACATTGTTGAGAATATCCATAGGGCAAACTCCGTACAGAGAGCTTGTTGGAATGAAGGGTACCAGCATTTTCCGTTTGATGGATAGTACCAAATTGCCCTCCAGGAATGTTATACGCTCACCAGAACTGATTATAATAAAACGTCTACATATTTGTTAGTTTTATAAGCAACGCGTGGTGTCTCGTTTGGGTTTAAGGATTCTTTAATTATGAATGAGGCTGTCTGAGCATTTCACTGCGGAGCCTGAGCGCGCCTGCCTGGGAAAACACTGCAGCGGTGCTCGGACTCCTCCTGTCCAGCAGGAGGCGCGGCCCGGCAGCTCCCGCATGCGCAGTGCGCTCGGTGTCAGACGGCCCGGATCCCGGTTACCGGCCCCTCGCTCGCTGCTCGCCAGCCCAGACTCGGCCCTGGCAGTGGCGGCTGGCGATTCGGACCGATCCGACCTGGGCGGAGGTGGCCCGCGCCCCGCGGCATGAGCCGGTGACCAAGCTCGGGGCCGAGCGGGAGGCAGCCGTGGCCGAGGTAAGCGCGGCTCTCCAGGGCGGCGGCCGGGCGGGCGCTGAAGCGAGGGCTCGGGCCTCCGGGGGCCGCTGCTGGGTCGGGACAAGGGCCGAGGGAGCGCGGCCGCGCGGAGGCTCCGTGGAGGCCCGTGGGCTGCGAGAGGCCACCCCCAGCCCCGCCGGGGCTGTGACAATGACTGCCCGCTTTTGGAGCGCTCCGATTTCCACTCCTGCTTCTCCTTCTCCTCCGGCGGCGGCCGCGCTTTCAGCATCTTGGTACCCACCTGTTCTCCTAGCCAACCTTCGCCCCCAGTCCGCTCCTTCCTTTCCTCCTGCGACCCGCCCTCCGCCCTCCGCCGTGACCCCTCCCTTCCTGCTGCCACCTTCCCGCCAGCCACAGGGATCTGATTCCTCCCAGGGGGATGTCCTGCGCCTCAGGGTCCGGTGGTGGCCTGCGGCATCCCTTGCGGTGCCAGAAGCCGTGGGACGAGGTAGGGAAGGGGCCAGGGGCATGTTATGCCGGGGACTGGGTGGTCGGGGGCGTGTTAGGCCGGGGACTGGGTGACCGGGAACTAGATGGCCGGGGGCGTGTTAGGCCGGGGACTGGGTGGCCGGGGTCATGTTGGGCCAGGCACTAGGTGGCTGGGGGCGTGTTAGGCAGGGGACTGGGTGGCCGGGGGCCTGTCAGGACGGGGCAGGAGTATGTTAGACTGCGGACTAGATTGCTGGTGGCATGTTAGGCCAGGGACTAGGTGGCCCGGGGGTGTGTCGGGCCGGGGCCAGGGGCATGTTAGTCTCGGGACTAGGTGGCCAGAAGCACACTGGCTCTGGGCTTCAACTTGAAGTCCAGAGGTGTTTGGGGCTTTGTTACATTCGGTGGGAACCAGATCTAAACACACAATTTTGAGAATCAAAGAATTGCTTGGTGTTACTGATTGGGCAATGCTAATCTAGAAAGGTTCTTGACTTATTTATGTGAAGATATGGTCTTGAAATATGTACATTTAAATTCTTGTAAGTCTTAACTTCTTGTAAGTCAGGTAAGTGCTCTATGTACTTTAACTGGACTTAGTTTGTAACTTTCAGAACTCAAAGGCTATTCACTGTAATAAAATAGATGATTCAGTTTCCATCATTCACTTTCCCCGACTTCCTGGTTGCATGTGAGGGTATGAATGGATAATCAGTTTTGGGGCCAGACTGCCATGCTGTGAATCCTAGCTTTGGCATTTCCAGTTGTGTAATATTGGGCCAGGTACTTAAACTTTCTGTTGTACTATCCCCATCTGTAAAATGAGGGTAATAATAGCTTGGCTTATAGTGCTGTTATGAAGATTAAATAAGTTAACACTATAAAGTGCTTAAAACAGACCCTGGCATGTAGTAAGTGCTTAGTAAGATTTACATATTAATTATGTAATGACACACATTGTCTTATGGTATAATTCCCATGATTAAAAGGGCATTGTTTTTAATTGAAAATAATTTTTAGGGGCATTTAGCCATAACATAACTTTAATTATAAAGAATCCTATCAAGTAAGGCAATGAATTGTGGCTTTTTTTGCTTTTGCTTATATTTGGTTCCTCTGTTTTTCGGAATGGTTGGGTTAAGATCCAGTGTGGCAGTGGCCCCAGGAGTTCAGCTGTAAGGCCCTTTCTAAAAAGGTTAAGAAGAGGCCAGGCGCGGTGGCTCACGCCTGTAATCCCAACACTTTGGGAGGCCGAGGTGGGTGGATCACTTGAGGCCAGGAGTTCAAGACCAGCTGGCCAACATGATGAAAACTTGTCTCTACTAAAAATACAAAAAAATTAGCTGGGTGTGGTAGCACACGCTTGTAATCCCAGCTACTTGGGAGGCTGAGGTTGTAGTGAGTTGAGATTGTGCCACTGCACTCCAGCCTGAGTGACAGAGCAAGACTCCATCTCAAAAAATAAATAAATAAATAAATAAATAAATAAATAAATAAAATAAAAATAAAAAGGTTGAAACGACAAGAGACTGTGACTGAAAACATTGGACTAAGTGGATTGGCTATAACCTGAAGCACCAAGGAAAGATTATTCAGGCAAATTTTAGGAATAAATAATTCCAGGAACAGAAAATGCATCTCATCCTCACAATAGGTTGGGGTTAAAAGACTTTTCCAGTGACTCAGTGCTTGACAGCTAGCCAGATGATTCCAGTGTTTTGCAGGGGCAGGTTTGATGTGTTTCAAGGTGATAAAGTTTGTAGGGCTGAAATTCTTGTTTTGATCCAGGTTATGGTATTGTATGGAATAAACCTTCATTAGTAGAAGATTCCTTTCAGTCTGTCATCTTCCGGGGATTTTAACTTCTTGGTGGTAGGGAGCAGTCTCACTGGACAGAGAGATTATGACTTGTTTCCTCGGATGATGGTTTGGAGATACTCCATCTCTCTGTGCTTTGGCATGTGAAAACTGTTTTGGGAGGATTGGTTCTGTGTGTTACAGGGGTGAGGTTGGAGTGTCCTGAGTCGGGAGCACTGTCACTTCAGTCTAGGCTGGCAGTTTTACAAAAGGGGTCCAGTATAGCACAGGTTTATAAAGGCAGGGGTGCAGCCTGGGCACGGTGGCTCAATCCTGTAATCTCAGCACTTTGGGAGGCTGAGGTAGGTGGATTACCTGAGGTCAGGAGTTCAAGACGAGCCTGGCCAACTTGGCAAAACTCCGTCTCTACTAAAAAATACAAAAAATTAGCCGGGGATGGTGGTGGGCGCCTGTAATCCCAGTGACTTGGGAGGCTGAGGCACGAGAATCGCTTGAACCCAGGAGGCAGAGGTTGCAGTGAGCCGAGATGACACCACTGCACTCCAGCCTGGGCAACAGAGAGAGATTCTGTCTCAAAAAAAAAAAAAAAAAAGCAGGGGTGGGGAAAGTAATGGTGCTCTTTGGATGTGTTTGCATATGGTGGGTGGTGGGAGAGGAGGGTGTTCAGGGGTGGGTACAGAAAATTCAGAGTCTATGGAAATATCTAGCCATTCCCCCTCCTCCTTTGGAAATTCCTTCCTATTTAGGAAAGATAATAGTCAGAGGCCGTCACATATAATAACTCAAAACTTGGATGCTAAACCGTGTGCACCTATGGAACTGGGAAGGATACAGACATTTGTTCGTTCAACAAATATTTATGTTTATATTAAATATGTTCTATTTTCTTTTTTCTCCTTGGAGACAGGGTCTCCATTGTCGCCCAGACTGGAGTACAGTGACGCAGTCATGGCTCACTGCAGCCTCAACCTCCCGGGTTCAAGAAACCCTCCCACCTCAGCCTCCCAAGTAGCTGGGAGTGTAGTCGTGCACCACCACACCTGGCTAATTTTTGGGTTTTTTTTTGTTTGTTTGTTCGTTTTTGAGACGGAGTCTCGCACTTTCATCCAGGCTAGACTGCAGTGGCGCGATCTCGGTTCACTGCAAGCTCCGCCTCCCAGGTTCATGCCATTCTCCTGCCTCAGCCTCCTGAGTAGCTGGGACTACAGGCACCCACCACCATGCCTGGCTAATTTTTTGTGTTTTTAGTAGAGATGGGGTTTCACTGTGTTAGCCAGGATGGTCTCGATCTCCTGATCTTGTGATTCGCCCGCCTCCACCTCCCAAAGTGCTGGGATTACAGGTGTGAGCCACTGTGCCTGGCTTAATTTTTATATTTTTTAGTAGAGACAGGGTCTCGCTATGTTGCCCAGGCTGGTCTCAAACTGCTGAACTCAAGTGATTCTTCCGCCTCAGCCTCCCAAAGTGCTGGGATTACAGGTGTGAGCCACTGCGTCTGGCTTAAATATATGCTCTGGATTTGGTATTAGATGCTAGGAATACTGAGCAGAGATGAACAACTGATTACAGGAAAAATCACAACCAGTAGAGGAGACAGACTTGCAAATACTTAACCAATTCATAAAATGTGGCAAGTGCTAGAATGCAGTGTATGAAAGGTGATGTGGGTGCTCACAGGGAAGATCCTCTCTCTGTAAAGCACTGCTTAGTAAGGGGCTTTTCCCCTTTCTTTTCTCATTCTTTCCCTCTCATTTCTTCTATTGTTTATTCCACCTCAAGTGCTTGCTTTTATTCCTCAGAGTTTGATACAGATGTGTGGGAGTTCGCTTAGCTTGTGTCGACACACTTCACAAGCATGGAGGAGTTTACGTGTCTGAGGGCATCCCTCAGCCAGTGCGGGGTGGGCTTTGGTTGTTGAATGATGTGGCTTCCCTCCAAAGGGACAGCTCTGAAGTGTGTTCTCCGTGCTTCTCCAGAGGGATCCTAGAAGGACTGGGTATTGTGGCCTAGCTCAGTCTGGTAAGCAGCTCAAGTGTGCACCCTTCTGACTCCTCTCCTTACTTCCACACTCTGGCTTTCTGGATTCACCTTTTGCAAGCTACTTGCACCCAAGTTGTTTTCTCTTAGTTTGGCAGAGCACAAACCAAGGTCGTTGGTACTAGAAGTGGCTCTAGAAAGCAGGCTGTGAGATAGTATTGTGAAAATGGAATCACTCACCCTCAGTTGGCAACAAGGACCTCTTTGCTAGTATTAATTGAGGTGTTGGTAACCCCTGGTACTCTCTAACATCACAGTTGTAGTAAGACTGTCACCACGAGTGGTTTAGGATGAGACTCAGGTGGAAGGAAAAGCATTGGCTAGTATGGTAGCTCTAGCACTTGAGCAGTGTATGGACAATGGTAATGATAAGGAGAGTGGAGTTGACTGGCTCTTGTTATTTTCCTTAGAAGCCTTGGGGTAAGAGAATGCCATGCCCAGATCAGCCAGACATGAACTCAGGGTTCATTGTGAAAGACAGAAGGCTCTATGGCCGCATCTCCTGCAGCTGGAGGGTGGGCTCTGTTGAAGGTCGGGCCCAGAATTTAATTATACATGTGGCAGAATTGCAAAGGAAGCTGAATGCACAGCCTTGACAGGTTGCCTCTGCTAAAGTCAGGGCAATGGTAGCAAGATGTGAGACCCTGAGACCTGGATGGAGATATTTGGGTGGAGGCACCGAGAACTTTGAATTCCCAGATTTCCTCAGATCCCTTGGGCCAGTAGAGGTATGCACCTCTCTGATGCAGAGGACAGCAGTTTCTTCTTGCCTGGACACTGTGCAGAGCTCTCACTTGAGGCAGATGCCTCCCATATGATTCTTGTGCTCCTCAAGATCTGCCTTCCACTCCCCTCAGATCTCAGCATTGCCTGAGCAGGAAAGCAGTTCTT
Source organism: Homo sapiens (assembly GCF_000001405.40). Lineage (NCBI taxonomy): Eukaryota > Metazoa > Chordata > Mammalia > Primates > Hominidae > Homo > Homo sapiens. Next base: position 44,101,049 of record NC_000011.10, read on the forward strand.
AAGGAGTTGCAGGACCTGGCTAATATGGACCAGCAGAAACTGAGGAAACACAGTGGGTTGGGGGTGGGGTGGGGAGAATCTTAAGGGTGTTGGACCAAAGGTGGGGGTATTGGTGGACTATAAAGCTGGAGAGGAGAGAACCTGTTGACAGGTGAGCATTCTCTCATGATTCAGGATTTGGTGACCTAGCAAGGACAGCTGGAGCCAGTCTTGGTATGCGGCTGGGCAGGCTCCTTGAAGCTTGGACACAACGACCCATACCAGTGGTTTGCAACCAGGGCTGATTTTGCCTCCCCAAGGGATATTTGGCAATGTCTGGATATATTTTTAGTTGTTACAGCTGGAGGTTGCTTCTGGCTTCTACTGAGTAGGGATGCTATTCAGCCACCTCCAATGTACAGAATAGCTCCCCACAAAAAAGAGTTATCTGGCCTAAAATGTCATAGTGCTAAGGTTAAGTCACTTTGGACTGCAATAAATGCGGTGGAGGCATCAGAACTATTTTGGCAGAGTATTGAGGAAGGAATCACCTGCACCTCCTGCCTGTTTTCCTGGGAGGGCCTATTCCTTTCACTCTGCTAATGTGGAATGCCCAGTGAGGGGACCTGCATCTTTGAGAAGCTCAGTGTTGGCTGTCTTCTGTAGGACAAGATTGACCTTAGGAGATGTTACTGTGAAACTAGGTTCCCAAGTATCAATGAGGATGATAGGATTCTGAGATAGTGGAGGCCAGTTGGTGGCAGTTAATCATCAGAGACAAGGTAGACATAGTGCCCAGAATGGGCAGCAAGGCTGGACTCACAACTGGGGAATCTTGACCCACTCTGATGCGAATAGAACATGGTGTTTCTAAGCTGGGCAGCTAACCATGGTGCTGCTTGACTTGTATAATCAGTAAAAAAAAAAAAAAAAAAAAATTAAGAGCTGGCACGTGGAAGATTGATGTCAGCTGCTACAATGGAGAAAAATCACTATCTCTCCCCTTGTGTTCAGACATGAGCCATTTCTTAGACCCATATCCCATGGATTGAAGGGGAGGCTGGATCTCTTTCGGGAAAGATCTTGCAACATTCCTGCACGTATAGGCAGACATTCTCCCATCCTTCCTCAAGGGAACTGCAGATCTTTATCAGAATAGCTGTACAGCAAAGAAAGTATAATATTTAGACCTTTATAGGGCTGTTGAATATAGGGTTCGGGCTGATAACAGTACCAGGCAACCCTCAACCAATAGTGGATAGGTGTTGCAGACAGATGCTCTAGTCTCCCATCCTGCTTAGAGACCAGCTGTATTCTAAATGAGTCTTCAGAAGGCTCCTGGTAGCCTTAGGAGCCCCTGTTGCCCACTGCAGTAACCAGCCTAAGAACACACTTTTTATTGGCTTTGCCCTGTTGCCTGTCTCCTTGCTCCCTCACTGTGGCTTTCTGAGATCACCTCCCAAGTAAGTAGACTACTTGCACTCCTGTCTTTGTCTCTGTCTCTCTCTTTTTTTTTTTTTTTTTTTTTGCACGGGGTCGGGGGTATGAGGGGAGTCAAACTATGACAGGTAGCAAGCAAAATATGATACTTAAGACTAACATAGTGAGTGTCAGCTCCCTCTTCCTTCTGCTGAGGCCACTTGGGACTCTGGAGTCAGTTCCTGTGGTTCCGTATCTTCTCCAACAATACTTGGTGGTGTTTGACTCTTAATTTGCCTATGCTGTTGGGTATAGGTCTCATTGTGGTCTTACTTTCCATGACCATTAAGGAGACTAAACATCTTTTTATATGTTTATGTGCCTTTTTTGCCTTTTCTGTGAAATTCCTGTTTAAGTGTGTTTTCTGTTTTTTGTTTGTTTTGTTTTCTTTTTGTTTGTTTTTTTCTTATTGCTTCGTACAGTTTATTCTGGTTGCAAGTCCCTGTTGCTTATATGTGCTGGAAATATATTCTTCAGGCTTGCAGCTTGTCTTTTTACTTCCTTATTGTGTTTTTGATGGAAAATTCTTAATGGTTTCTGGTTTTTGTGTTTTGGAAATCATTCTCTGCCAGATGTCATTGATATTCTCTATTGTGTTCTAAATATTTTATAGTTTTTCCTTTTACATTTAGTTTTAAGATATACCTTGAATAGATTTTTCTCCCCTTTGGCTGCTTTTAATATTCTTCTTTAACTTTCTTTTTAGCAGTTTGGCTTTGATATATCTAGGTAGCATTTTCTTTATATATATATATGTTCTGTTCTGAGTTGAGCATCTTGAGTCTGTGAATTGATGTATTTTATCATTTTTGGAAAAACTTAAAAAAACACAGTTGGATTATCCCATCGGCTTCTACATTCAGTCTGTTGCAGTGTCATATGTCATGTAGCCTCTGGAAAATGGAAGTGAATAAAGCAAATGTCAGTATTAAACTAGTATAAGCCCTTTGAAAGGGCCTGGGATGCCTGAAGCATACTTCAAGAACCAGTGTTCTAAGATTTTGGTATGAAGCATTTGCTAGCCTCCTAAACTGAGCTTTGAAGTGTTTCCTCTTTTTTTTCTGAACTCTGGAATAATTTGTGGAAAATTGGAATTATTATTTCTTGAATATTTGGTAGAACTTGGAAAATTTTCTGGGCCTGGAATTTTCTTTATAGGAAGATTTTTAAACTTTTGATTCAGTGTCTTTAATGTTATAGAGCTACTCAGAGTTGCTGTTTCTCCTTGAGATGCTTTTGGTAAGTATATTTTAAAATAATTTTTCCATGTTATCTGAGTTTTCAAATGTACTGGCATAAATTCATTGATACCATCTTATCTTTTAAATATATGCAGCATTTAGAGTTATGTTCCCCTTTTCAGGTATTTATTTGCACCTTTTTCCTTGAATTCTTGATTAATCTTACCAGAATTTTATTAGTCTGTTTTTAAACAAACAACTTTTAGCCTTGTTGACCATTTCTATTTTGTTTTTTAATTAATCTCTGTGCTTTTATTTATTATTTTCTTCTGTTATCTTTGGTTTTACTTTGTTGTGATATGTCTTTTTTATAGTTAATCTGCAACTCATAAAGATTTGTGAAGCTCATGTGTGAATACAGTTTTTGTTCCCTTAACCTCAATTTTGTCATACATAGAAGCTATTTTTCAAGCTATGGAGGACCCATTATTGGGTGGTATAATTGATCTAGTAGGTTATGGCCAGAATTTTTTAAAAAGCAATAGAATAACAGAGTAGAAAAATGGAGGGTTCATTGCGTGTTCTGTGGCTAACACTGTGTACTCACAGTACATAGCTTAAATGTTGTTTTTTGAAGCTTTATTTAAAATATCCATATACACACATATATATATCTGTCTATATTGGGTCACAATATAACATATATTTCTTACTGTCAATTTTAGTTTAAAAAAAGTTTTGAAAAACACTATTAAAGGGTAGTTTGTCTAATATTAATAAAGGTTTAAAACCAGATGGCACAAAATACTTGAGGAGCTTGTTTTTAAATGACATATTCTGTGGCCCTATTTTAAACTTACTGATAACAGCCTCCAGTGGTGGGGCCAAGGAATCTGTTTTAACAAACTCTTGTGCTTCTTACCCTTCAGGTGTTGGGGAACCACTGATTCAAGTATACACATAGACCTTGAGAGCTTCTTGGGAAGTTCTAACATGGGCCAGCGGAGGGCAGCTCCTTGCCTGCATTTGTCCCAAAACTTCCTGTCTTCAAACTCCAGGAGGGATATGCAGAATGGCAAGGAAGCCATACCATAGGGTGGGCCTGCAGCTGGTAGGGGATGGGAGCAGGCAGGAATATTCTGCTTACTGTTAGAATGATAGAAAAAGTGAAATCGCTGTCATGCCACATTTCTGTCATAGAACAATTAGAATATATTGAGTGACTGATGTATATACTCCAAAGATGATAATCTTTTAAGCTCAAAATGTATGAATTTTCATGTATTAGTCAATGATAGGCAAATTCCTTGTTATGTTCCAGTTTCTGGTCTTAGAGAGATATGACTTGAAATGATTCATGACCATTTAGCATATTTTACCCCCAAAACTGAAAGTGATTGCAACATTCAAGCTTGGCAATACTCAGCTCGCTAGGCAGGAAGCAGTTTACCATGTGGGCACTGATGGGGAGAGCTCCATTTATCCGAAGCAAAAATGGTTGATAACTCTAAGATGGTCTATGAGCTTTTCAGTTACTTCCCATTATATTAATAGCTTTCCTGGAAGATCCGTGAGTAGAATGATACCATTTTGTTTATTTATTTTTATTTTATTTTATTTTTTGAGAAAGAGTCGTGCTCTATTGCCCAGGCTGGAGTGCAGTGGCACAATCTTGGTTCACTGCACCTCCGCCTCCCAGGTTTAAGTGACTGTCTTGCCTCAGCCTCCCAAGTAGCTGGGATTACAGGTGTCTGCCATCATGCCTGGCTAATTTTTGTATTTTTAGTAGAGACAGGGTTTCACCATGTTGGCTAGGCTGGTCTTGAACTCCTGATCTCAGGTGATCTGTCTGCCTTGGCCTCCCAAAGTGCTGGGATTATAGGCATGAGCCACTGTGCCCAGCTGTCTTTTTGTGGATTGGTATTTTGACATGCAGGATGCCAAAATAGCTTGTTGCAGTAACATGGTAAGTATGTGGCAGATGATGCAGCCACACTCAAGGCTCTGCCCTCCCCCGAAACAGTATCCGGGAATCATATAGGAGAGGCTTGTTTGGTAAGGATCTTAAAATGTGGTCTACATGGGAACTCTACATTTTTAGCTGAGGACTACAAATTTTCTTTACATCTCAGTCAATAATGCTTATTGGCTGTTTTATATATCTATAGCTGTATAACAAACCACCCCAAAACTTAGAAGCTTTAAACAACAACAGTCATTTATTTGCTGATGATTGTGGAATCTATGCAGAGCTTGGTGGGGATGGCTCATCTCTTCCCTAATGGTTTTGACTGAGATCTCCGTGTCCACTGGGGCAGGTTGCCTTCCACTGGGAGCTCAGCTTCCTTAGAGCATGGCGGCTGGATTCGAAGAGTGCAAAGGCAGACTCTATAGGGCCTCTCAAGTCTTGTGCTCAAAAATCCCAAAACATCACTTCAGCCACATTTTCTTGGTCAAAGCAAATCATAAAGCTAGCCTAGATTCATGGGGAAGGGACATGGATTCTACATTTTGTTTGGAGAAGTACCATGCAAATTCAGGGATGGAAAGAACTGTTGGTGTTCGTCTTTGTAAATGAATCTACCACATTGGCCCTTTTCCTCCCTTTCTCCCTTCTCTCTCTTTCTCTTCCTTTTCCTCCCTCCCTTTGTCTCTCCTACCCCATTCCTTTCTTCATTTCTTCCATTTATCTAAATGCAACTATCACCTTCATTATAAATCATCACTATATGTTTTATTTGAAGATGAAAGATTAATTTTTTTTCTTATTGATATCCTTTTGTACTTAATCGATACTTTCCTAGTGGTGTTTTTACATTCTGCCTTTTGTTATAGCTTTGTTTTCTCTCCCTCATTAGAGTAGGGTCTTTGCTTTCATCTTTGTTTTCTTCACAGTACATGATGGGTGCTCAATAATGGTTTGAATGAATAAGTGAACGAAAACAGATTTTTTTTTTTATGACACAGAGTCTTGCTCTGTCACTTGGGCTGGAGTGCAGTGGCACGATCTCGGCTCACCGCAACCTCCACCTCCTGGATTCAAGCAATTCTCCTGCCTCAGCCTCCCAACTAGCTGGGATTACAGGTGCATGCCACCACACCTGGCTAATTTTTGTATTTTTAGTAGAGACGGGTTTTGCCATGTTGGCCATGCTGGTCTTGAATTCCTGACCTCAGGTGATCCACCCATCTTGGCCTCCCAAGGTGCTGGGATTATAGACGTGAGCCACCGCACATGGCTGAAAACAGATTTTGGAATGATGAAGCTTCAGTTTGTCCAGTTAAATCATTATTTTATGTTAAGCAAGTGTTTTGAAATAAAATAACTGTCTTTTGCTATTCCACTTTTGATTTTTCTGCCTTGGTCAGAGCCCTCCTTCCCAGAGTCCCACATTTGCCAGCTTCTGCTTTAAGTAAATGTATATTGATAGGGTATAGTAATATTTTATATTATGAATTAATATTTATGTTAAATATATGCAGTATTAAATATTAAATACATTATATACTATTTATTCATATATCTAGATATATATTTCTAAATGTTTATAAGAAGTGTCCAAAGTCCCTTTTTGTTATTTCACCACACCACTTAAGGGAAAGAAATAGGTACATTAAAAGTAGAGGCTGGGCGCGGTGGCTTATGCCTATGATCCTAGCATTTTGGGAGGCCGAGGCAGGCTGATAGATTGAGCTCAGGAGTTCAAGACCAGCCTGGGCAACATGGCAAGACTCCTTCTCTACTAAAAATGCAAAAAATTAGCTGGGCGTGGTGGTCACAGTTACTTGGGAGGCCAAAGTGGGAGGATTGCTTGAGCCTGGGGAGGTGAAGGTTGCAGTGAGCTGAGATTGCACCACTGCACTCCAGCCTGAGTGACAGAGTGAAACCCTGTCTCAAAACAAAACAAAACAAAAAAAAAGGTTGAATAGTCTTTTCAAGTGTCATTTGCCATCCTAAATACTTGGTTTTTCTTATTTCTCTCCCTGGTGACCAGGAGTGTGAGGAAGAGGCTGTCTGTGTCATTATGTGTGCGTCGGTCAAGTATAATATCCGGGGTCCTGCCCTCATCCCAAGAATGAAGACCAAGCACCGAATCTACTATATCACCCTCTTCTCCATTGTCCTCCTGGGCCTCATTGCCACTGGCATGTTTCAGTTTTGGCCCCATTCTATCGAGTCCTCAAATGACTGGAATGTAGAGAAGCGCAGCATCCGTGATGTGCCGGTTGTTAGGCTGCCAGCCGACAGTCCCATCCCAGAGCGGGGGGATCTCAGTTGCAGAATGCACACGTGTTTTGATGTCTATCGCTGTGGCTTCAACCCAAAGAACAAAATCAAGGTGTATATCTATGCTCTGAAAAAGTACGTGGATGACTTTGGCGTCTCTGTCAGCAACACCATCTCCCGGGAGTATAATGAACTGCTCATGGCCATCTCAGACAGTGACTACTACACTGATGACATCAACCGGGCCTGTCTGTTTGTTCCCTCCATCGATGTGCTTAACCAGAACACACTGCGCATCAAGGAGACAGCACAAGCGATGGCCCAGCTCTCTAGGTATCTCACACTCATACAGCCCAGCCCCCAGGAGATACTTGAGTGGCCCTCAGGGAACTAAAGGGAAGGGAAGGATGGGAATGCTTCTGCTCTTGAGTTGGTTTCCCGATGCTGTCTTCTTGCAGGACGGGGTGTGTTGGAGGGACTGACTTGCAGCATGAGGCCTGTGTGGCAGCATCTGCCTGTGTGCCCGTGAAGAGTAGTCTGCCATCTCCGGCACTACTGCTGTGGGTTCCCAGCCTCTTAGAGTTTCCAAACTAAGCGTGGCTCTTCTTCATTTATTCTTCCTTTTAAATCTAAATATGCTACCACCTCCTCGTAGCACTTACATAATACACATTCACTGTAAGAAATCTGAAAATACAGGTAAGCAAAAAGAAGAATCTAAGATTCATTCTGAAATCCTTCCTCTAAGAGATAAACATTATTAATATTTTGATGTTACTAAAAATACACATACACATCTGTATATAAATGTTTTGTTCCAAATGGGATCACACAGTACATACTCTTTTGCTTTTTCCCTTAATATATCATGAATATATTTCCAAATTATGACATAATTTTATGTTCTTTTACTATATAACTTTAAGGGTTGCATAGTATTCCATTTTGCAGATGTTCTACCATATATTTAACCAGGCTTCTCTAATGTATTTTGTGTTTCTTTAACCAAATGGTGAACATTTGGGTAGTTTTCAACTTTTCATTATTAGAAGCAGGTCTGTATGGGACAAGCTTGAAGTACACGTGCGTTCATTTTTCCCTGTCATGGAGCCAGACTTGTGTCTGATGTGCTGTTGGGATTTCCAGGAGTTTGCTTTGCATACCTGAGAAGCGGCCCTATTTGGGCTTGGGGATCCTTGATAGTTGTTGTCTAGTAACTGACTCTTGTCTTTTCATAGTTGACACATTAATTCTCCTACATTTTAAATTTCTTGACAGGTGGGATCGAGGTACGAATCACCTGTTGTTCAACATGTTGCCTGGAGGTCCCCCAGATTATAACACAGCCCTGGATGTCCCCAGAGACAGGTAGGAGGCATATTTGGGGCTGTCCTTATGATGGGTTCAAGATCATTTTGTTCATGTGAAATTATATTCCTAAATCTACCACATACTTTGTAATCAGAATTGTTTATTAAACTAGAAAATTGTCATAAGTATTTTCCTCCTGAAGATTTAGAAGTGCTTAAATCTTTTATGGAAAACCAGTTAGGGCTTATGTCCTGGCATAGCCTCTAAAACTGTTTTCCCACTCTGGATTGTGCACTTCTGAGTGTAACACATCCAGCCCCCAAAAGTGTGACAGGCTTGTGCTAGCTCTCTCTGAATTCGGGAGCATTTGCCACAAGTAGATGCACAGCTTACTGAGAGAAGGTAGCGTGGATATGTAAAAGCGATACCCAAAGCCTATAATGTAGAGGGTAATGGGGGCACGCTGATTCTCATTTACTTTCTGTTGTTTCAATCAGTAGGGTTCTTTCTGTCCGTTCCTCCCTCCCTCCCTGCCTGCCTGCCTTCATTATTCGCCCCTCTTGCCTTTCGTTCCTTCCAGAAAAACCTTCCAAATAGGCAGATGTGGTATGGGGTGGCCATGACTGCCTGAGAGTGACTTTGAGTTCACTCACTGTATTTATCTGCCCTTTCATCACTGACTGAAAGATTTTGGTATGAGCTTTCTTGGAAAGCTCTGGTATGAGGTGCTACTTAAGGGACCTCTCTTAGTGCTGGGTTCAAGGCTTTGAGGAAAGTAGAAAGTTGGGGCGCAATATATAAGCGTCGCGGGCAATGCTCAAGGTATAGAATTGTTAACAGTTCACCTAAACTTGTTTATCACCAGTCTTATTACAGTTGGTGTTTAACTCTTAAACTCATTGTTAACTGAAAAGGTAACAGCCTGAGGTATTAGCCTGAGAACAGCCTGAGGCTAGTTCTCAACTTGTTAGAGGCTAACATTATCATTTATGAAAATCGACACTTAGTATTCCTTTTCCCCAGAAGATTAAATCTAAACCTTCTTTGCATTAAGTGATTATCTAAAGTCAGTTTTGAGTTTCTGTCTGGAAATATAATTATAACTACACAAGACAAACACTCCAGGACCACCCTTCAGCTTTGGTGTAGAGACCGTTTTGGACGATAGAGGGCAGTCCGGGTGCACAAATGCTGTAGGAAGTGGCTGAACACAGGGTAATTCCGGATTTGGCTCTCAGCCCCAGAGAAGGTGTGCCTGTTCCTGAGTGGGCTACTGTTTTATGGATTTGGTTGTTCTGGGGAAGTGAAATAACTTTGGAGAACAGAGAAGGGAAGGAAAAGAGCTGTTAGGAATGCAGAGTCTCCATCTCCAGTTCTGGATTTTTTTTCAGAAGGGCTTCTTTCTGTTTGGGTCATTTCACTTTTTGCTGACATTTTGGTATATGCATCTGCATGGGAGTTGGATTTTATTTTTATCAAGTGCACATGTTAAATGCGATTTCATTTGTCTGCAGGAAGGTGTCAAGTAGACAGGAGAAAGTGTGAGTACATGCCAGTGTTTAGGTGTTAGGATCAGGAAGGTTAAATAGTTTTTCCTATGCATGTATTTTTGTAAGTGATTATAGCCAATCCTATAGCAGGTAATGAATCACCATCTAGTCCTTTATCTTTGCATGTGGGAAATTTCATTTTGAAACTTAGGTGGCCTTCTTGTTGGGGTAAGGAATAGTAGATTTGTTTGTTAATTTTTCTTATCCTTCATCCTTGCTCCTGGATTCAAAGGAGGCAAGAACTGTGAATGCAGAATGGTTTTACAGGAGCTGCATGTCAGATTGTTTGGAAATTAGAAAACAGATGGGCTAGATTAGACTGCTTTAAGATCTCCTAAAGTTCAAAAGCATAGGTGTGATTACTTAAAAATTATTTTACTTAAGGAAATACAGTACAAGGACCTGGACTGAAGGGAAATGTCTGCTCAGTGAATTTTTTTTAATGCTGCTTAAATGTTTTTATTTCTCTTTCAATTAAAAAAAAATCCATACACATGATACATATATACTTTGTGCAAGGGTCGAACAGCATGCAAGTGTATAAAGAGTAAAACGTAAAAACCTGCTTTGATTCCCTCCTCTGTTTTCACTCCCTTCCTGAAAGATACTTATATTAAAATATGATGTGTTTTTCTAGTCTTTTTTCTATGGATTTAGACACAAGCACACATACAAACCAATTTTATTTTAACTTGAGTAGGAGCATATTTCATGACTTATACATCTTTTAATGACTTAACTGATGTTAGTTTTCTCAGATGTGTTCTGTAATACCGTTACTACCTTGGATTTCTTATCCTTTCTTTGCAAATATCTCTCACACATTTCTACTTTTATGTGGGTGTTTATTTATTTACTTAAACTTGTTATGGAAAATTTCACACCTATATAAAGAAGCGAGACTAGTACAGTGAACACCACATATCCTCTGTCCAGCTTCGATCATTATCTTGAGGCCCGTCTTGTTTCATCCTTACTCTCATCTACCTCCACCTCCGCTAGATTATCTAGAAACAAATGCCAGACATCAGATCCTTGCATCTGTAAATATTGTGTGAATCTCTGCATGATACAGCCTTTTCAAAAAATGTAACTAACTATAATACTATTATCATACCTAAGAAAATTAACAATAATTTTTCCATATCACCAAATAGTCACTAAATATCTAGCCTTTGCTCATGTTTACCTGTCTCACAAATATTGTTTTACAGTTTGTTTGACTCAGTGAACAAATAAGGATGACCGATAGAATCGGTCTGCTTTTTTGGGTTTTGTTTTGTGCAAAACCTGAAGCTTTATATTTGAGGAATTTGCAGGCCTGATTCCATGCATGGTTTAAAGGAAAGCAAAGGACAAACTTGCAGCCTCACTGTGTTTAGGCACTGCGAATACTTAGATAGCAGGAGGAGAACTGTGAGAAAACATGCAGAACACTGGGTTAGGGAGGGTGGAGAATACAAGGCCGTGGAGAGGAAGGCTCAGTGTCAGAGGAGACGTCCCAGAATCAGGCAGCCCTGCAAAGTGCTAAAAATGCTGGAGAGCGCCTCCAGTGATTATAATACTTGGCCTGACCTGAGTCAGATCATCATATTAATACTTCTTTAGCTGCAGGTTTTCTTTTCAGTCTCTTGCAGCTTTGGAACTAATCTCTGATTTGGGGATACATAATGGGAAAACAGAATGTGCTGTTCAGAAATTCACTTTTCAGTCAATGTAAACCATGTGTTCTGTAAAGCAAGGGATGCTTACAATATTTTCTCCATTATAATGTAATGGAGACCTTGGCAGAAGAAGATACAGTGCCTTAGAGTGCATGCCAGTAGCAGGGCTGGCATGAGGCCAGTTTGACTAATTGCAGTCGTGGCTCTTTTTGAGATGACAAACAGACTGCATGTGGATGATCTTCAGCGTAAGGCATGCTTCTGATTGCTGCTTTCCTACTGCCAGTGCTGAACATTCACCTTAACCCCCCTGGAACAGAATAACAAGTTTGGGGCCCCGGGGACAGAATAACAGTAAAGGTTGATGTGATATACAACTGCTTCCTTTCTCTGCACATACACACCCACTTCTCCTCTGGGGCTGTGAGTGTAATAGCCTAATCACCCACGACCCTGGCTTACCTGGACTGCCTGGTGCCTGAATATTGCATCCATGTCTGCTTCTCTGCACATAGGCCATGGGGCCCATAGAGTCTGCTTGCCATCATGGTCATGGAACCTGCCCAAGTTCATGTTGGATGGTTTCAGTGCTGCATGATAATCAGGAAAAATAAGACCGTATGTTGGTACTAAGGATAGTTATTACATTTTACAGAGTAGACCGGCAGCTGGAGAAGTTTTTAGCCTGCAGGTTACCTCACTCACCAGTTCTTGGTTTCATAAAGCTTAAACAAACAGAGTGGGATTTCCAGGGGTGGTTTGAAAATCTTTGAACCTAAACTGGTCATGTTAGAAGGGAATGTAGGTTGTCATCAGGGCAGGGAGGGGATTGGTAGCAATCAATATTGCAAAAAATGTGGTTTCTCAGTTGAGACATCTTGGCTCAGACTTTGTAGTGTGTGTTGCCCTAGAAAGTGATTTCGATGGGTTTGGGGTCCTGGGAGAGAATAACAGTAAAAGTTGGTGTGATATACACCTGCTTCCTTTCTCTGATGAAGTGTCATTGTACTACTTGCTGGATCCAGTTAAAACAATGTGGTCACTGTTTTCTAATTAAGGAGAGTAACGGCTAGTACAAGCAAACTGCAAGAGAAGCACTGAGGGTTTAATTCTAGGTTCTGCTTCCTGTATAGGGAATTGGGTTAATAAGACTAAGTAGCTGGAATGGACAGTGAGAGCCGGTGGAGGCTACATGATTGACATGTAACTCTGAGATGATGGTGGAAAGAACTGCTTGAGGCAGGGATTGGAGAGAGGCTGGGGTGTAAGCGATGTGAAATGTGATACTTTCTGGCCACCACTGCTTTCCAGGACCATTGTGTTCTGAGATTCTAGCCAGTGGTTGGTAAATGACTTCCCCAACCAGTCTTCCCATGCAGAACTGTTACTCCTGTTATTGTAAATGTGTTTATTTATAAAGTATGACTAGGGAGAGGTGAATGGGATCTGAGGGAGGTAGCAGAGAGGCTGTCCGTAAGGTGTCCTCTGGACTATGATGTGTTTCAAAAACTGGGAAGTAAGGAAAGGGTATTTAGGACCCCGGGGGAAGGCTGGTGATTCAAGGATAGAACGCAGCTGATGGCCCCGAGATGCGTGTATAAGGCATTGTCTTTATAGAAAACTGACTCTGTAAACGTTAGCTGGTTTTGATAATAAAGACTCAGTAATTCCTGTTCCTCTCCACAGTGTGTATCAGAATAAAGTCCTTTCTTTCTCATCGTTTAACAAAATACTTTGCTTTCAGGGCCCTGTTGGCTGGTGGCGGCTTTTCTACGTGGACTTACCGGCAAGGCTACGATGTCAGCATTCCTGTCTATAGTCCACTGTCAGCTGAGGTGGATCTTCCAGAGAAAGGACCAGGGTAAGGTACATTCATCCCAGCCAGGTGTGCCTTTACTGAATCTGTGAGATGTTGATGAGGTTTAGTGTGGTGGGCATCAAAGCAACCAATACATCAGTTACAGGGTAGGGTCCTTGAGGCACTGAGGCACCCATCTTTCCCACCTCCATGCAGTCTCATTCATCTTGCAGTTTTCTCTGTCTCCTTAAATTCACAGTGCTGTCTACCAAGTTTTCTAAGCCAGGAATCCATGTGGTATCCTTAACTCCGTTCTCTCCTTTGTTTCCTATATCAAAGTAGGAAGTCGTATTGATTCTGCATCCTAAATACTTCCTAGGTCTGTCTGCTCCCCGAATCCTCCTCCTCTACCCTAGACCAGGTTACTGTCATCTCTCCATTGGATTGCTGAAACGGCTTCCTATGTGGTTTCCCTGCCTCTGGTCTTGCTCCCCTCGAGTTTGATCCTTGGCTTCACATTGCCCTTAGGATAAGATTCACGTTAGTCCTTAGCCCACAGTCCCTAAAACATCTTTCAAGGCTCTCTTTCATCTGACCACTATCTCCATCTTTAGCTTTGTGTCTGAGAACTTTTTACTTCTTTCAGTTCCTAGAACAAGCTGTGCTCTCTCAGTTTTTCTGGGCAGCAGACACATTCTCTACTGTCTGCAGACCTTCTTCCTCGTCTTCATTAGTCTAACATCCTGCTTGTGCCTTAGGTTTCAGCTTGAAACCACCTTCTGGGATGGGGTGGAGGGGGTACCTTCTTGGCCTCTGCCCTGGCTCCTCTGCTTTATGCTCCCATAGCAGCCTGCACGTCTCTTAGAGTGATGCCCATCGCTGCACACATGATGCCCATCGTGATGACTTGCTCAAAGCCTGTCTTGTTTGGATTTTGGATTTTGTACGTGCAGTGAAGCTGAGGTTAGGTTTTTGTTTTTGCTTTGTTTTGCTTTTTTAAGTGACAGAGTCTTGCTATGTTGCCCAGGCTAGATTCAAATTGTTGGGCTCAAGTGACCCTCCTGCCTCAGCCTCCCAAGTAACAGGAACTGTAGGCCCATGCCACTGCATCCAGCTGTTTTTTTAAACTACCATATCTTCAGTGTCTGGCATTTCTTGGCTCATATTTTAGTATGTGAGGGAGTAAATGAAAAGGGCTGACAACATGAATGTGCAGCATGGATGTAACCTTTTTTTTTCTGTAGTCTATGTAAAAATTGTGCTATTTCCTGGTGAGAATCTCAGTGAGCTTTAAACAAACATGATAATAAAAGCATCCTTTACTTGTGTGGAAGTGCTCAGAAGCAGAGGTGACCAATAGATAAATTTTGACACTAAAAATGTTGTATTTGGTTTGAGAAATGGGTCTCATGGAAATAGTTTGCCTGGAGACCATTAGAACCATTCTTTAAATATTTCAGACATCTCCTTAGAAACCTTTGTGGACTCTGAGAAGTAAGAGAACTTTTCTCAGGAGAAGACATCTCTCTCCTGTTTGTGTTCTACCATGTGGCCCGGGACCAAATTCTGAAACTTACATTAGCCATTCACTTAGCAAATTTTGTTATGTAGACGATGTGTAAAGCCCAGGTGAGCTTGAGACATTTTTGTTCCTACCCTTAGGCAAATGCGGAGCAAGACTGAGTGGTTCATGAAGTTGTTGCTTAGGACATCTTCCTGGATTTTTCTCCCTTTGTGGACTCCCAGAGTTGACTTATTTTATTTTATGTTTAAAATTGAGATTAATTTATATACCATAAAATTTACTCTTTTAATGTGTATAATTTAACGGTTTTTAGTATATTCACAAAATTGTGCAACTATCATCAGGCCTACTACCTAATTCTAGAACATTTTCATGACTCCACAAATAAACCTAATATCCAATAGCAGTCAGTCCTCACCTCTGTCCCCAGCAAGAATCCTTAATCTGCTTTTTCTCTCTATGGGTTTGCCTATTCTGGACATTTCCTATCAACATAATTGTACAATAAATGGTCTTTTGTACCTGTCTTCTTTCACTTAGCATAATGTTTCCAAGGCTTATTCATGTAATAGCATGGAATCAGTACTTCCTTTGTTTTTTGGCTGAATATTTCATCATATGAATATACCACATTTTATTCATCTCTTCATCAGTTGATGGAAATTTGGATTATTTCCACCTGTTAGCTCTTATGAATAATGCTGCTATGAACATTTGTATACAAGTTTGTATGTAAAGCTGGTTTCAGTTCTCTTGACCTAGGAGCAGAACTGCTGGGTCATACGGTAGCTCTATGTTTAACTTTTTGAGGAACTGCCAAACTCTTTTCCAAAGCGGCTGCACCATTTCACATTCCCACCAGCCATGTATGAGGGTTTCGATTTCCCCATATCCTCACTAACCCTTGTTATTGCCTGTGTTTTTTATTCTAGCCATCCTAGTGGATGTGAAGTCATATCTTCATTGTGGTTTTGGTTTGCATTTCCCCACTGACTAATAATTTTGAGTATCTTTTCATGTGCTTATTGGCCATTTATATAACTTCTTTGGAGAAATGTCTATTCAGATCATTTGCCCATTTTAAAATTGAATTGTCCTTTTATCGTAGAGCTATAAGAATTCTTTATCTATAACAGATGTTAGAACCTCTTCAGATCCATGATTTGCAAATCCTTTCTCCCATTCTATAGACTGCTTTTCACTTTCTTTTTTTTTTTTTTTTTGAGACGGAGTTTTGCTCTTGTTGCCCAAGCTGGAGTGCAATGGCGTGATCTCGGCTCACCAAAACCTCCGCCTCCCAGATTCAAGCGATTCTCCTGCCTCAACCTCCCAAGTAGCTGGGATTACAGGCGTGTGCCACCACGCCCAGCTAATTTTGTATTTTTTGCAGAGACGGGGTTTCTCCATGTTTGTCAGGCTGGTTTCAAACTCCTGACCTCAGGTGATCCACCCACCTTGGCCTCCCAAAGTGCTGGGATTACAGGTGTGAGCCACCGCACCCGGCCTCACATTCTTGATAGTGTCCTTTGATGCACAAAAGTTCCTCATTTTGATGAAGTCAATTTATCTATTTTTCCTTTGGTTACTTGCAGTTTTGGTGTCATTTTTAAGAAACCATTGCCTAATCCAAGGCCATGAAGATTTACCCTTACGTTTTCTTCTAAGAGTTTTACAGTTTTGGCTCTTACATTTAGATTTATGGTTCATTTTGGTTAATTTTTGTATGTGGTATAAGGTGGGGGTCCAACTTCATTCTTTTGCTTGTGTATGTCTAGTTGTCTGAACACCACTGGTTGAAAAAACAAGTCTTCTTCTATTGAATGGTCTTGGTACCCTTGTTAAAAATCAACTGGCCATAGATATATGGGTTTATTTTTGGATTGTCAATTCGAATCTGTTGGTCTATATGTCTATTATGCCAGTACTACATTGTCTTGGTTACCTTAGCTTTGTATTAAGTTTTGAAATAAATGTAAGTTCTCCAACTTTGTTCTTCCTTTTTCTTGTTTTAAGAGACGAGGTCTCGCTCTGTCACCCTGGAGTGCTGGATCGAATGGGTGGGATCATAACTCACTGCAGCCTTGAACCCCTGGGCTCAGGTGATCCTCCTGCCTCAGCCTCCCAAGTAGCTAGGACTATAGGTACATGCCACCACGCTTGGCTAATTTTTTATAGAGATGGGTTCTTGTGATACTGCCCAGGCTGTGTTCTTCTTTTTCAGAGTTTTCCTGACTATTCAGGTCCTTTGCATTTTAATTAACTATTTTTGTTATAAGTAAATATAAATGAAAAACAGTCTAAACTCTTTGTGCTTATGCAACTACAAAACTGAAACAAATTTACAAGGTTAAATATAAGCACATCTACAAAACTAATAACATTCAGATTAACATAATTGAATATGATAGCTGATGCTGTTTCTTTGAAATGAGATTGCATCTTTAAGGTGAATATGGAGTTAATTACGGGTTTGCTGGGTTTGATGTGCCTATACTGTTGTATGTTGGGTGAAAATGTACTTTTTTTTTTAACCATGTTTTCTATTTGAAACATTAGAAGCTTCCCTTTAGATAGCATATTGTGACATCATTTATCTTCATATGGTACAGATGCATGATTCATATTTTTTCCAATATTTTATTATGAAAATTTCCAAACAGCAAAGTTTAAAAAATTTTACACTGAACATAATGTATACCCACAGCCTAGATTCTATCTGCATTTTTACTCTACTGCTTTATATGATTTACATTTTTAGTGTTTCTCTCATCTCATTAGTCCACTAAATAGAAACTTGGAAGTTGAATATTTTTTAGCAGTATTCATCATTAAATATGAGCAAAACTATCCCCATACTAATTTTTTGGATTATCATCACAATGGAAATACACAAATAATTCTTCTAGTGAATTCACGGACAGAAGAAACTGATATAATTCAGTGCCCTATTTCGAGGTTAGATTTTCATAAATTCAGAAAGGATGAGATCATCTACATAAGCCCCGCTGGTACCCTTTGGGGTGGTACAAGTTTCTGTTATGTGCCTAGGGTCTTAATTTGGCATATTTATGTAGCACGAGATAGAAATAACTATAAGTAGGGAAAAAAGTTACTTCTCTGCTGCTTCTGTGAGCATTTACTTAAATCTGTTCTGTGATTTAAAAAGTTTTTATTCATTTCTTTTTCTCTTTTTTTCCTCCTAAAGTTGTTCTGGAAATTATTTAATTCAATTCAGTTTAGTTCAGTTCACTTCAAGTCAAACCTTTATTGAAAGCCTGTTTGGACCAAGTATTGGGCTAGACTGCTGTCTCTCATCAGGAGAAAGGGAATGATTATGTCCCCCAGGGGACATTTGGCTATTTATATATATATATATATATATATATATATATATATATATATATATACACATACACACACACACACACACATTTTTGACTGTCATGACTGTGGGGATGTGTGTCAGAGGGTCCTGAAGACCACTTCCAGTTACTATGATTTGCCAGGAGGGCTCCATGACTCAGCATATAATTGTACTAACGTCTGTGACTTATTACGGCAAAAGGATGCACAGCACAGTCAGAGAGGTAGAAGACGCATGGGGTGAATCTGGAGAAACCAGGCACAAGCCTTCAAGTGCCCTCTTCCAGTGCGGTGCACAAGATGTTCTCAGTTCCCTCAGCAGCAAGCTGTGACAACACTTGTGAAATGCTGTCAACCAAGGGAGCTCGTCAGAGACTTAGCACCCAGGACCTTTCTTAGGAGCTGATTGCATAGGCTGTCTCTGCCTGGCACGTGCCAAACTTCCAGACTCCCAGAAGGAAAGCATGTGTTCAGCATAAACCACATTTGTTTGTGCAGTTTGGATACAGTGAGCCACTCTTATCAGTTCCAGGGATGATGGGAACCCTCTCCAAATCCAAGTCTCCAGATGACAGCCAAAGACCAAACTTATAAGCAAGCCTTTCTAAGGAGAACACTCAGGCCTGCTATGTTAATTCTTCTCTGCATAGGGCAGGGCAGCCCCCAACATCAAGAAATACTGGGTGCAAATGTCAGCAGCGCTGGGGTTGAGAAACCCTGGGTGAGGCAGAGAGTGACATGTGAGGACTGGTCTGCTAGGACTGCTCAGCTGCTGTGGGCCTCTGTCTTCAGTGCACTTTTCTTGAGACCACTTGAACCAAACTCTCTCTTTATTGTTTAATCCCTCTCATATAATCTAGCTCTCTTATATTGGTTTAGGACTCTTAATCCCCTTCAGGTTTAATCCAGGGAAGAAAACTGAAAATAAAAGCTTTAAGTGAAAATAAAACAAAGGAGAAAAACCACTCCAAACAGTAAAACTCATTTTCAAATAATTAGTTTCAGAGATTTAGATACATCAATATATAATTAGTTTCAGAGATTATATATTGGTGGTATTTTCCTAGTAATTTAGTGTCTCTAATTTTTGTGTATAACTCAGCTGGAATTAATATCTTTAACTAGATCCTTTGAAAAGGTGTCAGTTTCTAAAGTTCTGTGGTTCAATAACCCGATAGGAGTGTCCAGTTTATCTTCAGGGTAGCACCGAAAGGTAAGGCTGCGCTGAGCATGTACCTCCCTCTGCTGGCTGGTAGATGGATTTCTGCAACCTGGCTTGGGCCCATGCTGTCCATTTCGGTGCCAGCTTGCAGTCTGGTCATGCACTTGTGGTGTTAACTTTTATATAAGAACATCTCCTACCACCACCCCTCCCTGCCCCCGAAAACCAAGACAAAAAAAAATTAAAAAGTAAAGACAGGTTCAGACTCATCATCCTGCCAGGGACGTGGGAGAAGGCAGGGTGGGCCATCTCATGGCAGTGTTTTGGGTTTGTTGATCCTTGTGAGAGTTGCTGTTTAAGGGAATTCCCACATCTCTTGCGGGCTATACAGAATAGTGAGAGCTTTGCTTTTATTTTTGTTTTAAATCTCTGTCAGCATTTGTTCAATGGGAAGTGGATGATTGTTGCTATTGATAGCTGCTTCTCACAGCTGTTTTGGCCTCAGCTGGAATTCTTGTCATTTTCCTTCTAAAATGAACTAAATTGGGAGTTTACAACTGTTACTATTGAGGGAGACTTCAAGTTCTCAGCATGGTTTTGCTTAAACTTAGATATCAGCACTGCTGGGAGGAGACATGAAAGCTATAGCTAGTCATTTTAGTCTTTAAAAGAAAAACAAATCCACCTTAAAATTTAGTTGGTTTAAAACTAAAATGAGCATACTCCTTCAACCATCTGCCAGGTCAGGGACAGCCAGCATGCAAGCAAGGGACACATTTTTAGACTTGTTCACATCTACACTTGTTCACATTGGGTGGGGAAGAAGGCGCACGTGGAATGTTCAAGCCCTAGTGGGGTGGGAGCTTCTGCTTAAGAGAAGAGTAGTAAGGTAGCCTGGTGCTACCACATTTATGTTGAAAATGGAGTAGCAGTAGAGCGGGGATCCAGTGATCCTGGTAACTGAATGTCTAAAATAGAACTTTATTTCTCATCAGTGAAATCTAACCCAGAGTCTTTCTTAAGAGTTTTCTTTGAGCACCACACATCAACATCTGTATTTATTTCTGTATCTGTACAGACAGATGTCTATCTATTTGTGCATATTGAAAACCATGCATTCATCTCAGTATCTCCAGTTCCATCCAACACTGCAGGGGCATTCTGGTTTTCTCTCTTTCCATATTTGTAACTCCCTTCTCTGACTCCTAGAAATCTGGCTCTCTTTATCCTCAACATCTTTACTTATTTGATCAACCCTCTTATATTCATCAAACTTCTGTTGCCCCCCTGCCCCCACACTGCACAGAGGCCTTCCCCACCCCTCCTCATCCCTGCTCAGACTCTGACCCCCTACATTGTGCTGCCCTGCACCCTCCCAGCACAGATGCCTTTCTCACACTTCTTGGGTTCTAGCACTGGGGTGATGCTATCATTACCATCATTCTCCCCACAACTTGGGCACCCTTCTCAGCCTGCCCAGGCTCTAACACTCTCTTCTGAGCTGCCCAGATGCCCTCCTAACCTCACTTGGTCTCCAGCATCCCCATAACCCTTCCCCCAGCACAGAAGCCTTCCTTTCACTTCTGGGGCTCTGATACCCTGCGCCAGGCTACCTTACTACTCTTCTCTTAAGCAGAAGCTCCCACCCCACTAGGGCTTGAACATTCCACGTGCGCCTTCTTCCCCACCCGACCATGCAGAAATGCCCTCTGGGACTCCAATACTCTATGCCCTTCTGCCTGGACATCCTCTTTACTCCTCTTGGATGCCCACCTGTTTATTCTTTTTCTGGAGAGGGTAGAACACTAGTTTTGTGCTGTCAGCTCTACTTAAAGAGAAAGGCTCCAGAAACATCCATGAGATCCTTCAAAGAGCCAGCGTCTTATTGTTTGGAAAGACCTTTAAAGACCATTTAGCTCTTAACTTGATGCATGACTTTTCAGTAACTTTTTACTGAAAAAGTTTCTGATTTATACTGAAAAATCACCAACTTACAAGACAGTCCATTTCATTATTGAATAGCTTTAATTATTAAGGAAGTTTCCCTGCTTGTCTTGTGGGTTTGACTGTAAATTTTCCTCTTGCTTAAACAGGTACGTTTGATTATAGAAGTAATTTGAGCAAAGATGGTGTTTAGTCTGAGATGAACTGCGGGTGCTCCCTGTATGTGATCTCGCCATCACTAAGTCATCCTCTGAAAATTAATACTTTTACAAAAGAAAAATGATTGAGGCTCAAGGCTTGGAGTAGAACTCAAAAGCCTGTTTTAGTGTCTAGAAAGAATACTTTTGGCTATAAATATTGAACATATTGCTCAATAAATTGTAATTTAGGAGGAAATGGGCCAGGAAAAAGGAACCAGTCTGTACAGCTGATCCAAACCATCTCCCTGCTGGGTTGCTGTTGTATATCTTTCTTATCTCCACTTACCGTCATCCTGGCCTCTGGCTCTCACCTACCTTGTGGCGTAGCTCCATTAAGTAGAACTTTCTGCAGTAAGGACGTGGTCAACGTTTGTGCTGTCAGGCAGCCCCAGCCACATATGGCTATTTGAGCACTGGAAATGGGCCTAGTGTGACTGACAAACTGAACTTTTAATTTTATTTACTTTTAATTAGTTTAATTTAAATGGCCTCACGTGGCTAGTTGCTATTAGTGAAGTTCTAGGGAGTCTGCTGGTTCCTTTTTTTCTTAATTGTGATGTGTTAAGTGCCTTTTGCTCTTAGTTAGGCCAAAACCAGAATTGATCCTGAGGACGTAAAAGCAGTCTGGCTGTGGTATAGGTTGCTCTTTTCTCTGGGTTTGTATGACTAGTCTAGCTGGCTAGGCAGGTGTTCACCTTCACTCATTGCTTTATGTGATTTGGACCTGAAGCTTAATCCTCTATAAAAGGAGATGACCTTCTCAGTTAGAGTATAATTATTGAGTGAGATGCTCCCCGGCTAGAACTTCCAAACAAGTCTGAGTAACTAAGGAAAAGTAACAATTACCATTCTCTCTTCAAAGCCAAAAACAAACAAACAAAAAATGGATGGGTTCACAAACTCTAGGTTGCGTGGTGGCGTTGCCTGTGAGAGATACGTAGCCCTAGTATTTTCCCTGGGCTGTACCAGTTTGAGCTGGATTTCAGTGTGTGCTGCTTCTAGGCTTAATGAGTGTTTCATTTCTTCCTGGAACATGCTTTCTGTGATTCTTCTCTTTGACACTGATTCCTTGTGGTCCCTCAGCCTAAACAGGTTGAGTATCCCTTATCCAAAATGCTCAGGACCAGAAGTGTTTTGGACTCCTGATTTTTTCAGATTTTGGAGTATTTGCGTTATACTCTTGGTTGAGCATTCCAAATCCAGAAATCTAAAATATTTCAATGAGCATTTCTTTTGAGCATCATGTTGGCATCCAGAAAGCTTTGGATTTTGGAGCATTTTGGACTTCAGATTTTCAGATTTGATATGCTCAACCTGTATAGGTTTTATGTTCTGTACCCTCTCTGTCTTGTTTGAGTCTTGTCTTCCAGGAGGGAATTACTTCCCATCTGGTCTCTCCAAAATCTTCCCCTTGACTTCAGACTTACTAACTTTGTGTTTCCATATCTGTCTCTTGTGGAGATCTGCATGGCACTAGACCCTTGGAGATCTTTCTTCCCTCTGTCTTGTTTGAGTCTTGTCTTCCAGGAGGGAATTACTTCCCATCTGGTCTCTCCAAAATCTTCCCCTTGACTTCAGACTTACTAACTTTGTGTTTCCATATCTGTCTCTTGTGGAGATCTGCATGGCACTAGACCCTTGGAGATCTTTCTTCCCTCTGTTTTCTTTTACACATCCTTGCCATCCAGATGTTAAGACTGGAGATTCTATGCTTTGATGAAGATCGTTTTTTCTACTTCTTGTTTTCAACTACCAATTCGGTCTCCCTCCCATTTATGTGGCCTTGATGATGGGGACTTTCCCTATAGCCTCTCCATTGCACAGGGATGCTGTTAGACAGCCAGGAGCAGCCCTTTCCAGAGCCCTTCAGTTGCCTGCCAGTGCTTCCCATCAAGCTTCCCTCTTTCCCCATTTGAAGAATGCAGCCAGCTTCCAGTCGCTTTCAGATCAGGGACTCAGATGTAACTAAGACAACACTTCGATGTTCCTTCCAAATTATCAGTTTCTCTCCTACACACACACACACACACACACACACACACACACACACAATTTATAGCATGCGCTCTCAGCTTAGCATATTATAAGCATTTCCTCACGATATCAAGAACTGTTCCCAAATAAGATGTGTTATGATTGCATAATATTTCAGTGTGTGAATGAATCATATCTTACTTTCTCACAATATATAATATTTTAAATATTTACTAATACTACAGAAGATAATTTTAAAAATCAGTGGAGGTGAAGACTGGTAAGGAAACACTTACTGTCATAAGTTTAATATCAAAGTTTGTCTTACCTTGACTAACATACCAGCTGCAATTTTCCAATCACCTGTTTTTTTCCCTTGTAGTCCACGGCAATACTTCCTCCTGTCATCTCAGGTGGGTCTCCATCCTGAGTACAGAGAGGACCTAGAAGCCCTCCAGGTCAAACATGGAGAGTCAGTGTTAGTACTCGATAAATGCACCAACCTCTCAGAGGGTGTCCTTTCTGTCCGTAAGCGCTGCCACAAGCACCAGGTCTTCGATTACCCACAGGTGCTACAGGTGAGTGTCATTCATTACCTCTCGCAAAGGCTCAGGAGAGTTTGCTTACATGGGTTAAAATTGAGCCCAGCGAACCTGAGTTGTTTTCAGCATGCAACTAGAATTACCCAAGGGGAAGAAAACATAGCATTGCTCTTTACTGGACATGTAGACCTTCAGGTACTTGGATGTCTGGTGTCTTGTGTTCGTGCAAAGCTGCTTGGCCTATGAGAGTCTATACTCCTTTCAGATATTCATTATACTTCAAAAAGACAAGTCTCATAGATTCGCAGACAAGCCACATGGACAAAGCAGGCAAATGTATCTTGCTTTTACCCCCATATTCATAAGGCAGTCCAGAGAAATTTTCTTCTTTGAGGTGGCAACTTGCATCCCTTGACCATGCTGGCCTACAGAGCCACAGTGAACTTTCCCTGGGAGTGGAGGGGTTTAGGGGTTGTTTTGATTGTTTTGCTATTTGGAGTTCTTGCCACCTTTAGCATCTCCTGTCAGTAGCATGTCCTTTATTTACATAGTGGGAATGGCTGTACTTCCATAACCATAGGGAAAGCGGTCTCTTTGGGGATGTTTTATATGTAGGATATTTGACATTCCAAGGGTATGGGGGCTAGGAAATGAGAAATTGAGCTTTGTTCACTTAAATACTTAAAATGGACACAGGTTAGCTCAAGGAGAAACACAAAGGAGCTGGTGTGATTTTTTTTTTTTTAATCTCCAGAGAGCTTGCCCATACTGGGATTGTAAAAATACATTCAAAAAGTGCTGCACTCCTCCTGGAATGTCTGGCTGGTAACAGTGGTGATGAGGGCAGGAGTATTTATAGTAACCTTTGTCTAGACAGGAAAAATGGTTATCAGCACGTGTGTCCACATCTGGATGCTGACTCTTGAGGTCAGGGGAGCTTTCCACCTGCACCTCCGGGTACCACGATGACTTCTCTTCCTCTCCTCTTGCTGCTTTTCTCATTTATCCCCAGAGGTGTTTGGAATATCGAATTCCTTTATTTCTTTTTCTGAACTTTCCTTTTCTCTAGCTTTAAAGATTAGTTTTTGGTTTTTTTAAAAAATCTTTTTCCTCCTTCTTAAGAGGCAAAATCTGGGAGAAACAGAATGTTAGGTAGTTAAGGTTTCTGTATTTTGGTTTACCTATTGCAGCTGTTTTTTCTGTGGTACATCTCTCCTTTTCCCAAGTATTCCCCACATTGAGGGGGTTTGAGGGAGTGAATGAGGAAGAAATTTTTCATTAGATTTTTTTTATAGAACATATTAGTCTTAATATCTTTTCAAAGGCATTGAATTCATGAAATGAGTATCTTCTATATAAAAAGCACACTGTTAGATGCTATGGGGGGTAGAAACATGAAAAGAGATTTGATACCTTCCCTTTAGGGGGTCTTGTAGAAAGCCTGAAATTCCCAGACAAAATAATTCCATTACAAGGTAGGCTGAGGTAAGTACTGTAAGAGATGTCAGACAGTGTGCCGTGGTGTGTTTACATAGTACACTAGGGCCTAAAGAGACCCATTTGCAGGAAGTCACGTTGTTAGCTGTCTAAGGGAAGACTTTGACATTGACCTTGAACATTTTCAGAAGGCCAACAGTGGTGGCATTGAAGCAATACTGAAGAGTAGAAATATTAATACAAAACATTGCAGCCATTTAAACTTTTCAAGTTTTACAGGTGTGAGCTGTTGTCTTTTGGCATTTTTGTGTCAAGATGCCTCAGTATTGCTTGGCGTCAACCCTTGTAGAAACTTTGTGGTCTGTAGGGATCAAAGTTAGTGGATCAGCAAAACTAGTTTGTAATCTCTTGCCTCTTTGTGTTCCTGCAGGAGGCTACTTTCTGTGTGGTTCTTCGTGGAGCTCGGCTGGGCCAGGCAGTATTGAGCGATGTGTTACAAGCTGGCTGTGTCCCGGTTGTCATTGCAGACTCCTATATTTTGCCTTTCTCTGAAGTTCTTGACTGGAAGAGGTGGGTAGTACCTCCTAGTAAACTCTACATTAGTGGTTCTGCGTATATTACAAATAAAATCTCCTCAGGTCATTGTAATGTATACCCTGGTTCAAGAACTACTACAGATAGTTTTTCTCTATTTTCCATTAGGAGAGTTAGTACACTGGTCTAGAGCAGTTCACAAACCAAGGCCAGTTTGCAGGCTGGCTGTTTTTGTAAGTCAAGTTTTATTGAAACACAGCCGTGTCCCTTCCTTTACGTATAGTCTGGCTGTTATTGTGTCACATTGGTAGAGTTAAGTAATTGCAACAGAAATTGGATGACATACAGGGCTTAAAATATCACTATCTGGCCTTTCATCACAGGGGTCCCCAACTCCCGGGCTGTGGCCTGTTTGGAGCCGGGCTGCACAGCAGGAGGTGACCAGCGGGCCAGTGAACATTACCATCTGAGCCTCGCCTCCTGTCAGATCAGTGGTGGCATTAAATTATCATAGAAGCGTGGACCCTACTGTGAATTGTGCATACAAGGGATCTAGGTTGCGCTCTCCTTATGAGAATTTAACTAATGCCTGATGATCTGAGGTGGAACAGTTTCATCCCCAAACGATTCCCTGCCAAACCCAGTCTGTGGAAAAATTGTCTTCCACAAAACCAGTCCTTGGTGCTGAAAAGGTTGGGGACTGTTGCTTTTCAGAAAATGGTTACCAACCTCTAGCCTAGACCGGTGTTCAACTCTGACTACAGAGTAGACTCACCTGGAGAGCTTAAAAAAAATGCCTTGCCTAATTCTTGGGGATTCTGAATGTTAAAGCTCCCAGGTGATTCTGATTTGTAGTCAGAGTTGAGAACCACTGGTCTAGAGTCTATTGAATTTGCATAATGTTGTAGATGGTGGTGGAGAGCCTCATGTAGATGAAAGCTTAGAGACATTCCCAGTGTACAGATGGACCCAGTTCCATTCTACTGGGTGTTCACCATTTATATTGCAATAAACAGAATAGCCCTCTATTCTCATGCTTCACTTTCCCAAGATTTTGCAGGGTGAAGGTTGTTGAAAATTAATTCCATTCATATCTATCTCTCAGTCTTTTCCTTGCCTCAAATGCTTACTGGTTTTTTCCTCTCCCAACTTTTTTGGTATTTCTGTCCAAATCTGATCACCACAGGTATTTGAACAACTTGAAAAGCTCTAGTTCATTCATTCATTCATTTATTCATTCATCTCACATTGATTGGAAACCCTCTTGTGAGTAACATAGAGTCTCTGTTTCCAAGGAGGCTAGAATCTAGTGAGAGAAGACAAACCGATGATAATGTTTTGTGGTAAATGTCATAGCAGCTGTATGCACAGGGGACCATGGAAACCCAAAAGAGAGGAGGGAGCCTAACTCAGCTTGAAAGAGGAGAGCATGTAGTTATTCTTCATGCCTTAGAGAAGCGATGAGCCACTTCCAGCATTTATCTCCCAATGAAAGCATCCATTAAGTACCTTTTATTTACCAGATGCTGTCTTAAGTATAGGGAGACAAATACAATCAAGGCCAAACCTTTTCTCAGGGACACTCATAGTGTAGTGGTGGAAGACAGAGGAGTAAATCAGCAGTTACCAAATCCTGTGATGAGACAGCTGTGACTGGATGGGATGCCAGGAGGAGGGGGAGACACACACCATCATTGGCAGTGGGATTGGTGAGGGCTTCACAGAGGCGGTAACTCTAAGCTGAGTCCAAAAGGGTATTTCTATGAGAATCTAGATCTGCTTGGGTAGTGCTAATTATGGATTTAAAGTCAGAAGGCCTAGGTTGAGATAACCAGCTCTCTCACTGGCTGGCTTTTTGATCTTGGCAAATGACTTAATCTTTTTTGAGTCTCAGTTCTCCCATCTGTATAGTGGAAATCATTTACTTACTTAACAAATGTTTATCAAGTGCTAACTGTGCAAGGCAGTAATATACCAGGTGCTGAGGATACGCTGGTGAGTGGAGCCAGGCACACTTTCCGTCCTAATGGACTAGCCTAGTTGGCAGAAGTGAGGTTTAGAGTTTAATCATTAATTTATACAAATGTAATTACAAACTCTGCCAAATGTCGTGAAGGAAAAGTGATTGTTGAGTCCTCTCTTTCTCTTACCCACCACATCTAATCTGTTAGCAAACCCTGTGGGCTCTACCCTCTCATCCCCATCATCAAGTCTTCCCTCATCTGCATCTCTTGCCTGGCTTTTGCAGTGTTCTCCAGTTGTTCTCTCTGCTCCTGTCCTTGCTTTCCTGTAGTTTATTCTAACACTTTAGATAGAATGATCCTGTTGGAACATGGTTAGGTTATATCATGCTTTTGCCCAAAACCCTCTCATGGCTTGCCATCTCAGAAAAAAAGCACAAGTCTTTCAGTGGCCTACAAGGTCCTATACTCTTTGCTGTGACTCTGTCTGTCCCATTTCTTCTTTCCTGGTGTTATTCTCTGCCTTCTTTACTCTGCTCCAGCCACAATAGCCTCCTTGCTGTTCCTGGAACTTGCCCACCATACTGCTTCTTCAGGGCTGTTTGCTTGTTAGACTTTTTGCCTGGAATGCTGTTTCCCAGGCATTCTTCTGGCCTGCTTACTCTCTTGCCTTCCTTGTCTAATTAATTCACTGTTGGGTTAGCACATAATAGGGCTTCCATAAATATATGCCAGATAAATGAATAGATTTGCATAGATAGCTAAAGGAGAAAAGTATTTGTTAACTTAGAAACGGAATAAAGGAAGAGTGTACTAGGTGGGTGGGATTTCACATGCAAAGGCCCTCTGGTAGGGCAGAGCATGGTGTGTTCAAGTGACTGAAATAATACCAGTGTGGCTAGAGCACACTAGTGGAGTGGAGGCAGGGTGAAAGATTAATGGAGTAGGGAGTGGGAGGTAAAAAAATGGAGCTGTAAGAGAACTCCTTTGAGAAGTTCAGCCAGTGAAGAAGGGAGGGGAAAGAGATAATACTTACCGGAAGGGATGTGGGGCTGAAGGAGGTTTGGGATGTTGTTTCTGCTTGTGAAATGAAACAAGACTGTGTGTAGAAATGCTTTCTGTGAAGGGCTGTGTGTATGTAAACTGTTTTGCTGTTGTCTCCAGAGCATCTGTGGTTGTACCAGAAGAAAAGATGTCAGATGTGTACAGTATTTTGCAGAGCATCCCCCAAAGACAGATTGAAGAAATGCAGAGACAGGTAAGAGGCCAAGTCTTGGGGAGGTGACATGGGTGGTACCGAAATGGTGGCCTTGACTGGATACAGAGGGACAGGAGCTGAATGCCTGAGTGGGGTTTACTTCCTCCACTAGATCAACTAGCCAAACTGAAACGATAGGAAATTAATGTTAGGTGAGTTGCATCAAATAAGGTTTGAAATAATAACTCTCAGAGAACTGTGCAGAGGTAAGCCTACTGCAATTTTAGGGTCTTACCATAGCAGATGCAAAGCTGAAGCTCTTTGGAGGGTTTGTAGTCACAGCAGGTGATAGTCGTAGTGACTAAGACAGCCATGGAAGCTGGACCATTTCAGGGCAATACTTCTGTGTAGCTATTGACCATGATACTATTGCTGCACAAACTAGCCCAGCTTCCCAGTTCAGTCATCCTTTGTAATTCGGGAATCCTTCCCTCTCTTCTGGAACATTTGCCATTTTCCTGCCTCTCTTTCCAAATTTCTCTTCTACCTTCTGACACCCCATTCCCTAGGCTGATCTCTGACTGTCTCATACTCCACTTGATGTCCCACTGAGTCCTGCTTCCGTTTCTTTGTCCTGAAGGACATTTAATTGGGTTTAAATATCAAGCAAGGTGAAAAAGTTAAGAAGACTATCCCAAAAATTTTTAATGGACTTTTAAAAAGGTTTAATCTTTGTCAAAATCACCGATGTGGGAGAAGAGCAGGAAAAGAGGCTTGGCGGATTCTCAGCAGTACGTGCGTAAGTGTCCCATGCCACCCCCTGCTGTTAGTTCGGCACCCTCAGCCTCAGGCAGAGAGCCTGCATTTGGCCATGTCCCAAGAACAGGCCACAGGCTTCTGTCTGGATGGGGACAGCGCATCTGCCTGGCTGTGTGGGGAGGGGATCTGAGGTTCTGACTGTTACTTAAAGTTTCACTTTGACCTCCTGCTTGAACCCCACTCTTCCCCTGACTTGGGGCTCTGCAGTGTGACTCAGGTTTTTCTCAGCTGATTTAGGAGGCAGCTCTCTTGAGTCTATAGCATCAGTTACCACTTCTTCCTTTACTTTTCAGCTTCCACATTCTGATGCTGTTATCTTGTCTTTCATTCTCTTTTTCTTAGGGGATACATACCTTAATTTAGAAAATTCCCCTTAATTGTCATTTTAGAGTTTTAGGAGAGTGAGGTTAGTGGATGTGTTCAGTCCACCCTCTTTATTATGATAGTGAACTTCTTATCGACACAGATTAAGTCTGTAGGTTCTTACCTCAGATTGCCTGGCTTGGGTATCAGCTCTGTGGGTTACAAACTCTGTACCCTTAGGTAAGGATCTGCCTTCTCTGGGCCTCAGTGACCTCATCTGTGCAATATTTTGGCATTCTGGTTTGAACGCAAATCGCAGGTTAGTTTTAGCTTCCCTGCAGTTTATTTATAGCATCCTCCTGTTCGTTTTAAGTTTCTGGGTTTCCCAATTGTTATTTAACCACTGATTTCATCTAAGTTTTAGTGAATCAGAAAATCAGTCCAGAGATCTCTAGATTTTTTATCTAAACCTGTGGTTCCTAAAACTTGTGTAGAAGAAAATGCCCCTTGAGGAGTCATAATGTTTGTGCATTTTGTGTTACCTTTTCTTTCCCCGCCGAGGGGTCTCACTCTGTAGTGCAGGCTGGAGTGCAGTGGCATGATCTTGGCTCACTGCAACCTCTGCCGCCAGGGTTCTAGTGATTCTCCTGCCTTAGCCTCCCGAGTAGCTGGGACTACAGGCACGCGCCACCATGCCCGGCTAATTTTGGTACTTTCAGTAGAGACAGGATTTCACCATGTTGGCCAGGCTGGTCGAACTCTTGACCCCAAGTGATCCGCCCGCCTCGGCTTCCCAAAATGCTGGGATTATAGGCGTGAGCCACCACACCTGGCCCACTTTGTGTTACTTTTTATGGAATCTTGATTTATTAGTAAAACTAAATATAGAATTATAGGCTAAAGCAGAGACTATTTTATACTAGAATCTAGTCTAGAAAGGGTAAGAAAAAACTGGGGAGGTTAAAATGCACAAATTCTATCCAGTTTCTTCTCCACCCCTCCACCCTGAAGCTGTGAAAGAGAATCATTTGGTTTTTGGAGTGGCGTCTACTGCCAGCTCACAGAGGACTGTTGCCCATAGGAGGGTGGTGTGGGAACCACAGGTCTGAGATAAGCTTGGTCATTTTCAGTGTTGGCTCAGAATCATAGAACAGTTGAGAAGGAATGAATGCTGGTCATTTAAAACAGCGTACTTTTGGGTTATTTGGGTTCAAAGAGACACACTGAGTCAAAAGACTTGGGTTTGATCCCTGGCTCTGTCCGTTTGATTGCATGACCATGGTAAGTCCCCAAGCTCCCTAGGCTTCCATTTCCTCATTTATGAAATGAAGGGGTTGGCTAAATAATCTCTCATGTTCCATGTGGCTGTTAAAAAACTCTATGAAATGCTTATCCCTACCAAGAACATTACTCTCCTTGACAACATTAATAATTTAGTGGTCATCTCTTCTCCCCTTGAACAGCTCTAGTCACAAGGGCCACTTGCCTCCTCTAGTGGTGAACAGTCCACTATGCCAGCTTAAAAAGAAAGGTGGTCTTGGCACTTTCCCGGCCCCCTTTCTAACTCCCTTTTCCGCTTTCTGACGGCCTCTTTCCCTGTGCTGCTTTCGGACCATCTAAAGCTCTCCACTGCGGCAACTCACTAGTCCCACTCCCCTTTCTCTGAGTAATCCATGTTCCCAAAATGACCTCTTTTCTTTTCCTAACCCCACATTTCTAGAGTGGGCTGATCTCAATTAGATATGAGATTATCTGGTTAAAGTAATTTCCAGTTAGGTATAAAGGATGACTAGGTTTCTTCAACTACTACTAGATTCCAATAGCACCCCTCCCCTCAGTTGTGATCACCAAAAATGTCTCTAGAACATTGCTTGCCAATTGTCCCCTTTGGGGTTGGGGGTGGAGGGCAAGCAAAATTGCTTTAACTGAGAACCACTGTTCTCTATAGATAGTTAATGTCTCATCTCTCTAAAATTAGAGTTCTTTGGTTCTATAACAAAATATACTGTTTCCAAAACATTCTTGTCATTTTGCTTTCTGTTTACCTTCTATTGATTTAACCTGACCTTGGCAGGAGTAATTAAAAAAATGGTAAAACACCTGATTCTGAAAAGTTCTTATACCTTAGTGAATTCTCTTTAGGGAGGTCAGAGGTGGGTCTTTTTGCAAGACAGGCATCCACTTTTAGGGGAAAGCCTATTGTATCAGTAGTTGATACCTTGGAGCCCCTAGATGATGTATCAGAATGAACTGAGGGTGAGGAACAGAGTCTGATTTGCTTGCTGAGAAACTCCAGACTAGCTTAATGGAGCTGCATTGGACAGTTGTAGCCAGCAGAGGTCTCCATCCACTTTTAATTAACTCATTTTCCCTCTGAGTATTTAAATCTTTCCAAGAAATCCTAAATGCCATGAGCCACTCTGGTGCTTCACACTGACATCTTCCTGATAGCTGCTCTCTAGAGACCATTTCTTTCAGATGAAGAAGAAGAAAGAAAATCCTGCTTAGCACAGGATTTTACTCTCCCTAGATGCAATAGAGCTAAAGTTTCTGATTTGGCCCCAGAAATGTGGGGTAGGGTCTTGGTGAGGAAGGTATTGGAGCAACATTTTGCAGCTTAGAGTTTAGGATCAGAAAGGCTACAATCTGACAGATGTCTAAAGTGGTGAAAGTCCTTGTTGTGACGGGAATTTGTGTGTACCAAGGGAGAAAGTCATACTACCTGACAAAGAAAGGAAATTAAATTCCCTTAGATGTGATAGTAGCAGCCAAAAAGTTAACTACAAGGCTAGAGCCTAATGTAAGTAACAGCTATAGTTAGACTAAGACTTTTGAAAAAAAGTACAACCTGTGTCTCTGGTATCTATTCCTGAAGGCCACCAGTGAGCAGTGCTGCCACACGTGGCATTGGGCAGACTACTGGGGGCTTATAGGGCTTTTTGTGGGGAAGTTAAAAAACAGTTCCTTAAGTCAGTAGAAGACAGTAGTTGTAACAGTATAAAGCTGACTTCTCAGTTGGCCTTTTATTGTCCTGTGAGCTAATGATTAACTAGTTAATTTATTGAATCCCTAATGTTTTTTGGTGGGGGGAGAGATTATAGGAGATAATAAAAAAAATCTTTGATCCCCATTCACAAAGGGCTTGTGTTGGGGATATATGGGTATAAGCATAAAGAAAGTTGAGAAGATGATGCCGATATTTCTAGGTACATTATGGGTCATTAAGGGTCTGAAATGGAAGGGAGAAAGTTGGGGCTAAAGCTGTCAGGATGAATTTCTTGGAGATGTAGAATCTGAGGTAGGCCTTGAGATGGGAGTTCCATCAGCCATCTTTCTTATGTTGGAAGGCAGGCAGAAGTATGCAGCTAAATATTTTTCTGTAGTCAAATGGAACATTCATATTCCCAGTCTCCCCTGAATCACAAAGAAAAAGTACACAATCTGGGATCTCAGAAGGCTGGATAGACACTAGACTGTATCGTTAGAAATGTTTGTATGGATAGGGAGGAAGGTGTAAATGGATCCCCAGTTTATCTGTTGAGTAGAATTTCCAAACATTCTTTTATTGGTCAGTGGCTCCACCAGCAGTGACCTCTAACCTCAGCCACACTAGGAGGTGGAAGTCAGGAGCCTGACTTGCCTTTGAACTCTTCTTTGTACTCAATTGACTAGAAGCCTTTGAGGTGGCAGAAACATTCAGCATCTTCTTTTCTCTCTAGCCTTTAACACTTGGGGTACATTAAAATACCAGTTTCTTTTCAGTCTATTACACTGATCCATCTCAATGTGCCTTCATATTTTTCTATTAAGCAAACCAAATATTGGTGCTGCAGAGAAGTACTTGAAGATGTAGTGGGCTGATTAGGAAAAAGACAAAACAATTTTATTTAAGAAAATAAAACCTCTAGACTATAGTTGGGCCTAGTAGTGATCAAGAAGAGAGTAGAAGAGGCTACAGAACAGTAAATGTGTGCATACACCGAAGTTCCTGTACTTTATAGGAGAGCCCCTATCAGGGGCCTCTTATTTTATCCTACTTGCATACAATTTCAACACATTTGAATTATTTGGTTTCCATAGCCGTAGTAGTTTGGAAGAGACACATTTAAAGTGAAGAAAGACTACTAACAGTGAAGGTATCTGAGATGGGTTATCTGCTAATCTGGTATGAATAAAGAGGATGGAAATACTTTTTTTTTTTTTTTTTTTGAGACAGAGGCTCGTTGTGTCACCCAGGCTGGAGTGCAGTGGTGCGATCTCAGCTCACTGCAACCTCTGCCTCCTGGGTTCAAGTGATTCTCGTGCCTCAGCCTCCCAAGAAGTTGGGATTATAGGCATACGCCACCACACCCAGCTAATTTTGGTATTTTTAGTAGAGATGGGGTTTTGCCATGTTGCCCAGGCTGGTCTCGAACTCCTGACCTCAAGCAATCAGCCCTCCTCAGCCTCCCAAAGTGCTGGGATTACAGGCATGAGCCACTGCACTGGGTGGAAAAGCTATTTTTAATAAAAAAGAATGCTCAGCATATTGAATGTAAGGATAGCCAGCTTTTCAGGTTTCACTTTATCCTGGATATATCATTATAAGATGGCAGAATTCCTCAGTTCAGAGAAGTACATCTTTATTTTTCGTATTTGGAATTTCTGACATCCAAATAAGTCTTATCATCAATTTGAACATCAAATGTAGTTTCTGTTTCTTCCCACAAAACTGTTATTAATGTGGCATCTTAAAATTGAGGAAATACAGAAATTACTATTCATGGTGATGCCCCTGAATCTTTAAGCTAAGTTTAATTTTGTTTAGCATATATGTTTTTAAGATATTGGATCTTGTGTAATATGTTTTATAAAGTTTTCTGTTTAAGATGTTTGTTTTTATTTTTAAAAAGTGTTATTTGCTTAAAAGTGTAAACCCTCAGATGTCTAGAAACCTTAGCAACCCAGACTGATGTACTGAGGGTTCCCTGTGCTGCTGGCCAGTCTGTTATGTCCATGACAGTTACATAGCTGTCTGTGTCAATTTCTCCCTCCTTTCCCACCCCCAGTGTACACCAGTTTACAAAGCAGACTCAACAGAGTAGTAAGCTAGGCCATTAGAAGAGTAATCTGAATTTTTTTATGTGAAGAAACTAAGGATAAAGAGACGTAAAGTAATCCTCCCAAGACCACACAGCATGTGAGGGACAGACAAGCAGCACACTCTGTTCTGCTGCCTACAACTTCATTCAAACCACAGAGCTGTGTGGCCTGGATTGAGGGTAAAAATCAGGATGAGCTTCCTAACAATTCAAGCTAAGTGCTTATTGAATAGTCTTCCTTGAAAAAGTGGTTGCTTGAGACATTTAGGACTGGACACAGCCCTGGAAATATATTATGAGGAATGTGGAAAAGGTTTCACTCTAATTTCCAGTATCAGTGTTATAATGTCTACCATTCTTATCCACCCTGCACCGCCACTGTGAAATTGAGGATTTTAAGAAGTATACATAAACTGGACTCTTGGGGCTTTTTAAAAAATGCCAAATATTCCCTGCCCCTCCTCCTCCCCTCTCCAGTCCTGACATGCCACTCCAAGCTGTGTTTCGTGGTCTCTGCTTTTGTACTTGCCCTTAAACAGTTACTGGCTGCTTCCCTTAAACAGTGCACATTGACCTGATCCCTGGAGTTCTTCCTGTGAAGTAGACAACCATGGTTCTAATACAAAGGGAGGCTCTTTGGCCAATGGGAGAGCCTTGGTAATGGGTGTAATCATTTTGTGGGATATTTTAAATTTCACAGTTTTTTTTTTTCAGTAGCACTCTATATTCTGTTTGAATTTTCCTAGTATGTATATCCCTATTGTGAAGGAAAGTGGTCAACATGTGTTGTTTAAAGCAGCATAAAATAAGGTCTCATTTAATTGGAATTCTTAAAGAAGACCATTTTTATGTGTTTAACTATTTTTTTCAACTTTGTTATTAAGAAGCTTGTTGGAAAAAGACTTTTACCAAGTATCTGATGATGGGAAGCCAAGAAAAGCATTTTAATAGAACTGTCTCAGATTTACAATGCACTAGGGCCTGTAAATAAATTTTCCTGTCTTTAAGGTTTGGACTGATTTGCAGTTGTTTTGTATAGCTTCTGAGATCTAAATCCTCACAGTCCAGATGGAGAGACCATAAAGTTACTTTCCCTGGCAGCCTTGGTCTGTCTTGTCTGTGGGCAAATACAATTGAGTAGTATGTGGATCTTAGTCTGTATAGGTCACCCGTTTTACTGTGATGCCAGTTTTAATTGGTTTGGTGACTTTTCCAAGAGCAGCTCACCAAAGCATTCTTTAAATTTAGGAGAATTAGGGTCCCTAATTTCATAATGCAAATCTAAATTCTCACAGTCTAGATGGAGAGACCATAAAGCTACTTTCCCTGGTAGCCTTGGTCTGTCTTGTCTGTAGGCAAATACAGTTGAGTAGTATGTGGAATTTAGACTGTGTAGTATAGTCACTCATCTTATTGTGATACCAGTTTTAATTGGTTTGGTGACTTTTCTAAGAGTAGCTCACCTAAGCATTCTTTAAATTTAGGAGAATTAGGGTCCTTAATTTCATAATGCAATCAGTTAAATAAATATGGATTAAGGACTTGCTTTGTTCCTAGTATTGTACTGGCATGTTGAGGGAGATTTTAAAAAGGGTGGGCACAGATCCTGTCTTTAAGAAAGGCCCTCAGGTTGCTGGAAAGAGAACTTTCAGTAATACATAAATTATAAGGCCAGGAGTGCTGTGTACTCAGTTATGCTAAGGAGAGCCAGGAATGACCTCAAGATCAGAGTGGATCAGAAGGTGAAAGGAATCTTCACAACTGGGTAGCCTCAGATAGAGAGGGTGAACATCAGGGCACTGACTTCCACCAGGAGGTTCTGTGGAGAGACTAGTAGGTAAGAGGAGCATCTGGTGGCACAGGCACGGGAGGCAGGGGAGAGCTTTGAATACCAGCAACAGAGAACTTGGTTGAGAACTGAAGGGAAGGACGGTAACTAACAAGCGGAAGGTAATGAAAAGATTTGTGAGGCAAGGAGAAAGCAGTGAACATAATTGAAGAGATTTAGGAAAGAAATCAAAGAGCTGGAAGGGACCTTAGAAATTATTCAACCCTTTCCTTGTATTTTACAAGTGACAAGTAAGCCCTAGAGTTGCAGTAATCTTGAGAATGAATTGTTAGGCCTAGTCTGCAGCTGGAACCTAGGTCTCCTGACTCCCAGTCTGATGATTTGTTTTTTTTTCATGGTGTACTGCAGTATTTTCCAAACCGAAGGTAATGATTCATTAGCAGATCATGAAGTCAATTCAGTGGGTCACGACTGGCATTTTTTTTTTAATGAAATATAATAGGAAACTATTAGAGAGCTTTATACAGAGTAAGGGTAAATATTTCCTGTAGCTTTTGTTCCAGTAGTGAGTTGTTGCATAAAATGTATTTGTGTATTTCTTACTGTGGGTCCCAGTCCAGAAAGTTTGAGGAAAGTTGGTACTGGAAAGCCCAGTGGGCCTGTGAGTTGGAGAGACTTGAATTTGAGTCCTGCTCTGCCGGGTGTGTACCAGTTTTGTAGCTTCTGTTTTCTTACCTATAACGTGGAGCTAATAATAGTATGGAGTAGTTGTATTGATTAAATGAGATGATTGACTCAAAGCATGTAGATTCTGGCCCCCCACTCTATGCTGGCCGTCATTTGGGACAACTCCTCCTGGGGCAGCATTTAAGTATTAGAAGGAGCCTCCAAGGAATGCAGAGTGGTCTTAAAGAACCACAGTAAGTTACAACTACTGATGTATTATGCATTTGCTTCTGGGCTTGGAAACTCGAAAGAGAATTTATTCCTGTGGGTTCTGGTGTACATTTTACATCTTGGCATGGAAGAGGCTTACTTCTCTCTCTCTCCTTTTTTTTTTT
Source organism: Homo sapiens (assembly GCF_000001405.40). NCBI lineage: Eukaryota > Metazoa > Chordata > Mammalia > Primates > Hominidae > Homo > Homo sapiens. The sequence continues at coordinate 44,139,132 of NC_000011.10, forward strand.
TTGCGTGTGTGTGTGAGGATCAGAATGACTTGTAGGGAGATAAAAATCAGTGACTCTTTAGCTGACCTTTTTTTTTTTTTAATTCATTGGCACATTTGGATAAAGTATTATTGCTTTCTTTCCCCTTTCCAATGGAAAAAAAAATGGTACTGAGCCTTTTCCCCCTTCTAATCTTTTCTTTGCCTGATCATAATTTTATCCATTTTTTTAATTAAAAAAACTTGTAGAGGAAAGTTAGAATCAGAATAGATGTTTGAGTGGTAAACAGCTGAGGAGCTACAGTCTAGTAAGTATAAGCTAAAAATAAAGGACATTTTTATGTGAATTTAGGAGGACTGGTCACATACCTTTTAGAAATAGCTGTTCACATCCTGCAGAAAGGAGAATGAGTTCTGATATCTGATTTTCATGGTGCCCTCTGCCTCTTCACTTTTCCTCTTCTCCCCATTTTGCTGCCTCTGCCTCCCTTCCCCCATTTCTTTCTAGCCAGCTCCATCCCCTATTGGAAATCCCGCTGGAAAGGGGAGACGAGCTTCATCTCCCACATGATTTGGGCCAGGGGCTAAAGCACTCCCATAAATCTGCAGCTCATTTTAATGCCACGTTAAAACAGTGTGAGCGGCTGGTTTCCGTGGCCCCTGCCCTTTTCTTTATGGGCTTCTTTGGCTCTTCTTTATAAAGAGGCCCTGTGGAGTCATTTTAAAGTCCTTATCAGTTTGCTGACAGCTATATGGGCCTTTCTGCTGAGTCCAGGAGCTCAGGCAGGCGTGTGAAACTTCTGATATTAAAATTGAAGAAAAATGCCAGGCAGAAGGGATTGGGTGGTGGGGCAGTGGTGCAGAGGTGAAAGACTAGCAAGATAATTAACCTTTGCAGGTCCGGAACCTCGCCGTTGGCCACTGGTAGGGGCAGGGCAGGAAGGGTTAGGCAAAAGAGGGTTTTCCAAGGGCTTTTATTTTTATCCCAAGATTAGAAATGCCATTCCACTGGCAGTTTGTGCTTTCACGCTTCAGCAAGTGAGTTGGGCAACTTGAAGGGTTAGGGTGGCCAGGTTTGCAATGAATTTTTTCCTAAAGGCAGTCTGACTGGCTGGACCTCTGCTTGCGTGTCTTTGCCAGCTCCAGCCTGCTGTCTCTGCCTCCGCAGCATCACTGTTATCGAATTTAAAGGGACTTTCATCAGTCTGCTTTGCTGACCCTTTTAGAACAGACTGTTAACCCTCAATAATCCTCCCAGAGAGTTTCATGGAAACACCAGGCCCTCCATAAATGTCAGCCTGCGATGCTTGGCCCTTTTTACCCTCTCTGTTATAGAGAAGTAGACTAGAGGCTGCTCCTGCCTCTATCCTACCACTTTTCTTTCTTTCTTTGCTGGAAAACTGCAGCAGACAGCTGAGGGGAAGGAAAAACCATTACCTGGATCAAGGCCAGTGGTTTGATGGGAGCTTCAAAATCTTTGGCATCTCCTGCCCAGAATGTTTTTCCAGGCATTTTAAAAAGAGCATCCTTACTCTCCTTCTCCTTTAAACCTTCCAACTTTGACTTCCAAAGGGGGATGGATGGGTAGAATAAGCCCTTAGAATGTACTTTATATCTTCCTGCTCTTCTTCTAACTAAAGCTTTTAGGAAGAGGTTAGTAGTGATAAGCAAAATCCAATGGGCATATATATTTCTAACTACTCTGTATACAGCTTTTTGGCACAAACATGTTATTTTTCCTTTTTCAAGTGGACATGAGCAGTTTTGCAAGTGTGTTCCATTTAAAATAGTCATTTAACTTGAGGTTGAGGCAAAAGCAAGAATTTTTATAGTAAGTTAGTCAAACATATATAGCTGTTGATCTTGGATTGTCATTGAACAAATAATAAAATATACTGATTCATTTTATTACTCGTGTAGCTGTTGTGGGGAAGAGTACAGTCATCCCTCAGTATCTGTGGGGGATTGGTTCCAGGACCTCCTGCAGATACCAGAACTCAAGGATGCTCAAGTCTCTGCTACAAAATGGCATAGTATTTGCATATGACCTATGTATATCCTCCCTTATACTTTAAATTACCCCTAGATTAATTATACTTCCTAATACAATGTAAATGCTGTGCAGATAGTTATTATACTGTATTGTTTAGGGAATAAGTGAAAGGAAGAAAATTTTATGTATGTTCAGTACAGGCACAGTTTTTTTTCCGAATATTTTTGATCTGTGATTGGTTGAATCCATGGATGTGGAACCACAGATACAGAACCGCAAATACAAGGGACCAACTGTAATTGTACAAAAACCAAATGAGCAGCAAAACAAAGCAAAATGCCCCAAACTCCAAAGTGGTAGAATCACTTTTCCATACTTTTCTGATGACTAAGTTGATATCATCTAATTAGTTAAGTTTAATTTAGGACAGTGAACTGGGTGTTATTGCTTATACTATACTCTTAACAAACTAAACAACTTTTAAGTATGTTGAAAGTTGTCAGTAAATTTATGATCATGAACAATCTTCATTACATAGCCTTTTGAAGGTGGCGGGTAAAATGGTCACACTTTCCTCCTTGGGCATTTGTTGGAGAATAGTCTCTAAAGTTAACCATCGGTTTAATCCCTTGTCATGAATCCCCAATATGGGATATTGCTTTAGGAAATAGCCTCCCTAATAAAAGTGTTAAATGTTAATTTGCAGCCTATGTAAGAAATCTCTGATTACTTGGGGCTGGTTTCCCACAGGGTGGGACTATTTGACAAATATTTCTGAGAAATAATGATCATTACAGGAAGCGAAGTGCAGGTTTATGAATTCATGCCGTACCTACTTAGACAAATATCTAGGTTTACAATACAATAACTTGTAAAGTATCAAGTGTCAATGTGTTTGGTAGAGAACTCAGTGTTTTCAAACCTTCAAATAAGGGTTAAACTGATTAATAAAATAAGTCATTTTGTTTATTTGCCTGAATTTAGTATGTAGATGGCTAACATGCTACAAATATTGGCAACAACAGAAACATAGGATTTCTGTCTCTATTTATAAATATTAAAATAACTTACTATATACTTACATATATTCTGTCTCCTTAAGCATTGCAGAGGCTGAGAGAATTTGGAGTTGCCTAATTATTTTTGGCATGGCATAATTTATAGTTTTATAATAGCACAATTCATCTTATAATTCTGTGCTACTGTTCTTGGGAATGTTTAGACAACAGTCACATATATTTATTTCTTTATCTTCACTCAGAGTACAAGATAGCTCCACTTAAGCCATTTCTGGCAATATAGTTATTTTTCTACCGGTAACTTAAAGGCTAATTTGTTATATTTCAGTGGGTAGTTACTGCCCATTTTGATAAGGAGTTTAATAGCAGGAAAACAGTTTGCTTGTTCCTTCAGATTCCAATACTTTCTTATGAAGAGGGACAAGTGGTTTTTTTCCAAATGTTTGAAGTCTATCTATACTGAACTTTTTTAAAGTTTCAGGTTAATTTGATCAGGATTTAATGATCTTATACATGTATTATTTATATTTTAGGAAGACCTTTGAGTTTTTCCTTTGGTTTTAAGCTGCAGACTATGGTTGAGGGCAGCAGTGTGGTATTCTGGCATTTGATGGGAATGAGGAGACCTACAGGCCAGTGATACACTGAAGGGTCTGAGTAACATGCTCATGACTGTGAAGCAGTGCATAGGGAATATTAGACCTGATCCTGCTCCCTTCAGCTTAGAATAACTCCAAATCATGATTCCTCCCGAATCTCTTTGCCTAGCAAGCTATAAATGAATTCACATATGATATATCAGATATATAATCTTTGGAAATACTTTCATTTATTTACTTAAATTTTTTGAAATAGAGTCTTACTCTGTCGCCTAGGCTGGAGTGCAGTGGCGCAATCTGGGCTCACTGCAACTTCTGCCTCCCAGGTTCGAGCGATTCTCCTGCCTCAGCCTTCCGAATAGCTGGGATTACAGGTGTGCACCACCACACCTGGCTAATTTTTGTATTTTTAGTAGAGACAGGGTTTCACTATGTTGACCAGGCAGGTCTTGAACTCCTGACTTCAGGTGATCCACCTGCCTTGGCCTCCCAGAGTGCTGGGATTACAGGCATGAGCCATCACACCTGGCCTTGGAAATACTTCCAGATTAGAAACTATAGAAGAGAAGGAGTTCAACTGTCTAATCTTCTCCAGTAGCAACTTTTAACTGTGAGATGTGAGAGGGATATGATTCCCTGGGGGAATTTTCAAACTTCACATATCACTCCTACTCCTCCCACTCTTGTAGGCTTTCTGGGCTGGGGGCTTGGGACATGAATCTGTCTTGAGAGTCCCTGCCATAACAAACCACAGTTACTCCTACTCATAGGTGTTTGTCGTCCTTCAGATGAGAAGGGGCAAGGAGAAAAAGTGAGAGCCACTGACATAGCAAGTGTAGCTCCCTCTTTTCAAGAGTCTCAATTTGGGAAACATACACAGGGGTCTTCCCTCGGAATCACCAGCAGAGCTTGTCCCTATAACCCTTAATCAGAAGATGGGGCTTTCTACCAGCAAGCAGTTCATAGAGGACTCATGTGCCTCTGGTCAGGTGCAGCAGTGATAGATGGTATTGGACCTACACGATTCTCAATGTCATTTTTCCAGGAATGTGTAGTAATAATAGTGGACAGGGCTGCTGTGCTACCTGACTGCTGAGTTAGTATTCATGGCCAAAAGGAAAACCTGCCAGAGAGTGTCTCCTTGGTGTTCTCCGGAATCATTGCTATGTGGGAAAGAAAATAGAGTAGAGAACGTCACGCTAACATGGCTGTCATGATAGCAGCATTGGGGATAAAGTGAGCTTTTGATTTCTCCCGTCTTACTCCCTTCATGTGTTGTGTTTGTGTGTGTGTTTTAATTAAAAGGAGCAGGTCTTTCAAGTGTGCCTGGTTGGAGTGAGGCTTGTTTTAGATTTGCTTTCTCTAATCAAACAAACTTACGCTTTCTTTCTCCTGGTTTTAGCATAGCAAACATGGAAAATCTCGCCCCAGGCAGATTCCTTTATAGCTAGTTGACCCAAGTTGTGCTCTTATTTATTTATTTTTGATGACACATCTTGATTAAAGGTTTCCAATTCACCTTTCAGCTCTTCATGGAACCAGCCAGGAGAGAGAACTGGTCAGCTGCTAATCACCAAATGAACTCCCTGATCTGGCCTAGGGAACAGTGGGATTCACAGGCATGGGTGACTTAGAAAACCGGGCCCAGCAGAAATGAATCTCTAGTCTCTTTGCTGAGAAGGCTTGACCAAACACAGTTTTATTGGTCAGTGGCTCCTGCTTTAGTAACCTTTCACCCCAATGGCTCTTGGAGGTGCAAGCCACTGGCCGGCCTTGCCTTTGAACTCCTCATGGCTCCTGCCACCTCAAAGGCTCCCAGTCAGAGGCTTGTGTTTTGCTAGGGACCTCACCTCACAGCAGGGTTTCAGCAGTTGGGAAAACCGATCCACCCTTAGAACATTGACATATTTGAAGGTGATACCCCTGAGACTTGAAACCTAGGGCTTTCTATTTCAGGAGCTGTCTGTCACATGCCAAGAAACATGACTCAGGCTTCCCCTTTTCCCTTCTTGACCCCTTCTTGTTTCCTGGAGGACAGGAGGTCATAACATGGGAGCGTTCCCTCAGAGTATTCATGAAGTCCTCTCTTACTGTCAAGCTCTTTCACCCCTTATTCTTCTAACGTTCCCCAAGTAGCATTTATTTTGAAAGTTTTTTTTTAATAGGGCAAAAGCATGCAAATCACAAGCATCTTTGGTGTCTGGGAACATAGTGGTGAAGATGGTGTAGTGGAAGTGTCATGAGGCTGTGTGTTCAGTCCTAAAGCATTCAGATCACAGAAGTCCTAGTTGTGAGAGAGCCCGGCTGTAGTTTTCTTTGCCTTCTTGATTCCATTCCATCTTCAGAAAAAAACTAGATCTTGCAAGAAGACATAGAAATAGCATGGATTGTCCTCCCGCATCTGCTTGGGTTCTTGCCTGAGGAGCAGAAGTGAAAACTGTTGGTATTTAGAAGCAAATCCAGGGAGCTGTCGATATTAGATGACTTCAGTATAGCTTCTTTGGCAAGAAATCAAACATCTCATTCTAAAAACATTGAGTAGAAAATGCCTCTTTTACTCATGATGCCTTTAGCATAGAAAAGGAGCAAATAATATCCATTGAAGTCTTTGCTTTTCTACAATTCAAATAGAATATTATTGATGATATTATAATACTACTTTTAGCAGAAAGGACAAAGGTCTCTTTCTGCCTTAGAGCAAAGTTTAAGTTTTCAGAAGAGTTATCAGAAGAGTTAGGCCTGTTTCTACCATTGTCTTGTTCTATGGTCATGGGTATTTTCATGAGTAGGATCATGAGCTCACATTTCACAAGTTGCAAAGGGAAGGGCCAAATTAACATTTGTGTTAACTACTGTGTCTGGTACTGTACTGGGAGCTTCCTCATGAAAACTTGATGAGGTAGCTATTATTCTTATTTTTATAAAGGAGGAAAATGAACTTTAGAGGCTGAGTAGATGGCCTGAGGTTATAAAACTTAAGTGACAGATTCAAGATTGGGAAGAATTTTGGCATATGACTAAAAACTATGAACTTTATTTATAAAGCTCTCTTTTGTCCTTGTTTAGAGTACTCTTGAACTATTATAATCATCTAAAATATTTGTAAAATGCCTACTTTGGGTAATATACTATACACAATTCAGAGCTGTACAAGCCATGGTTCTTGTTCTCAAGTGGCCAACATTTTTGAAGGAAGAGGTATGTGATGTCCATTAGTGTCTATATTAGTTTGCTAGAGCTGCCATAACAAAATACCACAGACGGGGTGGCTTAAACAACAGAAATCTATTTCTCACAGTTCTGGAGGCTGGAAGCCCAAGATCAACGAGTTGGCAGGGAGGGTTTCTTCTGAGGCTTCTCTGCTTGTCTCGCAGATGGCTGCCCTCTTGCCTCCTCTTCACGTGTCGTCCCTCTGTATTCACGCACCTCTGGTGTCACTCTGTGTGTCCAAATTCCTCTTCTTTAAGGACACCAGATTGGATCAGGGCCCACCCTAACAGCCTCATTTTCACTTAATCACCTCTTTGAAAAGGCCCTTTCTCTAAATACAGTTACATTTTGAGATGCTAGGGGTGAGGGTGTCAACATGTGAATTTGGGGTAGACAATTCAGCTCAGCCCCAGGTCTGTATAAAGTATAAGACTCAAAGTCAGTAGCTGTCATTTAGTGGCTCAGTTGAGAAAGGGTTTTGCTTCTGACTGGAGTGCACCTCTGTGGTGTTTTCTCCTAACTCCATTCTCAACACCTTATCAAGTATAAGCAGTAGTCATGGTGTAAGGCCAGACGGGATAGGAGCCAGTGAAGAGGGGCGCTTTCACTACCACCTCATTCCGTTGCAAGTTGAAACACTGAGAACCGGCCTGTTGGGCTCAACTCAGAATTTGTGAGGCGACTCTGCCCTGGATACCTCATCCACAAGGTGGGACTTCTACTCATGGTTCCCTAATCACCACAGGGTAAGTTAGATTCTTAAAGTAGTTTATTAAGCCTAATAAATGCTCAGTTTTGTTTTGTTTTGTGGTATCAATGGAAAGATTCTTGGAGAAGACTTTTTTCTTCATTGAAATTTTGCATATCACAGTTTATGTTTTAATTCCAGAAGGGGAAGGTTGAAGGTTCAGGATTCTACACTAGATTGAGAGCTTTGGTCCTTTAACAAATGCTTGAGAATTTTAAAAAGATTTAATAATACAGAAAACCTCTTATAATAAAAGCAATTCTTCATTCTTACGCTTACATCACTCAAGATGGTTGATTTGGGGGATGGGGAGGACAGAAGGTGGCAGAGGAAACAGATTTATGAAAGTAACATATCTCTACCCCTAAAGAGAGATTGTTAATTTATCCTTGTAACATTGCATGCCTGCCTTTTGTTGCCTCACCTAGATGCATCAGCTAGATCAACCCGCCCCAGCACATACTTGTACACCCTAGCTCTCTGAATCAGCCAGGTTGATGGAGTGTTAATGTGGTAGTAAACTGTAATAAAGAAGAAATCTTTTCAGCAATTTTTTAAAAACCTTTTTTAAAATTATAGAATTGTAGTCTCCTTGGCCCAGATAAAGTCATGGCCTTCCCTACCTCATTTGTGTTTTTCAGAGCATTGGATTCTCCTTGACTAGTAGGCAGGGCACAAAGTGTTTAGAAGATTAAGGAGACACTATCTTACAGAAGATAAACTCAGAAGCCTGAGTAAATAAATTTCTTCTAATGTTTTCCCTATTGATTCATTGATTCACTAGTAAAGCAGAGTTTACTAATAACACACTTCTTTAATAGCAAGCCATATTATATGCATTAATTATTAATGGGCTAGGCCTGGGCAGGAAGATACCTGGTTTTTTGTTGTTGTTGTTTTGAGACAGAGTCCTGCTCTGTCACCCAGGTTGGAGTGCAGTGGCGTGATCTCTGCTCACTGCAAGCTCCGCCTCCCGGGTTCACGCCATTCTCCTGCCTCAGCCTCCCGTGTAGCTGGGACTACAGGCGCCTGCCACCACCCCCAGCTAATTTTTTTTTTTTTAATTGAGCATTTTCCCCCTTGTACTCCACATTGTCTTTTTTTTTTTTTTTGTAGCAAATTTGTTGACATAATTGGGACATTTAACATTCTATATTTTTGGACCTGAGAGAGGAGGTTTATTTTTATCCAGCAGCAAGCTACTATTTTAGGTGCTGTGGGATCCTCCCTATATTCAAGGAAGTAACTCTCAAGGGAATTGTGAGCTGAGCATCACGCTTGGAGCAAGGCACGTTGGAGTACTAATAGTGGCATGAGAGGTAGTGGGACGGCCAGCAGTCATGTGCATCTGTTTCCCTCCTGTCCTTTTCAAGATTCTTAGTGCATGACTTTGGATGAGTTATTTAGCTTTAAATGTCTCCATTTCATCATCTGTTTGTTTTTATATTCTCTAGTAAGGACTAACTCCCAACTGTGTTACAATAAAAGAAATCAAGGTAGAAAGAGATCAGGAGTGAATGTGGGTACTATGTTACCTAGACAACTACTCCCTAAATGTTGTTGAGGAAACTTCTTGGTTATTGTTATTCTAAGGAGGGTCTTCCAACATCACTCAAGATGGACACATAACAGTCCTTGCCACTGTGTTGGGTCAGAGGTTAAATTTCTCTCTTAAATTAGCCAAGAGCACATAGGACTGTGGCTGAGAAAGGGAGACTTCTGGAAAAGTTGAACTTTATGGAGCATTAGGAGTCTTGAAGTCACTGATTGATTCCTTTAGGAATCTGTGCAGCACCATAGCCCAGCACATGCTCCAGTGTTACCCAAGGTAAATCAGGAAGTCTAGAAAAAAGCAGGACCAGTAAACCCCCATGAACCTGTCAGTGGCTCAATTTTCTCATCATAAAATAGGGATAATTGGGTTGTGAGGATTAAATAAATTAATACAGGTAAAATACTTAAAATAGCGCCCAATACATAATAACTGCCTAATTTAATCAACAGATATTTATTGAGCACCTGCTTTGTTCGGGTATAGTTCTGAGTGCTATAGATGCCACAGTTAACAGACACAAATCTCTGCCTGCTTGGAAGCTACATTCCTCTGGTGGGAACAGGTGTTAGATGATGCTGATAGTGATGATGGTGAGCATCGTCATTATCTGAGGTCACAGATGTTGGAAGCAGAATGAACTGTGAGCATTAAGTTCACTTTTCACCCTTTCTCCAGGGGTATTTGTCTTTTACACTGAGGTAAATACATTTTTTTGGGAAATTCCTGTGTTGAAGATTGTTTCTAGGTTGCTTGTCCTGCCTTTTTGTAATGTTTTCCTTCTAATTGCAAGTTTACTTGTCTTATTCCAAACTCCATGGCATGACTTAGAGAAAGAAAAGAGTTTGGGGTTGGGTGCAGTAGCTCAGGCCTGTAATCCCAGCACTTTGGGAGGTGGAGGCAACAGGATCACTTGGGCCCAGGAGCTCAAAACCAGCCTGGGCAACACAGCAAGGCCCCATCTCTACAGAAAATGAAAAACTTAGCTGGGTGTGGTGGTGCATGCCTGTAGTCTCAGCTACTCGAGAGGCTGAGGTGGGAAGATTGCTTGAACCTGGGAGATGTAGGCTGTAGTGATCTGTGATCATGCCACTGCACTTCAGGCAGGGTGACAGAGCAAGACTCTGTCTTAAAAACAGTTGGAGTTTGGAATCCCCATTTTTCATTTGCCTCTCTTTGTCCCATGTTCTATTTCTTTTTTCTGTATCCTTTCTCTGATGATAACTAGGTTTTTAAACTCTTTATAGGAATCAACCATGTAATCCAATGCCATATAAGCTTGTAAAGAGCTTGTAAATACGTATTGGACCTTGAAAATAAAACCTTGTCTAAAAACTCTTGTGAACTTACATGAGTACACTATTTTGATATCAGAAAGTATTGTCCTGGACTTCATCATTTAGACCTCTTCCCTACATTTTTGTCATTAACGAATATATGCTTTAGCCATTTTCTCTGGTGGAACTTAACTGCATGTTAATTCTTTAATTACCCCCCACAAATATAAATACTGAGACTGGAGATGAAAGGAAGTAATATGCTTCGAAATGGATGACATGTGCTTATATATGGGCCTTTGGGAATGTTCCAGGCCACTGTGTTTGAGATTAGGATTTGAGTGCTGGTCCATGTATTTTCTTGTTTTTCTAACCTTTGAGTGACTCATAGTTTTGGATGTAATAATAGATTTAGAACTCCCCAAAATTAAACTACACAAAGAGGAAATTGTTGTATATTCAACTTTTTATATGTGGATGGGGCTGCTGCTGATGTTGAGAGTTCTTCAGAAATTCTTTGGAACATGCTAGGGAAACATGGCCTGGAAGATTGTGTAGAGCCTTTTTTTTCCTCAGCACCAGGGAAATGGGATTAAACTGGAGGAGGTTAAGAGATGGTTAACAAAAATGCTAGGAGTGGAGAAAGTTAGATTTAAACAAGCAAGATCTTTGCAGCTAACCAAGGGGTAAGGTCATGAGCAAGTTGTCAAAATCCTGAGAAGGGCGAGAGAGAGAGAAATAAGGTCCATTTAGTATGGCACAGAGTTTCATAATTGTGTTTGTTAATATTAAAACTTTTTTTTTCCTTTTCACTACATATGTGCCAACTGGGTGGAGACTATTTTTAAGAAGACAAAACCACAATAATGAACAACCCATCGTGGATTCTACATTCTTACATATTTTTAGAAGGATGGAAATGTGGGATAAGGTAAAAAGAAAATTGAGATTAAATCCTAGGAGAAATTAATTCCTAGCAAGAATTATTGGGCTGTATAGGAGATCCTGGGAAGAAAGCAATATGTGTTCACTAAGGTGTGATACACTAGATCTTGCACTGGGCAGTGGCTACATTTAAAATGGTTCTCAGCTGTTCCTCTGGAACAACACAGCTTAAAATAGAGTCTCTACTAGTCAAAGCACGTGTAGTCTTGCCTTACTGTTGCTGAGAAAATTGTGATGTTAAGGATGGAGTTCTCTCTCCTTAATCCATTTATAATTTTGGGGGACACATGGGCCTTACTCTAGAGGAAATTCAGGATCCTAGTATAAAGAAGCTGTAAGAATCCACAGACCTATTATACAACAGCTGTAGTATTTATGGGCTGGTTTCTTGAGTCCTTGCCCATAGGTGAGGACTAGTAAATTTTGCTTAACATTGTGTGCCAACCATCAGAGAGTTTTTGATCTGTCTGGGAAGATAAGCTTTTCCCCCGTAGAATTACAATGGGGCAGAAAATAGATGCTGATTGTTTTGAAAAATTGTCAGATGAATTAGAAAAGAATTAAGGCTAGTTTCAAGGAAGAGATGAACATTAAAGTACAGATAGGATTTTTTAAATTAATAAACTTTAGATTTTTAGGAGAGTTTTAGGTTCACAGCAAAATTGAGCAGAAACTACAAAGAGTTCCCATATATCCCCCATCCTCATAGTTGTCCAACATACCCCACTATTTACTGAACACCATAGTGGTACATTTCTTACAGTTCATGAATCTACACTGGCACATCATTATCACATGAAGTCCATAATTTACATTAGGGTTCACTCTTGATATTTTACATTGTATGGGTTTGGACAAACATGTATCTACCATTGTAATATACAGAATAGTTCCATTGCCCTAAAAATCCTCTGTGCTCTGCCTATTAATTGCTCCCTTCTCCCAACTCTCGGAAACCATTGATCTTTTTACTGTCTCTGTGGTTTTGCCTTTTTTTGAAGTCATATAGTTGAAATTATATAGTATGTAGCCCCTTCAGTTTGGCTTCTTTTACTTAGTAATATGCATTTAAGTTTCCTCCATGTGTCTTCATGGCTTGGTAGCTCATTTCTTTTCAGTGCTAAATAATATTCCATTGTCTGGATGTACCACAGTTTATTCACCTACTGAAGGGCATCTTGATTCCTTCTATGTTTTGTATATGAATAAAGCTGCTGTAAACATCTGTGTGCAGGTTTTCGAGTAGATGTAAGTTTTCAGTGCATTTGGGTAACCTTCAGGGAGCACAGTTGCTGGCTTGCATGGCAAGAATACGTTTAGTTTTGTAGGAACCTACCAAACTATCTTCCAAAGTGGCTGTACCACTTTGCTTTCCCACCTGGAATGAATGACAGTTCCTGTTGCCCTACATCTTCACCAACATTTGGTGTTCTCAGTGCTTTGGATTTTGGCCATTCTAATAGATATGTATTTGTATCTTATTGCTGTTTTAATTTATAATTCCTTAATGATATGTGATATTGAACATCTTTTCATATGCTTACTTGCCATCTATGTATGTTCTTTGGTAAGGTGTCTGTTCAGGTCTTTTGCCATTTTTTAATCTGATTGTTCACTTTCTTATTGTAGAGTTTTACGAGTATTTTGTTTATTTTGGAGAACAGTCCCTTATTAGTCGTGTCCTTTGCAAATGTTTTCTCCCAGCCTGTGGCTTATTTTCTCATTCTCTTGACATTATTTGTTGCACATCAGGAGTGTTTAATATTAATGAAGTCCAGCTTATCTATTATTTATTTCATGGGTTATATCTTTGGTATTGTACCTAAAAAGTCATTGCCATACCAAGGCCATCTAGGTTTTCTCCTAAGTTATCATCTAGGAGTTTTATAGGGTTGTTGTTGTTGTTGTTGTTGTTTTTGAGACAGTATCATTTCATCACCCAGGCTGGAGTGCAGTGGTGTGTTCTCAGCTCACTGCAGCCTCCTCCTTCTGGGTTCAAGCAGTTCTCATGCCTCAGCTTCCCAAGTAGCTGGGACTACAGGTGCACACCACCACACCCGGCTAATCTTTGTATTTTTAGTAGAGACGGGTTTTCATCATGTTGGCCAGGCTGGTCTTGAACTCCTGACCTCAGGTGATCTGCCCTCCTCGCCTTCCCAAAGTGCTGAGATTACGGGCATGAGCCACTGCACCCTGCTGGAGTTTATAATTTTACATTTTATATTTAGGTCAGTGATCCATTGTGAGTAAATTTTTTTTGAAGGATGTAAAATCTGTCTAGATTTTTTTGTATGTAGATGTCCAGTTGTTTCAGCACCATTTGTGGAAAGACTGTCTTTTCTTCATATGTATTGTTTTTGCTCCTTTGTCAAAGATCATTCAGGTATATTTATGTAGGTCTGTGTCTGGGCTCTCTATTCTGTTCCGTTGATCTGTCTATTCTTTCACCAATATCACACTGTCTTGATGACTGTAGCTTTATTTTAAGTTTTGGAGTTTGGTAGTCTCAGTCTTCTGACTTTGTTCTTCAATATTGAGTTGCCTATTCTGGATCTTTACCTCTCTATACAAATTTAGAATCAGTTTGTTGATAGCCACAAAATAACTTGCTGAGATTTTTACTGAAATTTTGTTGAATCTATAATTCAAGTTGGGAAGAACCGACATCTTGACAATATTGAGTCCTCCCAGCTAGGAATATAGAATAGCTCTCCATTTATTTAAGTTATTTGATATCTTTCATCAGAGTTTTATATTTTTACTCTTATAGATCTTATACATATTTTGTTAGATTTATACTTATTTCATTGTTTTCAGTGCTAATGTAAATGGTGATGGGTTTTAAATTTCAAATTCCACTTATTCATTGCTAGTGTATATGAAAGGGATTGATTTTTGTATATTAAACTTATATCCTGCCATCTTGCAGTAACTGCTTATTAGTTCCATTTTGTTGTTGTTGTTGATTTTGTTGGATTCTCTATATAAACAATCATGTTATCTGTGAACAAAGACAGTTTTATTTCTTTTTTCCCAATATATATACCTTGTATTTTTTTTTTCTTGACTTACTGCATTGGCTAGGACTTTCAGTATGGTGTTGAAAAGGAGTGTGAGAGGGGACATCTTTGCCTTGTTGCTGGTCTGAGTAGAAAAGCTTTGAATTTTTCATCATTATGATATAAGCAGTAGGTTTTTTTGTAGATATTCTTTATCAACTAGAGGAAATTTCCTTCTATTCCTAGTTTGCTGAGAGTTTTTATCATGAATAAGTATTGGATTTGGTCAAAGGCTTTTTCTGTATCTATTGGTGTGCTCTTGGATTTTTTTCTCTTTAGCTTGTTGATGTGGTGGATTACATTAATTGATCTGTGAAAGCTGAACCAGCCTTGCATACCTGGGATAAATCTCACTTGATCATGGTGTTTAATTCTTTTTACACAATGTTGGATTTGAATACTGGTTGTTGTTGTTTTTTTTTAGAATTTTTTGCTTCTATTTTCATGAGAGATATTGGTCTGTAGTTTTCTGTTTTTTTTTTAATTAAAAAATTTTATGGGTACATAGTAGGTATATATATTTATAGGGTACCTGAGATAATTTTGATACAGGCATACAATGGGTAATTATCACATTAGGGAAAATTGGGTATCTATCCCCTCAAGCATTTATCATTTCTTTGTGTTACAGACGTTCCAACTATAGTCTTTTAGTCATTTTGAGATGTACAATAAATTATTGTTGACTATAGTCACTCTGTTGCACTATCAAATACTATATCTTATTTATTCTATCTAACTATATTTTTGTACCCATTAACCATCCCTACTTACCACTCCCCACCCTTCCCAGCCTCTGGTGATCATCATTCTACCTTCTATCTCTTTGAGTTCAGTTGTTTTAATTTTTAGCTCCTACAAATGAGTGAGAACATGCCAAAGTTGTCTTTCTGCACCTGGCTTATTTCACTTAACATAATGACCTCCATTTCCATCCATGTTGCAAATGACAGGATCTCATTCTTTTTAACAATTGAGTAGTTCTCCATTGTGTATAAGTACCACATTTTCTTTATTCATTCATTTGTTGATGGACACTTAGGTTGCTTCCAAATCTTGGCTGTTGTGAATAGTGCTATTATAAGCATGGGAGTATAGATACCTCTTCGATATACTGATTTCCTTTCTTTTGATATATATACCTAGCATTGGGATTGCTGGATCATAGTTTAGTTCTATTTTTAGTTTTTTGAGGAGCCTCTGTACTGTTCTCCATAGATGCTGTACCTGTTTACATTCCCACCAACACTGTATGAGGGTTCCATTTTCTCTACATCCTCACCAGCATTCATTATTGCCTGTCTTTTGGTTAAAAGCCATTTTAACTAGGAGGAGATGATATCTTATTAGAGTTTTGATTTGCATTTCTCTAATGATCAATGATGTTGAGCACCTTTTCAGGTCTTGTAACAACATGACTTAATTTTGCCCATTTTTAAATTAGATTTTTTTTTTGCTATTAAGTTGTTTGAGCTCCTTATATATTCTGGTTATTAATCCCTTGTCAGATGGATTGTTTGCAGATATTTTCTCCCATTCTTTTGGTTGTCTCTTCATTTTGTTGATTGTTTCCTTTGCTATGCAGAAGCTTTTTAACTCTGTGATCCCATTTGCCCATTTGATTGCCTGTGCTTTGGGGGTATTACTCAAGAAATCTTTGCCTAGACCAATGTCCTGGACAGTTTCCCTAGTGTTTTCTTTGAATAGTTTCATGGTTTGAGATCTTAGTCTAAGTCTTTAATCCATTTTGATTTGATTTTTGTACATGGTGAGAGATAGGTACCTAGTTTCCTTCTTCTTCATTCCGTGTTATTGATAAGTTAAGGACTTATTCCTGCCATTTTGTTATTTGTTTCCTGGTTCTTTTGTGATCTTCTTATTTTTCCTTGCTTCTGTCCTGTCTTCCTTTTTGTGAAGGTGATTTTCTCTGGTAGTATGATTTAATTTCTTGCTTTCTATTTTTTTGTGTGTATCTGTTGCAGGATTTTTTTTATAGTTTAAGGTTACCATGAGGCTTACAAATAACATTTTATAATCCATTATTTTAAACTGATGACAACTTAACACTGATTGCAAAAACAAGCTAACAAGCAAAGAGAAAACTAATGAAAACTTACACTTCAACTTCACTCCTCCCTACCTTTTAACATTTTGTTTTTATTTATATTTTATGATACTGCCTATGTCTTGAAAAGTTGTTGTAGCTATTTTTGTTAGGTTCATCTTTTAATCTTTCTACCCAAGATATGAATAGTTTACACACCATAATTACAGTGTTATAATATTCTGTGTGTGTCTGTGGACTTGCTATTACCGGTGGGTTTTGTACCTTCAGACGATTTCTTATTGCTTGTTAACATCCTTTTCTTTCGGATTGAATAACTCTTTAGTATTTCTTATAAGACAGGTCTAGTGTTGATGAAATCCCTCAGCCTTTGTTTGTCCGGGAAAGTATTCCTCCTTTATGTTTGAAGAACATTTTTGCCAGATATACTCTAAAAGCTTTTTTCCTTCAGCACTTCAAATATGTCATGTCACTTTCTTCTAGCCTGTAAGGTTTCCACTGAAAAGTCTGCTGCCAGATGTATTTGAGCTCCTTTATATGTTATTTGTTTCTTTTCTCTTGCTGCTTTTAGGATCCTTCCTTTTTTCTTGACCTTTGGAAGTGTGATTATTAAATGACTTGAGATAGTCTTCTTTGGGGTTCAATCTGCTTGGTGTTCTATAACCTTCTAATACTTGAATATTGATATCTTGCTGCAGGTTTGGAAAGTTCTCTATTATTATCCCTTTGAATAAACTTTCTACCTCAATCTCTCTTTCCACCTCTTCTTTAAGGCCAATAACTCTTAGATTCGCCCTTTTGAAGCTACTTTATAGATCTTGTAGGCATGCTTCATTCTTTCTTATTCTGTTTTCTTTTGTCTCCTCTCTCTATGTTTTCAAGCTCACTAATTCTTTCTTTTGCTTGATAAATTCTGCTGTTGAGAGATTGATGTATTCTTCAGTTTGTGAATGGAAATTTTTAGCTCCAGAATTTCTGCTTGATTTTCAAAAATTATTTCAATCTCCTTTGTTAAATTTATCTGTTAGAATTCTGAATTCCTTCTCTCTGTTGTCTTGAATTTCCTCAAGCTTCCTCAAAAGAGCTAATTTGAATTCTCTGTCTGAAAGGTCACATGTCTCTGTCACTCCAGGATTGGTCACTGATGACTTATTTAGTTCATTTGGCTAGGTCATGTTTTCCTGAATGTTCTTGATGCTTGTGGATGTTTGTCAATGTCTAGGCATTGAAGAGTTAGGTATTTATTGTAGTCTCTGCAGTCTGGGCTTGTTTGTACCCATCCTTCTTAGGAAGGCTTTCTACGTATTCAAAGGAAATTGAGTGTTGTGATCTAAATCTTGGTCACTGCAGCCGTTCTGCATTGGGGGCAGCACTCCAAGCCCAGTACTGTGAGTCTTATGGACTCACGAAGGTACAGCCTTGGTGGTCACGGATAAGATCTGGAAGAATTCGCTGGGTACTAGGCAAAGTCTCTTGTTCTCTTTTCTTACTTTCTCCCTAACAAATGGAGTCTCTGTCTCTGTGATGAGCTGCCTAGAACTGGGGAATGGGTGACACAGGCAGTCCTGTGGTCACCGCTGCTTGGACTGTGCTGGATCAGATCCAAAGTGAGCACAGCACTGGATCTTTCCCAGGGCCTGCAGTGACCGCTGCCTGGCTGCTTCTGATGTTCACTTAGGCTCCAGGGGCTCTTCAGTCAGCAGGTGGCAAATCCATTCTGGCTTATGTCCTCTGCAGGACAGCAGGCCTCACCCCTGGCCCAAGTCATGACCAGAAATGCCATCTGGGAGCCAGGGCTTGGAGTTGGGAACCTTAGGAATCTACTTGGTTCTCTATTCTACGTGGCTGAGCTGGCATCCAAGCTGCAAGTCCTTCCCACTTTTCCCTCTCCTTTCCACATGTAGAAGAAGTCTCTCTTCATGGCCACCACTGCCCTTGGCCCATGGCAAGTACAGCCTGGCCACTGGCTGATGTTCAGTCAAGGCTCAAGGGCTCTTCAGTCGGCTTGTGGTGAATGCTCTCAGGCCTGGGTCGCTCCCTTCGGGGCAGCAGTCTCCCCTCTGGCCCAGGGTGAGTCTAGAAACGCCATCCAGGAACCAAGGCCTGGGATAAGACCCCAAAGTCTACTTGGTACTCTACCCTGCTATGGCCAAGCTGGTCCCCAAACTGCAAAACAAAGCCCCCTTTTCTCTCTCCTTCCCCTGAGCAGGAGGAGTCTCTCCCAGTGGCCACCACAGCTGTGAATGTGCTGGGTCATACCTGAAGCCAGCACAGCCATAAGTCTTACCCAGGGCCCACAGTGAGAACTGCCTGTGTACCACTGATGTTTATTCAGGGCCCAGTGCTCTTAAGGCAGCAGACTGAATCCTACCAGCACTGGGCCCTTCTCTTCAAGGGAGCAAGTTTCCTTCTGGCCCAGTGTGTGTCTAGAACTAGGGCCTGGAATGAGGGTTTCAGGACTCTGCCTGCTGCCCTATTCTGCTGTGGTTGAGCTAGTATCCAAGTTGGAAGATGAAGTCCTCTTTATTGTTCCCTCTCCTCTCCTCAAGTGGAAGGAAAAGGTCTTTCCTGGAGCTGTGAGCTGCACTGCCTGAGGTTGGGGGAGCAGTGACACAAGCACCCACTTTACTGTACCAGCAGCTGGTGTATATATGTAGGCCACATGCACCCCGAGTCTGCTGGTTCTGAGCCCAGACTTGCCCAGGAATTGCCATCCTTGTGGCCTGGACTGCCTTTCAAGTTTATTTAGGACCCCAGAGTACTTTAGCCATTAACCCAATACATTGTTGCTGTGATCATCTGGAACAAACTGTTATTTTTTCTGTAAATGGGATGGCAAAGCCTGGATGACAGCGTATCAGTTTATAGCATGGTTTATGAATATTTTAAGCCCACTATCGAGACCTGCTGCTCAAAGAAAGATTCCTTCCAAAATAGTAAGAATTGAAAATTTTTAATTTTTAATAAATTAATTTAATTTTAATTAAATTAATTAATTTTAATAAATTGATTTTTATTAAAAATTAATAAATTGATTTTAATAATATTTAAATTAATTTAATTTTAATAAAAAGAAAGAATTTTATTTGACCTTTGCTTTTTCTCTAATGCTCTTTCTTTCCTTATGTAGATCTGAATTCCTGACCTATATCATTTTCCTTCTCTCTGAAGAACATTTAACATTTCTTGCAAGGCAAGGCTACTGACAAATTTCCTCAATTTTTTTTCTGAGAAAATCTTTATTTCTCCTTCACTTGGGGGATAATTTTGCAGGGTACAGAATTCTTAAGTGTGTGGTTTTTTTCTCTCAACACTTTAAATATTTCACTCCACTTCCTTCTATTGCATGGTTTTTAGGAGAAGTCAGATGAAATTCTTATCCTTGCTCCTCTGTAGGTAAGGTGTTTTCCCCTACCCCTGGCATCTATAGAGATTTTTTTTCTTTATGTTTGATTTTCTGAAGTTTGCATACCATATGCTAGGTGTGGTTTTTGGGTTTTTTGGGTTTTCTTTTCTTAACATTTTTAGGGTTTTTGCTTTCGTTCTTTTTTTTTTTTTCTTCATTTATTCTGTTTATTGTTCTCTGAGCTTCCTGGATCTGTAGTTTGGTATCTTGATATTATTTTGGTAAAATCCTCAGTCATTATTGCTTCAGATATTGCTTCTGTTCTTTTCTCTGTTTCTTCTCTTCTGGTATTTTCATTACATGTATTTATATCTTTTGTAGTTGTTCTACAGTTGTTGGAGATCCTGTTTTGTTTTCTTCAGTCTTTTTTTTTCTGTGCTTTTCAGGTTTGGAAGTTACTGTTAAAATATCCTCAAGTTCAGAGATTATTTCCTCAGTTATATCCAGTTTAATAATTAGCCCATCTTCATTTTCATTACAGTGTGTTTGATCTCTATCATTTCTTTTTTATTCTTTCTTAGAATTTTCATCTCTCTGTTTACATTATTCATCTGTTCTTGCATGTTGTCTGCCTTTTCCATTAGAACCTTTAGCATATTAATCATAATTGTTTTAAATTTCTGGTCTGGTAATTTCAGCATCTCTGCCATGTCTCATTCTGGTTTGATGCTTACTCAGTCTCTTCAAACTGTGTTTTTGCTTTTCAATATGCCTTGTAATTTTTTGTTGAAGTACTGGGTGAAAGGAACTCTGGGAAATAGGCCTTCAATGGTATGGTGGTATTGTGTGGGGGGAAGGACTGGACTGTGAACTTCACAAATGCTTCTCAGTTTTTCCCCAACCTTGCTTAGGTGGGACAGGATGGCTACAGGGGACTAGAGTTGGGTATTTCCTCACTTTTATGTGGAAGGTTAGAGCCAGCTGGAGTTGGTTATTTCCTTTCTTGCAAATAGGATAGGCTCTGATAAAACCCTAACAGGTTAGGCTCTTGTAAAATAGTTTCTCCTCAGGGCAAATCTTGTTAAGAACAAAATGCTCTGGTATATTTCAGAATGGTTACTTTCCCTTCCCCTTTCTAGAAGCACCAAGGGGTTGTTCTCTAGTATTCTCTGTGAGAACCTGGTTGAACAAATTCTGGTGGTAAAACTCTGGAAGTGTGGGGATGCCCCCATCTCTCTCCCTGACTGGGTTTCCCTGGAGTTTTTAAACTCTCAGACTTGTCCACACTGAGCCTCCAGCAATTTGTCAATTACAGTTAAGGTTTTCCTACCCTGGCACTGGTTCCTGGAGAGGTTTGTGCTCCAGTAAGTTGTGATTCTCTCTATTCACCTGCCCATCTGTTCAGTTTCCAAGGCAGCTGTTTGTGATGTGACCTCATTTGCTTGATAAATTGGAGAAAAGGTGTTGATTTCATTTCAGCCTTTTACTTGTGTTAGGACAGAATGGTGACTTCTAAGCTTATTAAGTGCCATACTGGAAACCAGAAACCCCCAGACAGGATTTTAGTAGATGGAAGAACATGAAGATGGCATTCCAGAAAAAGGGAATACCATGAACAAAGTAATGATCATGTGTTTGTGGGCCAGTGGAGAAAGTGACTTGCCTAGACTAGCAGAAGCATGGTGAAAATAGTGGGTGAGAAGTTTAGATATGTTAAGTGCAACGGATTTTGAAGGATATTGAATGGATTTTGGATGAAGAATAATCTGGACTGTGAGAAGCTGGGGTAATGGGAAGAGCTCTG
Organism: Homo sapiens; assembly: GCF_000001405.40. Classification (NCBI taxonomy): domain Eukaryota; kingdom Metazoa; phylum Chordata; class Mammalia; order Primates; family Hominidae; genus Homo; species Homo sapiens. Next base: position 44,160,727 of record NC_000011.10, read on the forward strand.
CTACTGATTGTGTGTGTGTAAACTCTCATGGGGTATTGCTGGGATATAAGGGTCTGGGTATTTGTTTTAGTTATTTACTTAACAAATTATTTTGTAGCTGGCTAATTTACTGAACTTGCTTATTAGTTCTGATAGGTTTTTAGCTGATTCTTTAGGGTTTCCTTCTTAGCCAATCTATGGAAAGCTCTTGGATTTATTTTCACATTTGTATCCTTTTTCTGTTTTCTTATTCATTAATTACTTCTACTGATCTTCTTGGATTTGTTTCATTTTCCACATTAAGTTGGATGCTTACTTTATTTTTGTATGATAATTTGGCATATACATCAAAATAAAATTAAAGTGTGGGACTAGAAGCAGTTGGAATTTTGGAAATATCTGAAGTCTCAGTAGATTTCATCTCTAAGATTTTAAATATAAAAAGTGGCTATATACTTTTAAATAGGTGAGATATGTTAGCAGGCTTCAACTTAACATTTAAGGCAAATGTCAGATTTTTTATTGCTGTGAACTTATTACTGAGGAAAGAAAACATTTAAATATTTTTCTCCAGCCACAAATCCCCATAAGTTTAAAGATTTTGACAGAATGCCATACTTTATGTATGTTAAAAAATTGTAAGCCAGGATCAATGGCATGCACCTCTAGCCACAGCTGCTCAGGAGGCCAAGACAGGAGGTTCACCTGAGCCTGGGAGTTTGAAGCTGTAGTGTGCAATGATCGTGCCTGTGAATAGCTACTATACTCCAGTCTGGGCAATGGAGCAAGACCCTGGCTCTTAAAAAAAAAAAAGTAATATTCAGTGAATACAATTTCATAGTTTTTAATCCTTTCAAAGTACATTAAAAATAGTGTGCTAAATTCTTTGATACTTCTTCCTCCAGGAGGTGAAGCTTCATTACTCTCCCTTTCAGTATGGACTGAACATAGTGACTTGCTTCTAGGGAGCATAGACTATGGGATGGGAACAGTAGTAATTTAGCAGTGGGAAAACCTGGCAGACCTCACCTTAACTATGTGAGCAAGGTTAACGTTACTTTTAATAAGTCATATTGGTAGCATATGTCCCCTGATGGAGTGTGAAGGGAAGGGTACATCATCTCTGTAGTATTCTCCAAAATCTATAACCTCAATCTAATAAGTAGAAAACATCGGATAAACCCAAATTGAGGGACATTCTATATGAAAGTCCTGACCAGTACTGTCAACTATGTCAATGTCATGAAAGACAAGGAAAGACTGAGAAACTGTCCCTGATTAGAGGAGACTGAGCTGACATGACAAGTAAATGCACTATGGTGTCCTGGATTAGATCCTGGAACAGAAAAAGGACTTTAGGAGAAAACTGGGAATCTGGAGAAGAAAAAAAGTATGTTGTTTAGTTAATAGAATTGTACCAATGTTAACCTCTTGGTTTTGATAATTGTACCATGGTGATGTAAGATGTTAACATTAGGAGAAGCTGGATGAGGGGCATTCCAGATATTTGAGAACTCTCTGGCTACTATTGCAACTGTTCACTAAGTCTAAAAGTATTACAAAATAAAAAGTTATAAAAGCAATTACCAGCTGGGCTCAGTGGCTCATGCCTGTAATCCCAGGACTTTGGGGGGCCGAGGCAGGCAGGTCACCTGAGGTCAGGTGTTCAAGACCAGCCTGACCAACATGGCAAAACTGCATCTCTACTAAAAATACAAAAATTAGCCAGGCATGGTGGCAGACGTCTGTAATCCCAGCTACTCGGGAGGCTGAGGTAGGAGAATCGCTTGAACCCAGTAGGCTGAGGTTGCAGTGAGCCGAGATCGCACCACTGCCCTCCAGCCTGGGGGACAGGGTGAGACTCCATCTCAAAAAAAAAAAAAAAAAAAAAGCAGTTACCACTTTGCATAGCAAAGCAATAGACAAATACTGAAACCTACCAAAAACTTATAAAATGAATTCTGCTGCAGTTAGGTGAACCATTGTGTGTGGCTTTCTATAAACTTTCAGCAAGTGCCATATGGGTGGGTTCCTAAATTACTGTCTTTATGTAACTGATAGGTGAAGATGGTGGGGCTGGGAAAATGTACTGGATTAATAGAAACATGTTTCCAGGAGTTGCATGTGGAGAAGGCAAATAAAACAGCTTCATGAATAAGGAAGTGAAAAAAAGCCGTCTCATGTTTTATGCGGCAAGGTGTTTTACATACAACTAAATTAACAAAATAAATATTTTAAGTAAAGAAAATGATTAGTATGTGGATAAATCCCAGGTATATTAACCTTTTTGCTTCAAAATCCCTTTTTATGTTAAAGAAAGTAAGTTCTATTAATTGCTGTTTGTTGGATCCCCAAGTTAAAGGGATATCAGATATTTGTGAACTTCCTCTGCTCTTCTGGAGAAACTGGTAACATGGGCATAGTAAATGTCTTCAAAAACCTCCAGTCCACAAGAAGTGCCTTTAAAGGGTTTTGCTGATATTTTTTTCCCTCGAATTTTAAGTTAGTTGTCAGGTAACTCTTATATTTATGAAAATGGAGTATGTAAAAGAATAAACAAAAAAATCTTGCTTACAGTAATTCTAAACTAAAAGTAAGGATGCTTGGGTTATAATTTGGCCTTATTATTGAGCTTTTTGAGCTGTCAGATGAAGATTATTAGAGCCTATCTCTGGGACCTTCAGACTGTTATGAGGTTGTCCAAGAAGGACACCAGACTCCCTGCTCTTGTGCTGTCAAAAGGACCAGTGAGCACCAAAGAGCCTGTTGGACACAGGGCTTTGGAAAGTTGGGAATGCTCGTTGCTACTATTTTGTTAAAGCCAACAAATGAAAAGGAATAATTAGCCTTTGGCATATGTATTTGGAAAGGCTTAGAATCTCTTTGGAAGTTTTCAGGCTTATCTTCAGACACAGCTTTGAAAAATAAATCCGTGATGCATGGAAATATTTTCCAGCTGTTCACCTGAAATAAATGGTTCTGTCAATGTTAGTGTGTTAAGAGTAAGTTTCCTGTAGCTCGGATCTCTTGAATCTCCTCATTTGCTAAGAGGGAGAAGATTTGCCTTTTTAACAGTGCAGCTGTTTCTTAAACTTCTTGAGGGAGCAAGTGAATGCTTTATTTAATCTGTCTTGGTTCTCTTGGGTTTTGGGGTCTGTGTTTTGCTGTTTTCTCATTAATTTTGGAAAATTCTTAGCTCTTTTTCCTTTAAATACATCTGCTGCCTTGTTCTCCACTTCCCCCTCTCTCCTCTTCTGAGACTATAGTTACACTATATTAGAGTGTTTGATATCGTCCTACAGTTCTAGAGTACTCTGTTTTAGATTTTTCCCTCCCACTCTTTTTTCTTTTTGTGTTTCAGTTTGGATAATTTCTATTGTTCTGTCTTCAAGCTCTCTCTTTCTTTTCTTGGCTCTGTCTAGTGTGCTAAGACTGTCAAAGGAATTCTTCATCTATAATACTGGTTTTTCACTTCTAGCATTTTTATTTGACTGTTTTTTATATTATCCATCTTTCTACCAAAAATTCCCATATGTTCCTGCGAGTTGTCCACCTTTTTCACTAGATCCTTTAATATATTAATTATAGTTAAAGTCCTTGTCTAATAGTTCCTTCATCTTGGTCATCTTTGAGTTAGGTTCTGTTGACAGCTTTATTTTATGTCAGTGGGCTGTTTTCTCTTATTTCAAAAAACTGAGAGGTTAAGTAACTTAAAATTGCTCAAGATGCTCTATAACTGTTGTTCTTTCCACTATGCCACACTGGCTTCTCTTAAATACTTATTATTGCTAATCCCATTGCCTTTGCATTACTGAAAATTAAGAAATTAATCACATTTAATTTATGTATAAACTGAGATAGCAGTTTCAATTTGGAGTTCCATTTTGCCCATGATGGTTTTAAGCTGGCCCAGTCCCTGCCCTAGAGAAGCTTTATAATTCTCATGTTTGAAAATATCCTAGGAATTATATAGTTCTTATGCTGTGAAATCTGTGTGTTTTATAAACAAAATCACTGTGGAATCTGATTAACCAAGAAAGTTTAAATGCTTTGTTCAAGGTTATATTGGTGTGACCTATTCACCTGTAACCTAACTCTTCAACTGTGTACCTTCCACAGTTTAGAGTGACTGGGGAATTTGCATAGCTGCTGAAGAATCTCTCATTCACACTTTTTTTTTTTTTTTTTTTTGAGACGGAGTCTCGCTCTGTCGCCCAGGCTGGAGTGCAGTGGCGGGATCTCGGCTCACTGCAAGCTCCGCCTCCCGGGTTCACGCCATTCTCCTGCCTCAGCCTCCCAAGTAGCTGGGACTACAGGCGCCCGCCACCACGCCCGGCTAATTTTTTGTATTTTTAGTAGAGACGGGGTTTCACCGTTTTAGCCGGGATGGTCTCGATCTCCTGACCTCGTGATCCGCCCGCCTCGGCCTCCCAAAGTGCTGGGATTACAGGCGTGAGCCACCGCGCCCGGCCCACACTTTTAAGATAGATATAAATGTGGACCATGTTTTAGGGGAGAAAAAGCCATAATAAGCACTTATTTGCATTTGCTCTCTGGATGAGAATAGTGGTGCTTTCGTACATTGCCAGCGTAGCTGAAGACTCCTTCCTCTCTGTGGACAAGCAGGCTATACTAAGCCCTGGAGGGGCTATAAATTATAATACCTTCTGAACATTTCAAGGTATTACAGAAGACCTGCAGAAACAATTAAGCCTGAGAAGTTCACTTATCCCCAGGCTGAGGCACTTGAGCTATGATTATTGGCAAAACTTGCTTCCTTTCTGAGTGAATTGCAATTTGGTGGACAGGGTGAGATGATTTGAGACATCTTAAATTAGAAGTTCAGTTGTGCATTTGTGCCTTTGGCTGGTGTCCTGGGTGGATTTCTTACCAATTATTGTTTTCTATAAATCCCAAAAGCTGCCGTCTCCACTGTGATTATATGTGAGCATAAGGCTTTGGAATGCTTAAGTTGGAATGTGGTTTAATTTGAATATGACTTAAAAGAATATATGATGATAGACCCAGTTGGGTAGAAAAGGAGATAAATATTCAGGATATATATGTGTTTATGTTTGGCCTGATGCTTTGTAAATTTTTACACCTTTCAGTTTCTTGAAAAAGGGTGATTTTCTAAAACTTGCTATGTGCTGGTGCTCTTAATGCTCTGGAATGGGGTAGAAAAAAGGTCTGAATTTAGTTAGGAGTCATGGATTTGGATTGTGATTCTGCTCCTTAATATCTTTGTATCTTAGTTTCCTCATTTATAAAATGAAACTGTCCCAAATAAGTGACAAGCTGGTTGTGAAGAGCAGATGAAATAATGAATATAAAAGTGCTCTGCAGCAGGTAGAACACTAACATTTGCAAGGATGCTGATTTTTAAAATACCAGTATCTATTTCCAAGGAACTCACAGTCTAGCTGGAGAGAAAAAAGTAATCCTCTGAAACAACAGAAAAACAATTATAGAACAGTATATAACAACTAATGTGTATGGCAAAGGCTGTAAGGGCTAAGGGATTTCATAGTAAGGGGAGATTGGTGATAACAGAAAGTGATCAGTAAAGGTTTCATAGGGAAGATGGGTTATTTCAGGTCTCATAAAATGTAAACATTTTGGCTGGATGATAGGAGAGAAAGCAGTAACATGAATTTAAGCAGGATTGAGATTGTAGTGAATAGGGCATATCTAAGAAGCAGTAGCAGGGAGGCAGCCAGCTGTGTACCCAGATGACCAACTTCTGGACAACTTGAGAAAGTCAGATACCCTTGAAAGCTAAATCTGTATTTCAGCTTTTCTTTGAGTAGGAGACATTCTCATTGTGCATGCTTTGCTTTCTTCTTATTAGTTAGTGGAGATGATATTAGTTACATAACTCAAGTTACCCTAGGCTTTTAACTCATGGATAGAACACTTGCCCAGGAAACAGAAGCAGAGTAAGCACATCTAGACTAGAAAGTATCTTTTTCCTTCACCCTTTTGGGTTACTTTACAATTTCCCCATGTTAAATTTTCACATGTTCACTCCCTTGCATAAATCCAAATAGCCTCTGGTTTTGAGTGGAATCATAGATCTGAATGAAGCTGGAGAGATCATATAGACTAGCATCCTGCTTTTGTTAGGAACTGAGTTTAACTTCTGCTCGGATAAGAAACTGCCTTCTTTCAAAAGACTATATTGGACCAGGAAAGAATAGCTGATACTGGAGCAACCCTCCTGCCAAAAGAAGAAAAAATTATAAAAGTTTATTTAAAACAACTGCTTACAGGCATTGTAGAACCACTAACACAGTATTTGAGGGAATACCATTCCTGAGAGGAAGAAAGCACTTGGAATTGAGCTACATAGTCACTCTGGCATCTTCTCTGACGGTACTTGCCAATTCTCTATCCAAGAGTATGGGGTCCCAGCAGAAAGCAGCAGTCCTACAGGACTTAGAGGTTGGAGTTAGGGCCTATTAAAGTATTTGGGATCTGAAACACAAAATCCCAGGAGAAAGAAAACCACAAGGAAGAAAGTGAAAAATGTGCTCGTAATCTTCCCTTAGAGTGTTTGCCAACTCCTAAGGTACACATGATCAGAGCAAGACTCCAAGAATCCTAGTAAAAAGCAGCAGTTGGGAATGTAGTGAGCAATGCAGATATTTCAGCAGCCATATACAGTGCTGGTGAGAGGTTGGTATTCAAGGCCTGCCAAGGTAGAGGGGCCCTGGCAAATACAAATAACCCAGGCTTTAATTGGAGGCCTCAGAAAGACCACACTTTAAGCATAAGGGAAAGCTGAAATAAGCTAGCCCTGACATAGGGCTCTGACAGGACCTCTGACAGGATTAAAGTGGCCTGACTGTACTCTTACACCTGCCAAAAGAATAAGTTACAGTCTTAGGAGGAAGATAATCTGAATCATCCAGAACCTCTACAGGTTTTAAACAGAATGTCTGCCATCCAATAAAAAATTAAGAAGTGTGCTAAAATTGAGACCAAATGACCAAAATGAAGAGAAAAACGACAGTAGAAAGATATCTACAGGTGACTCAGATATTGGAGTTTATCAGTCAAAAACTGATTATGTTCAAGAAAGTAGAAGAAAAGAAGGAGACTTTCTTTTTTTTATTATTATTATACTTTAAGTTTTAGGGTACATGTGCACAGTGTGCAGGTTAGTTACATATGTATACGTGTGCCATGCTGGTGCGCTGCACCCACTAACTCGTCCTCTAGCATTAGGTATATCTCCCAATGCTATCCCTCCCCCCTCCCCACTCCCCCGACCCCACAACAGTCCCCAGAGTGTGATGTTCCCCTTCCTTAGTCCAAGTGTTCTCGTAGTTCAATTCCCACCTATGAGTGAGAATATGCGGTGTTTGGTTTTTTTTTCTTGCGATAGTTTACTGAGAATGATGGTTTCCAGTTTCAACAAAGATATGAAATCTACTTTTGACAAGATCAAATGGAAATTCTGGAACTGAAAAATATAGGAATGAAATTAAGAATTTAATACATGGGTTTAATAGCAGTTTAAACACCAAAGAAAAAGGGCTAGAAGATTATTGAACCAGAAGAAAAGTTAGTAGAAAACACCCAGATTGAAGCACAGAGAGAAAAAATACTGAAAAGAGAATAAGAGATACATGAGATATATTGAAAACATTATGAAATATATTTCACATATATTTATATTTGGAGTCTCAGAAGAGGAGAGTGCAACAGAAATAATATTTAAGAAATATTGTCCGAAAGTTTTCTAAAATCAGTGGAAAGCATCAAACCACAAATTGAAGAAGCGCTACAATCCTCAGTGGGATAAATACAAAGGGCCACACCTAGGCATGTCATAGTTGAATTACTGTAAGCCAAAGACAGAGAAAGCTTAAATGCAGTCAGAAATAAAAAGCATATTGTCTTCAAAGGTGCACCAGTAAGATTGTCAGCTGATTTATTAATGAAAAATTGGATGAAGCCAGAACACAGTAGAAGTATATCTTGAATGTTCTGAAAGAAAATTGCTAACCTAGAATTCTCTACCTATCAAAAGTATCCTTCAAAAATTATTTGGGTAAAAAGAAGCTTTCAAACAAATAAAAGAGTCACCCACGAATTCTACAGTGAAATAAATAACAAAATAAATTCTTCAATTAGCAGGAAGATGATATGTGATGGAAGTTCAGATATGCATTAAGAAAAGAAAGGGTAAATATACGGTGAAAATTTACTTTAAAAAATAATGATGTCCCCAGACGCGGTGGCTCTTGCTTGTAATCCCAGCACTTTGGGAGGTCAAGGCAGGCGGATCACAAGATCAGGAGTTTGAGACCAGTCTGACCAACATGGTGAAACCCCATCTCTACTAAAAATACAAAAATTAGCCAGGCGTGGTGGTGCGTGCCTGTAATCCCAGCTACTCAGGAGGCTGAGGCAGGAGAATCGTTTGAACCTGGGAGGTGGAGGTTGCAGTGAGCTGAGATCGCGCCACTGCACTCCAGCCTGGGTGACAGAGTGAGACTCTGTCTCAAAAATAAATAAATAAATAAATAATAAAAATAAATAAATATAAAACATGTCTTGTGGGATTTAAAATATGTAGATGAAAAATATTTGACAATAATAGCACAGCAGATAGGAGAGAGCTGATAAATTATAAAATCGTTAGTTTGAGACGTAATATAATAAAGCAATGATGTTTACTGTAGTTGCTAGGAAAGCTACTCAAACAATAACAAAAGACTAAATAACTAGCAACCTAACGAAGAACAAAAATGTGGAATAATAATAAAAATTTTTTGATCAATTCTAAAGGTGAGAAAAAACTAAAGTAACAAAGAAGAGATAAATAGGAAACAAATAGAATAATCATACATTTACTCAGCCTTATCAGTAATGTAAATTAAGTATAAATCGACTATATTTGTAATTAGGAACCAAATATTTTTGGATGAGATAATATATTAAAACCCAGTAACAGATTGATTATCCCTTATCCAAAATGCTTGGGAGCAGAAGTATTTCAGATTTCAGATTTTTTTTTAGATTTTAGGGAATCTGAAATGCTCCAATGAGTATTTCCTTTGAGCATCATGTCAGCACTCAAAAAGTTTTGGATTTTGGAGCATTTTAGCTTTGATTTTTTGGATTTAGGATGCTCAACCTGTATATGCTTTTCGCAATAGACAAGCTTTGAGGGTACAAATTTGAAATGTATATTTATAAACTTGAAATACTTACATATATATGTATATAAATATACACACACACCCCACACAATCCATAGGCACACATGCAGGCAGACAAAAACCAATAAGGATATAGAATATTTAAACAAAATTATACCCATCAACTGCAGAATATACATTTTTTAAGTGTACATAGATTATTTATAAAAATAAACAATGTGCTGGACCATAAATCAAGTTTAAATAAATTGCAAAGTATTGAAATCACATGCGTTCTCTGACCACAGCGCAGTCAAAGTGCAGTCAAAGTAGAAATCAGTAACAGAAAGATAAATAGAAAAAATAAAAATATTTGGAAATTAAACAATATACAAAGGAAATTAGAACATTGTTTGCCTAAATGATGATGAAAATGATATGTAAATGTGCAGGAAGCACTTAAATAGCACATAGCGGGAAATTTATAACTTTAAATGCCTATATTAAAAATAAAGAAAGGTTGAAATCATGATCTAAACTTTAATTTTAGGAAGTTAAAAGCAAAATTAATTAAACTCCTCCAAAATAGAAGGAAATAATAAAATCAGAACAAAAACTAGCAAAATAGAAAGAATTATGTTGTGGAAAATCAACAAAATCAAAAGTCGATTTTTAAAAAAAGATTAACAAAATTGATAAAGCTCTACTAAGACTGATCAAGTACAAAGAGAAAACACAACAGTATCAGGAATGAAAAGAGATGTATTACAATAGATTCTACAGGTGTTAAATGGATGTGAATGCACAGCTTTATTTCAATAAATTTAACAATTAGTTGGAATGAACATATCCCTTGAAAAACACTGTTTATGAAACTGATATACACACAGAAAAACATGCATAATCCTATGGCTATGAAAGAAAATTCATCCATAATTTAAAACGTTCACATTCACACACACACACACACACACACACACACACACACACACACACACACCAATCCACCCACCCATACCCTTGCCCAGATGGCTTCTTTGAGGAATTCCTCTAAAACCTTTCAGGGAAGAAATAACGCTGATCTTGCATAAAAGTTCTCGAAGAACAGAAAAAGAGAGAATGGTTTCCACCTCATTTTATAAGGCCAGCATAACCTTGATACCATAACCTGACTTAGATATTATAAGTGTTGAGCAAAACAAATCAGACACAGAAGAGTAAATACTGTTTGATTCCATTAATATGAAATTCAAGAGCAGACACCACAATTGTAATCAGCATAATGGTTATTCTTAGAGGGATGAGATACTGACTGGGAAATAGCATGAGGGAATCTTTTGGAATGCTGGAATGTTCTATATCTTTATCTGGATACTAATTGTAAGAGTATGTACATATGTATAAATTCATTGAGCTGTACACAAGATTTGTGCACTTTATGTTATATAAGACAAAATACTATAAACTCTGCCATAACACATGGCTATTCTCATCATCACATAATTTATCTTCTATCTTAATTGAATCCAATGTGCATTTCACTTGCTAACATTTTATTTTGACTGCATTTGATAAATGCCAACTTCTGATGGCAGCTGGCTTGAACAGCAGGGAGCATATGCCCTAGGCACCCCCATCCCTACAACTTTGGGAATAAAGGAATTAGCCTAACCTGGAGTTGACTATGATAGAGTATCTAGTTTTCCCACTCTGTCTCGCTTGCTCACTTAAAACAGCATTATTTTCTTTATAGGCCCGGTGGTTCTGGGAAGCGTACTTCCAGTCAATTAAAGCCATTGCCCTGGCCACCCTGCAGATTATCAATGACCGGATCTATCCATATGCTGCCATCTCCTATGAAGAATGGAATGACCCTCCTGCTGTGGTAAGTGAATTCCAGTGCTAGCCACATGAGGCATGGTCCAGCTGTCAGGGTGGGTGGAAGGAAAAATGTACTACAATTGTAAAGGTTATTTAAATTCTAGCTTTCTAAGATGAGAGTGTGCTTTTTATACTTGGGGCCTGATAAGGGCAGCATAATTTTGAAACACTGACAAAAGTAAAAAATACGGAAGCAGCAGCTTCCAGTGTGTTTTAAGTGCTTAGAAAGACTGTCTATTTATTGCAGAGATAAGTAAGGAGGCATGGGTCTTGTTGGAAATCAAAGACATCCCGGTGACTTTTGCAATTGTAATGCTTAGAGCTTTTGAAAAACTTCTGTAAGCAACGTAATAATAATAGCTTGTATTTTGAGTGCTTACTCTGCCAGGGACTGTGCTAAGTGCTTTACGTGTATTACCTCAATTAATATTTCCAACACTCTGTGAGGAAAATAATAAGCAGAAGTGATCTAGAGGCATTACGGATTGCTATAGTCATTTGCTCAAGATTGTGGCAGAGGCTTCTAGCTACTTCCAGCAAAGAGATGGAGCAGTCAGAAGCTGCTCTTGGGCCTTCCTCCTTGTGTGAAGGAATCACAAGGCACATGTGTCCTTGTAGAAACTGTGGCAGTGGCTTCTAGGCACAGCTTCTTTCTCACTGAAAATGCCTGAAGTTTTGGAGCTGGAAATTACTACTTCCTAGCTGCTCTGAAGTGAACCTGGCTGTCCAGCTCACAGACGTCAAGGCATTCCTGTAAGAGAACTAGACTGTTCTCCATTCTTCATTCTAATTGTCTCTCTCTTTCTGACCTCTCAGCCCTCCTTGTCTCCTGATTCTACCTTTTCTTTTTTTTTTTTTTTTTGAGATGGAGTTTCGCTCTTGTTGCCCAGGCTTGAGTGCAGTGGCGCAATCTTGGCTCACTGCAACCTCCGCCTCCCAGGTTCAAGTGATTCTCCTGCCTCAGCCTCCCCAGTAGCTGGGATTACAGGCATCCGCCACCAAGCCCAGCTAATTTTTTTATTTTTAGTAGAGACAGGGTTGGCCAGGCTGGTCTCGAACGCCTGACCTCAGGTGATCCACCTGCCTTGTCCTCCCAAAGTGCTGGGATTACAGGCATGAGCCATTGTGCCAGGCCCCGATTCTACCTTTTCTAAATAGTGCTGTATATGGCTACCTGGTTAATCTTCATATAGGACCATCCTTTTCTCTTTCCTTTCCTGCCCACCTTCTTCCTTCTTTCATCCAGCCTTTTTGAAATGGTTACTGGGTTTTAGGCACTCTGAGAGGTGTTGAGAATACAGAAAAAAGAAGACAGTTCCTGCCTTCAAAGAAGCTCTCCGCTGATTTGGGAAGCTAGCAAGTAATGCTGTGAATGTAGAGGTCCTGTAGTGGAGTAGAGTGGTGTACTGAGTGCTGTGGATGCAAAGGGGACAGGCATCTCTCCTCACTGGGACACCTCCTGAAGAGGGAGTGCCTGAGAGGAAGTCAGTATGTGCGTATGGTAAAAACAACAGCAAACATCTTTTTGTTTTGCTTGAGGTGAAGTTTGCTTCTATCTCCCCGACTCCATTACCAAAGGTAACATCTCAGAATGTAAGCATAATTTTGTAGTTTTAAAACATATATGGGATTATACTAAACATGTTTTTCTGCCTTTTTTATTTTAGCACTAGATCATAGACTTATTTTTGTTTTATTCCATATAGGTCTCCTTCAGTTTTTTAGGATGGCTGTATTAGTATTCAATTGTTTGGGTATATCGTATGTAATAGGTCTATTATTGATAGGTATTTAGACTGCTTTCTTTTTTTTTCTTCTTTCTTTCTTTTTTTTTTTTTTTTTTTTTTTGAGATGGAGTCTCGCTCTGTCGCCCAGGCTGGAGTGCAGTAGCGCAATGCCGGCTCACTGCAAGTTCCGCCTTCTGGGTTCACACCATTCTCCTGCCTCAGCCTCCCGAGTAGCTGGGACTACAGGCGCCCGCCACCACGTCCGGCTAATTTTTTGTGTTTTTAGTGGAGACGGGGTTTCACTGTGTTAGCCAGGATGGTCTCATCTCCTGATCTTGTGATCCGCCTGCCTCGGCCTCCCAAAGTGCTGGGATTACAGGTGTGAGCCACCGCGCCCGGCCTTTTTTTCTTCTTTCTAACAGTAACAAGGGGCATACTTTCATATGTTTACACATAAATATGTGGACATATCTACAGAATTAATTCCAACTAAGAAATTGCTTGAAGAAAATACACATTTTAAATGTTGATAGATATTAACAAATTGCCCTTTCAAAAGACTATATTAATGTATAGTTTCACAAATAACATTTGGGTGTTCTAGTTCTCCATGTCTTCAGCAATGCTGGGTACTTGAACTTTTGCTCATCTCATAGGTGAGAAATGATCTTCATGTGTATTTTTCAAGGGAAAGACTGATATCTTTGTCGAGTTTTCTCAGATAATTCTATTTGTATTTTTATTGTTATCACATTGCACTTTTAGATTGTTTTAGACATTTATTTGTTCAGTTGGTATTTATTGAATGCCTGCCTTGTTCCAGGCAGGGTGCTTGGTACTTTGAATGAACAAGGCAGAGAAGGAGCCATGCCTTTGGGAAACTTGCATTGCAATGGATCTTTCTATCTAGAAGAAAGATTTGTCTTTCTGGTAGAATTTACATTTTATATATATATATATATTTGTGTACATATATATATTCCTTTACAAGTCTTGGTAAATATTTCTTAGATTTAAAATTTTTTCTTATACTCTAATAAAAGAATACTTTCTGATCTTATAGTTCTTAACTGGTTACCATTTGTGTACAGACACATTTTGACTTTTGTAAATTAATTTTGCAACTATTCTGTTACTGACCTCTACAGTTGTTTACTTTTTTTAGTTGATTCTCTTATATTTTTAGATATACAATTATATCTACAAATGCTAATTTTGCTTCCTTTTTCCAGTATTTGAAACTTTTATTTTTTCTTTTATCTAATTGCATTGGCTAGTACTTCCAGAACAATGTTAAATCATGATTTGAATGTTAAAAGAAAAGGGTAGGTATTATCTAGTCAGAGAAAGGAAGAAAAATTCCATCCAGAAGGAACAACAAATTCAAAGATACAGAGGGACAGGGGAGCTTGGTAGTTTAAGGAACTTCAGAGAGTTCAGTGTGGCAACAGTGAAGGAAGCTTGGGAGGGAGAGGCAGAGGATGAAGCCTGGAGAGGGTCCAGATCACAAAACACCGTGTATCTTACATAAGGCATTGGAGTGTTATCTGTGAGAAACAAGTGATCACTGAAGCCTTTTAAACAAGGGAGTAATGTGATAAGATTGCATTTTGGGTCAGTCTCATCTTAGTGTGGAGAATGGATGATGCATGGCAGTGGGACCAGACTGGAGGCAGTAGACTGTTTGAGAAATGCAGATGAAAATTAATAGAGGACACATTTGAGTGGTATCTGGAAAAATGGACTGTTCTAATTGGTAAGTGAGGGAGAAGTTCAGAAGACTGAGGTATACTGTACGGTTTATCCAGATAGGGAATTTGGTTGCATGAGGAGTCATGGGTGAGGATGGTATTGGCGTCCAAACTCAGTCTAACAGCAAGGCCCTCCACAATCTACCTTTCTTTTTTTTTCTTTTTTTTCTTTTTCTTTTTTTTTTTTCCTGTTCTCTTTCAAAGAGTTCTAGATTTCTGGCAGCACAACTCAATCCTTCCTCTGTGTGCCCCTGCTTTTCATCCTCTGTGCCTTTGTGGCTGCTAGCCTTTTCCTTGGCACACCTTTCTTCCCCATCATCTGCAGATTTATACAGGCTTCAGCAGCTGGCTGGTAAACTTTCTCCAGGAGGTTTTCTCAACCCCTTCAGCAGGAAGTAACTCTTAGAGCATGTTATCTGTGTTTCTTTTCCATCACTTAACATGTATAGAAGTAGAATTTCCTGTAAAGTTTTAAGCACCTTAAGGTCATTTCTGACCTTGGTGCTTCTCATAATACCTAGGACAACTTAATTCAGACAGGAAGATCTTGACATATAAAGGAAAGAAAGAGGGATGGAGAGAGGGAGAAAGGGAAGGAAGGAGGAAGATTGGCAGACTAGGAGTTGAGCCATCTAAGACACATCCTGCTGGAAAGGTAGGGAAAGTGGTAGATTGTTTCTCATCTGTAAAGTGGTTGTAATGAGACTAACCCAATGACTTATCTAAGATCATTGGCAAGTTGGCAAGTAATTGGCAAGTTGTGTGAACAAGTGATAACTCAGGTCTTCTACGTGCAGATTATCTTGAATTGCCTATGGAATTATAGGGGAGCCCTTGAGCCTCCTCTGGGCTGAAATGTTACTACTGTTCCAAGCAAATGGTACAAGCTTGAGATGAAAAATATTACATCTGTTCCTCTGCAGGAGAATTCATACTGGTGCAGGCGAATTCATAAAGAATTCTGTCTGGTCATGACCCAGACAGAAAGTACAGCAATAGTGGGACTTTATCCTATACTTTTATCTAAAGCTCTAAGAGATGTTTAATAAGAATAAAGGGTTGGAATTTAGTTCTTTTTTATAAGAATATAGGTAGGCTAGGAAAAATAGAATATGAAATTTTGCAGTTTTGAAATAGATATGTTTTAATTCAGGACAGAATGGTCAAAGTGCTAAACTCTTAACAATTTGAGAGGTAACATAAGCATAAAAAGCATAAATCAAGGTATATAACTGGAAAATATATTCTCTATATATTTTTAACTCTTTCTTAAATAATCCTTTTTAGGATACTTTGGTATTTATCACATTTCTAGCTCAGGTGACAAGAGCCCTGATTTAAAGCAGTGGGTTATACATTTCTCCATCTTCAGTGAAAGCAACTGATGGGAGGCCTGAATAGCGATGGTTTATTTATAGTTTACTTCTCCTCTTCCCTCAGAAATATTTAACCTACTCTAGATGAGATTACTATGAGCCCAACCTGCAGGGGAGTCTCTTCTCTAGATTCCATCAAATTTATGATGTCTGACATTCCGAGGTGGGAGTAGGTGTGGATCTTGGTCAGTAAATCAAGGGGTGGTCTGGGGTTTTCAGAGATACACTCTTAGGGTCTCCAGCCATGCACAGAGCTTGCTCAGACTGGAGAAGGAGAGGTGAGAGTTCAGAGTCATATTTTGGCTAGATGCAGCTGCCTTAGTTTAATGTAAAAAAAAAAAAAAAAAGGCCTACGTGTGTCGATGATTATGACAGTGAGAGGTGGCCTTGCAGAGTATTCATGTCACTAGATGCTTTGTCACTCTTATCTGTAAAACTAGGGTGATGACATTATCCACGTTGCACCACACCCTCAGAACCTGAAAAAGTTTGACACAGTAAAACTTGGAAATAATGTTAAAGTAATACACCTGTCTAAACTGGAGAGATTGACCTTTTGTTTTGAAAGGAATTCTTTTTGAAAGGAATTTATCACCAAGTTAAGGTTCTTTATTAGGGGAAGTGTGCATGTTTTTATATTAATTTTCTTAGCTGTTCATGTTAAGGCTGCCTATATTTTTATGCCTTTTCAGTCTCTTCATGCTTTTATTTTTCTCTCCTTTTTGCAAATATCAGCAAAGCTTTGTCATCTCCCTAAATATCCTATATTACTTCTAACTTTTATGTCATTTCTGGTCTTGCCTCTTGGCAGACCTTCATCCGCACATCTGGGGCTAGCCTCTATAGCTAGGGTTCTCCTTGGACACCCTCCTCATTTTACTTCTGTTTCTCTGCCAGATGTGAACATATGTAGGAGGACAGAGACAGAGACAAGTGAGCTTCAAACAGTGAATTCATGTGTCACCAAAGCTATGTCCTCTCAGTGACAGCTTTTTAAAAACTAAATGTAATATAGTCTGAAAATTATGTAGAGTGGAGTGTTTTCCCATGTTATTTTTCTATGATGTGATTTAAAAGATTATACTGCATCTTATCAATGTTATAATTTTATTTACATTTTTGATAGATGGTTTTTTTTCCAAGTTTGCTATCATAGGTAACACTAATAAAGATACCCCAGATTTTTTTCCTTTCTGCATTTACTTTACCAGATTTAAAACAGAAAGAGAAGAGAGTAGGGGTTCTTATGGCCATTGACAAAAATTGATGAGAAAAATGGGGAAGCATCTTAAAATGAATTATTATACCCAGAATAAGAATGAGGTTGAAAAACAAGAGCTTTTTCTATGAAATCTAGCCAGAGTGGCAACTTCACTGCAATCAAAGCCTCAGATGAGGATTAGATACTTCCCTGGACTTCCTCTAAGCCTCAGTCTAGCTCTAGTTTTTGAAGATAGAAAGGGCAAGGGATCAGCCAGATGAGAGTATTGCATAAGAGCACTTGATTGGCAAGAATCACCCAGGGGGATCAGAAATCACAGCTGTGGGCAAAATGTGGTAGAGTGTGCCATGGGGCAGTGGTTCTCAATCTTTAGTAGGCATCAGAATACAGAGTGCTGCCACTCCACCCTGAGATTCAGATTGGGTAGGTCTGGGGTAGGAACCTAGAATTCGCATTTCTAGCAAGTTCTCAAGTGTTGGATATTGATGCTGCTGGTCCAGGGACCATATTTTGATGTGGGATTTCATTCACTGTGAGTGTCCTAACTCACTCCCTGGAGAAGGCTCTTCCTTTCTCCTCATCCATTTCCTCCTCTTAACCCTGCGGGGCTTGGATTAGAGGCATCCAGAGGCTGGGTTCAGACTAAATCTGTCTCAGCTACATGAAAAACTCAGGGCTGCCTATACTTAGATGTCCAGACGGTGGCCCTCACTCACAAAGGTTGTGGTTGTACAAGCAGCTGAAAATATCACTCAGCTATAAACACTAACAAGCAATAAATCACTCTGCAAGCTGAAGAAGCACTAGCTCGGATGTATGAAGCAGAACTCTAAGTTGAAAAGATACCAGGTTAACAGTCTGTGTAACTCAACTCAGCACCCTGTAAGTTGTGGAATGTTTCTCTGGAATTTGAAAGCCTACCCTGCCCCCCAGGAGGCCTTCTTGGCTTATTCTCTCCATCTTCCTCCTACTGCCTAGATATGATTAAAAAAAAAAAATGTATGGAATTTAGAAATTTTAGCTTGAATTTAAGGTAAGTTTAAGCTTTTTGAAGTCTATTGTTTTTATAGGTATCACATTTATAGGATCACATTTGCACAAGTGATCCAGTATGCTACCCTAAATTCCAGACCTTTCCTTGAGTAGTACCTTTTACTTCTTTGGAAGTGAGCTAGAAAGTCTCAGGATGTCAGCAGCCAGGGAATAAGGAAAGCTGAACTGGGTCTGCAGATGGAGAGATGCAGAAAGACACAGAGAGCTTGATCTGGGGCCCCAAGCAAAGAACTTGGCCAATTCTGATGGTCAGATAGAAAATGGTAAAGAAAATGAAAATCACAAGCCAGATCCAGATGGGGAGGATAGATAAAGAATATGAAAAGACGGACTCGAGGATATTGCTAAGATGATCTTGTCAATCAGAAGAGCATACTAGAGCTTTTGTAGCAGAGATAAACTAATGTGCCTGTGTAACACACATCTGCGTGGCAGCCCCAGTGGTGGTGCTGGATGAATGAATCTACACACATTGTTTCCTTAGATGCAGTCCTGCCTTCATTGCTTACTTAGAGTTCACTTTTATGGCTCTAGCTTTCATGAATCAAAACCTGACTGCTTCCTTACATCACACAGCTTGTGGGAGGGCAGTGAGTAGAATAGTTTTTCAGAGTCCGTGGGAGCTTGATCTGGCAGCAGATTAATTAAGAACATACTGAATGTTTTGGCAAAGTAATCTTTCATGTACCAACTATCACTTATATTAGCACATCAAATTCCCTTTCCCCTTTTTTCAGGGGCCATTGTAATTCTCCCTTGAGGTCTGCTTAAATGATTCAATAATAGAACTTACCAGGGAAATGTGATAATTAAGTATTATAACCTCAAGATAATGAATTTTGTTTCCGTTTCTAATATTCTGTCCTTTTTATGTGTCTCCCAATTGATTAATATTTGAGTATAATTTTCTAATAAATGGGTCATTACAGCTGCAGATTAGGAAACTTTACACACTGCTTCAATGAGAGGTTGATTCTTGACTTTTGTGTCTCCCAATTGATTAATGTGTCTCCCAATTGATTAATTTTTTATGTGTCTCCCAATTGATTAATATTTGAGTGTAAATTTCTAATAAATGGGTCATTACAGCTGCAGGTTAGAAAACTTTACACATTGCTTCAACCAGAGGTTGATTCTTGACTTTTGGCTCTCCCTTTTTTTTCCCTCAGCTATATTTCTTGGTTTTGTGTTTTAGAAAATAGTGCGGCTTAAAAATTCAAGTAAAAGAAACCATAGAATGAAAATTAGGGCCTGTTTTCAAGGAGTAACTGCTTTTAACTCTAACTTTTCTCTGATACTTTCTTCCTATTTCCCCATTAATGCTGTTTTTAAATTTCTTACTCAGAAACCTCTTTTTACTTCAAGTTAGCACTTTTTCTCCTGTTGTTTCTACTTCCCCTATACACTCCTCCTGTTCCATCTTACCGTTATGACTGTGTCATCATTTTTCATTAAAGTGGTATTTATTATATGCATTATTAGAGCTGTATAAATGTTGTTTTCAACTGAACAAAGTTGTAAACAAGGATTTTGTTTTCTTTCTTGTACAGCTTTCTATTTTCCAGAGAGCTAATAAATGCCTGTTGTTTTTTCCCGCAGTTTTCCATGTTCCTATCACTAATTTAATTTTCCTGGATTCCCAAACAAAATAATAAAATGATCAAGCACAAGTGAAGTCCAGGATTTTTGTTTCTTTCTGGAGTCATCTCTCCTGTAGCCCCTCTCTTCGGTTCCAGTCTGCAGTGATTGCTCTCCAGGTCTCCTGTGCAGTGGTCATCCTGATTCTCAGTTCACTGTGACACTCTGAATTCCCTTTGTGTCTCTGCTCTGTTGGATTTTTTATTTCCATATTGTAACATCTTTCTCTGTTTTGGTTTTTTTCCAAAAGCTTCTTAAGAAATGGATGAAGGGAGATACATTTTCTGTCACCTTACATGTCCTAAAGTTATTCTGGCTGGGCGCGGTGGCTCACACCTGTAATCCCAGCACTGTGGGAGGCCGAGGCGGGCGGATCACCTGAGGTCAGGAGTTCAAGACCAGCCTGGCCAACATGGCGAAACCCCATCTCTACAAAAATACAAAAATTAGCTGGGCATGATGGTGTGTGCCTGTAACCCCAGCTACTCGGGAGGCTGAGGTGGGAGAATCACTTGAAGCCAGGAGGCGGAGGTTGCAGGGAGCCGAGTTCGCACCATTGCACTCCAGCCTGGGCAACAGAGTAAGACTCCGTCTCAAAAAAAAAAAAAGTTTTTTATTCTGTTACACTTGTGATTAATAATTGGGCTAGTGTAGAATTCTGGTTGAGGTGGGTTTTCTTATGAATTTTGAAAGGATTGCTCCATTATCTTCTAAGTTTTTCATTTTAATCTCAAAAAGTGAGATGTCATTCTTATTCCTGGTCCTTTTGTGTGACCTTTGTAACCTTTTTTTCCTTCCTGGCAAATTCTGTGTTCTAAAATTTTATGATGATACGCCCTGACGTGGGTGTTTTCTGCTAGCTGGATACTGATTTGGACCCTTTTAAACTGGAAATCCATGTGCTTCAGTTGTGAGAAATTTTTGTATTTTATTTCTTTGATTATTTTATTTTTCTGTTTTCTCTTTTCTTTATGGGACGTCTGTTACATAGATGACGAATGTGCTAGACTGATTGCTGTTTTTCGTACCTTACCATCTTTCGGTCTTCTTCTAATTTTTTGGATATTTTCTCAGTTTTGTATTCTGACCTTTCTTTTGATTTTTAATATTTTGTTTACTTTTAAAATCTGAGAGTTTTTTTCCTGGACTTCTAGTTAATCTTATAACTTCCTAATTTTGTTTTAAAGTTGGAGTATTTTCTCTCTGAAGATATTATTTGTGGTTTTTAGTTTTTAGTTTTCTTCAGCTCCTTTTATTGTTTGGTTTCTTTGAATTCCTTTTTCAGTTTTTGTTTGCTATTTTTCTTATTGGAAGCTTTCTTCAAATACCTGATGATTATTGGCAGTCTGCTCTTATTTGAGAGTGAAGCACTGAAAGCTGATTGGAAGCTCTGTATACATGAATAAGGCTTGTCAAGCAATGGGCTCCACTTAGGTTAAGAGGATGGGGACCTGATTGCCTAAGTATTGGCATCCATGGGTTATTTCTCTTGGACTGGCTCATTGATCAGAGAATAATCTTTCTGTTTTGGGGGTTGGGGAAAGGATGGATAATAATTCTGGGCTGCAGGTATTTTGGGAGCCGAATAGAGGAAGGAGTCGGGTTCTCATCCTTCATCCTACAGATTATTATTTAATCTGTTATATTTAGTATGGTGCCTCACCCTGCTTTCTGTGCCTGGGGTCTCTGAGTCCGGAATCTCCCTCAATCATTTTTTCTAGAATATAAACCTCCCTTCTCCTGTCAAGGTTGAGGGGTGGGGTAACAGGGAGATGGTTGGCCTGTGAGTGCTAAGTTTAAGGGATCTTGAGACCAACTGTTCCTTATTTCTGTTTCCAGAGCCCCTTCTTCCAGGATACCAAGTATCTCCAATTTCTGAGTTTTATTATCATTATCCTTGGAAGCTTTAGCTTTTTTTTTGCTTTGCCATGTAGGTTATTGTCCACCTATCTATATTTTGTTTATTTAAATTGATCTAAAAACTATATTTTCTAAATTTTAACTTTTTACGTTGACATATTTCAGAATTAAATTTCTAAAAATAGTACACTCTTTACCCAGATTTCTTAAATGTTTCTGTGTACTCTTCACCCAGATTCTTCAGCTGTTTATCTTTTATCACAGTTGCTTTATTCCTTTTTCTCTGGGTACATGTGTATGTGTATTTTTTCCCCTGAATTTTTTGGAAGTTGCAGATATAATGCACCTTTATCTCTAAATACTTCTTATACAAAATCACAATAAAGTGATTGAAATCGTCAAGACATAAACATTGGTGCAATATTATTATTTAATCTGTAGATCTTATTTCGATTTCATCAGTTATCCTAATAATGTCCATTAGAACAAAAGAAAATCCAAGACCATGCATTGCATTCATGTCTCTTTAGCCTCCTTTTTAAGTCTAGAACAATTTCTCAGTCTTTCTTTTTCTTACCTGAAATTGACATTTTTGAAGAGCACATGTATTTCTGTAAGACGTCCTTTGATTTGGGTTTATTATTTTGTAAGTTATTTTGTAAGATATCCTTTGATTTGGGTTTGTCTGATGCTTTTGCATGATGAGATTCAAATTATGCATTTTGACAGGAGTGTCATATAAGTAATGTGTTCTCAATGTATCATATTGGAGAACACATGATGTCAATTTGTCCTATTACTGGTGATGATAACTTGGATCACAGGTTTCTGGGAGTTTCTCCAATGTCATGCCAAGTTACTACTTTTCCTTTTATTATGTGTCTTGTGGGGTACTACTTTGAGACTATGTGAATATCCTGTTACTCCTCAAAGTTTCACCCACTAGAATTTTAGCATCCATTGGTGATTCTTGCCTGAATCAGTTGTTATAGTGGTTGCCAAATAGTGATTTTCCAGTTCTTATTCTCTATCTTCTCAAATAAGTTACTAATTTTTTTGAGGGTGATTTGTCTTTTTAAACCTGAAGATTGTTGAGTTTAAAGGTTCTTCTTTAATCCATTTTTGGAAAGTTTTCATTCTCTCTTTGAATATTACATATCTGCAATTCTCACTAATCTTTCCTTCTAGAATTCTATTAAATCTTTGTTAGGCCTTTTATTCTGTCCTTACCTTATGTCTCTCAGCTTTGTTTTGTTTCGTTCATCAGGTTTTCCACATTTTTCTCTCTCTGTGCTGCATGCTAGATAACTTTTTCACATCTATTTTCCTATTTTCTTCATCTTTGACTAATGTGTTTTTTACCCATTCATCATGATTTAAATTTCAGTGGTTATTTGTAGAAGTTCTATTTGATTATTTTTCAAATCTGTCTGCCTGGCCTTCTTCATAGCATCTTTTTTTCTCACATTTTTAATTCCTTCTTTTATATCTTTAATCATTTGAGACACTTACTTTATATTCTTCATCCAATTTTCTGAATTCCTGTGAGGTCTGATCTTGTCATTTGTCTACTGTCCACTGCTCTTGTTGCATTGTTTCCTTAGATGTTTTATAATTTTGGAATGTGAGTTCATCTCACATGTGAGGTTTTCTGTGGAAATTCTCCCATCCTGGGATAAGGAGGTATTTTCCAGAGAATTTGTTTTTGTTTATTTTGCTTCTTCAACATTAATGTCTCACTGGAGGTTTCTGAACCACTCAGATAATTCATTGAAACCCCAAACCTGCATGAGCCCCAGCCTCTGTTAAAAGCTCCCAAGGGAAACAGAGCTGACTTGGTTACGAAGCAGTAAGCTCTTTCTCTTTCTGCAAGTTGGTGAAAACATGCTGTTCCAGGGAATTTTATTTTTTCATGTATCATGATATTTACGCTGGGAAGCCTTGTTTTCCCATGTTATAGAGCATTCTTGGTTTAATAAAACTAGCTAAAAATTACATTTTTTCTTAAAGTAAGTGCTCTTTCCACGTGAGAACTACTTTTTTTTGTTTGGTTTGAAGGTAAGAAAGGGAGGAGGAACTTTTCTCTTTATATAATTACATTGAGGGCCGGGCGCGGTGGCTCACGCCTATAATCCCAGCACTTTGGGAGGCCGAGGGGGGTGGATCACGAGGTCAGGAGATGGAGACCATCCTGGCTAACAAGGTGAAACCCCATCTCTACTAAAAATACAAGAAATTAGCTGGGCGTGGTGGCGGGCGCCTGTGGTCCTAGCTACTCGGGAGGCTGAGGCAGGAGAATGGCATGAACCCGGGAGGTGGAGCTTGCAGTGAGCCGAGATGGTGCCACTGCACTCCAGCCTGGGCGACAGAGCAAGACTCCGTCTCAAAATAATAATAATAATAATAATTACATTCAGCCTGTGATGAAGCATTTGATTATTAGACAGCAATGTCACTGATCAGTTTTTTAAGTTGTCAGCAATTAATTGTAAACACTAGTGTAGTACTCTTCATTATGGTAAATACAGTTGTCTTAAGATGAATGGCTCATATTTTGGTACAGTGCTTGATGTTCAAAACAAAATGTTGCAAAACAATAAGCAAACATAAATTGAAAGAAAAAATTCCCCAGGAGGATTCCCCCTCACCCACATCACCAAGCTCAGGTTGAGAAAGAAAAGTGACTTTTGTTGCTTCTGTGTACTAGTGAGAGACTTTTTCTGGCCCACTCTTTCACTGATTGTATAGGCCTTCAAGGGATCTGGTTTAATGTACAAGTCTCACTTCTAACTTCCTTACTTCCTGTGCCCAAAACCAAGTCTCCTGTTCCAGCATGAGCGTTAAAACCAACTACATTGCCAACCCCTGCAACAAGCTTGGCCCTCTGCGGTGCCACAGTGCCAACTAGCTCCTGGGCGTTCAGCTTTCATTTGCAGTTTTTTCTTCATTTTTGGTCCCTAGGGACTTATCTTTTCCAGTGACCTCAGCTGTATATTTAAAATAATTTTTGTTCTATTTTATACTACATTTCTATGTTTTATAGCAAGAGGATTTTGAAAAAGGAAGGCTTCATCTGTTTTACCTTCCAAAAATTTGTTGAACTCTGGTCCATTCTTGTTTCCAATAAAAGGTTTTTTTTTGCCCTTGTGGGTTCATGCCTTTTTTTCAGGAAGAAGCAGAGATGGAGCACAGCAGACAAAACATATGCTTTATTGGAATTCCAGAGAAATTAATATTTAAGAAATCACTTTATTGTGGAGTCTCTTCTTTCCACTCTGTATCAACTTTCATTTTGGTGTTAGGCTCCTAACAGCTCAAACTATACAGAAACTGTGGTTTTCTTGGTTATAACTGTGTTGGTGTTTTGAGCTTGGATGCCATAAGCTGTAATTTAATCACTCCCCAAAGTTCTTATTTACCAAGCCAATGAAGTCTTCCCCTATACCATAGATGACCTCTCTAATATGGTCAGGGGCTACCAACAATCATTTTTATGCCCAGATCAGAGAATGAGCTACTCTTTCAAACTGTCAGAGCATTTCAAGTATGGGAGAATCAGTTGAAACTGTAAATTTGTTTTACCTCTCATAAGATGTAGTAGTATAAGCCATCATGAACATTGTTGGACACTTTGTCTTTGGTTTATAGATTGGCTTTCTTTGTTTGAATCAGATAAGTCACTAGTTTTTTCACTGAAGCATTTAAGTATTTTCAGTGTATTTATGAAGTAGCAGGTCCAAGGATGATGATTGAAGACCTTGTTCTAAATAATCTAAATCTTTTGTACTGTAAAACAGCTGAACTGTTATTTTTAACATATCAAATTATAAACCAATAAAATCAATGGTATGTTATCTTTGCCAGTATCTTAAGCAATCATACTATAGATATATTTAGTGAAATTTATTACTTGCAGACTGCTGTAACTCATGAATTATTAAAAGTATCAGCATATGGAACCCTCTCTTCCCTCATTCCAAATTCTTTTAATATGGCTTATGTTGAACCATTTAAATGGTTTCTGTCCATCCCACTAATGGAAGCTGCAGCCAGATGAGGGTTCTTATAAATGATTGGCTTTCTTTCCAAGCAAGAGGAGGATGAAATGTCAACTTTTTCCTCTACTACCTGAAAAGCAATCAGTGGCAACCTTTCTTGCTCTCCTTGACAGTAGTTTGGCTTTATGGAAGAAGGGTGGGCATTTAGCCAAATGTGAATTTCAGTGCTATATGAAGAAAAAAATTGACGTAGCTAAAACTCAGATAATAACAGGAATTTTCAAGAGGCATTCAAATGGGTTTAACCTGTGAGCCTTCCAGTAAACTAACTGTAGCCCAGAAATTCCTAAACTGCACGTTTCAATCCCTTTTTTCTTGAGGATGATCTGAGTGACTTGAGGTTACTTACCAAATCTCTCTTTGCAACAATTTGCCCATCTGTAGGACTGAAATTAGGGATAATGATAGCTTCAGAAGAATAGTGTAACAATTAGCAACTGATTATTTTCTGATCATATGATTATCTGATTATGTCTGATTATAATTAAGGCCATTGCAAAGGACATTTGGAATCAAACCTGAGCTCAAAACCATTTATTAGCTTGACCTTGTACAAAATTTCCTTCCTTCCTTCCTTCCTTCCTTCCTTCCTTCCTTCCTTCCTTCCTTCCTTCCTTCCTTCCCTCCTTCCCTCCTCCCTCCCTCCGTCCCTCCCTCCCTCCCTTCTGCAGCGGCACAATCATAGCTCCCTACAGCCTTGACCTCCTGGGCTCAAGTGATCCTCCCACCTCAGCCTCCTGAGTAGCTGGGATTATAGGTGTGCACCACATGCCGTGCTACTTTTAAAAAATCTTATTTTTGTAGAGTGCAATGGCATGATCACAGCTCACTGCAGCCTCAAACTCCTGGGCTCCACCAATCCTCCTGCTTCAGCCTCCTAAGTAACTAGGACCATAGGCTTGCACCACTATATCCAGCTAATTTTTTTTTTTTGTAGTGACAGGGTCTTACTATGTTTCCCAGGCTGATGTTGAACTCCTGGCCTCCAGCTCTTGAACTCCTGGCCTCGAGCAATCCTCCCACCCTGGCAAGTTTCTTATCTCTTTGAATTTCATTATTCTTATCTGTAAAATGAGGATACTTATTTCAGAGAACTATTCTAAGAAATTAATGATATACATGGAAGCATTTTGTAAGTGGTGTGGAGCTATGAGAAGTGAAGTGTTGATAATTATAAGGTTGATAGTATAATGCTGTATCACATGGAAACATAAATTTTAGAATTGGGTGGGACTCTGGAGAGGAAAATTAAAAATACAGGAGGGTATTTTTTGTGCCCAGATAGGTCTTATTATGTATTTTCTCTTGTTTATTCCTTACAACAAAAGGTAGCATTCCGTTAGCTCTATTCTTACAGATGAAGGAAGTGAGACATATTTATATTCAAGGCCCATCCACTGATCACCTCTTTTTTTAAATGAGGAAATGGAGGTCCAAAAAAGTATGTTGATTCATCTAATGCAGAGATTCTGTGCCCATCATTCCATCTATTATACTGCTTTCTTTTCATATAATTGTTTTCATCTTGTACCCAAATTTGGCCCCCAAGTTAAACAGGGAACACAATGACACATAAGTACAGTGGCAGTGTAAATATAAAAAAGACTTCTGTCCCTGGCTTTCTGATAGGTTAGATATGCTAAGTGACCTCCTTAAGTGAACAACTAAAATATTGAATGAAGTATTATAAAGCAATTTTAACCTATTGCTGAGCTGGCAGGAAAGTAAGGTATTTGCTAATCCCCAAATCAAAGTGAAACTTGGTATCCTGGGAGGTGAGTGGGAGCCAAAATCAGCTTTTGCCATGGAGACTTTTGTAGACCTTGATGATCTGGAGCTTTGACCTGGTAACTCTGTGAAGTAAGGGACAGGGATTAGGATTTAAATCCTGTGGCCCATCCAACTCTCACAAGAACTTCTTGGATGAAGCTAGGAAACTAAAAGATTATGTCTTCAGTGAAAGAGTAAAGAAGGAGTAAACCTGTCTGTATTGACCCTTGTGATTAAGAACTGCAATCACAAGCCACCCCCACATGGATTCATACTACAGTTATCATCCAAATAAGCCTTATGAAGGGAATTTAGTTGAAAGTGGCTTTGTATTGATAGGAACCAGCAGAAGCAGACACAAACCCTGTCATAAGGACCATATTTTCAGTCCAGGTCTCAAATAATTCTTATAAATTAAGTGTCTGAGGACAATTAGCAGCTCACAACCATAAAGCTATAGGCAATATTGTGAGCGAGAACTACCAGAAACAGACATGCAAGGGCTTGCAATTATTAGATTAGATTATTAGAGTCAATGAAATTGTTCAGAATGCAGCCCAAAGAGACAAAGAGGTGGAAAATATGAAGAAGTGAAGTAATATAGAGAACAGAGAGAGAAGGTCCAACATACGTCTAAGCTGAGTTCCAGAAGAAGAGGTGGGGAATGGAAAGAAGCCCTATTGAAAGGATCAGAGCTGAGAATTTTCCACAATTGTTGAATGACACAGGCCGCAGATCCAGGAAGACTAGCAGACCACAAGCAGGATAAGTAAAAGTAAATTTACAGCCTGGTAATCATAATGAGACTGCAGTAAACCAAAGAAAAAGCAAAGATCTTAAAAGCAGCTGTAGGAAAAAGAGAATAGCAGTAGACATATTTGGCCTGCTCTTGTGACCCTGAGTTAGTCTCTGGCTCAGTTTCTTCAGATATCAGTCATGGTACTTGTTAGTTCAGTACCCCCAAATGTGATGCCACCATTTAGAAAACTCACTTATGAGCAAATTGCTGTAAATAGGTTTCAGGAGCTTTAAGTTGATAATTAACTATCTTACTTAGTTGAAGCCTTAAGAGGATTTCTAGCCTTTGATTTTCTCCATTTTTCACATGTCTGTTTAATGGTTGGTCAGTGAGATTTGGCCTTCAGTGTTATTCTTGTTTTTCAGAACAGTCAGTTATTGTATTAGTCTGTTCTCACATCACTGTAGAGAATTACCTGAGACTGGATAATTTAGAAAGAAAAGAGGTTTAATTGGCTCTTGTTTCTGCAGGCTGTACAGGCTTCTGCTTCTGGGGAAGCCACAGGAAACTTACAATCATGGCGGAAGGCAAAAGGGAAGCTGGCATGTCTTACATAGCTGGAGCAGGAGGAAGAGAGAAGGGGGAGGTACTACACACTTCTAAACAACCAGATCTTGGGAGAACTCACTCACTGTCATGAGAACAGCAAGGGGGAAACCCACCCCCATGATTCATTTATATCCCACCAGGCCCCTCCTCCAACATTGGGGATTACAATTCAATGTGAGATTTGAGCAGGAACACAAATCCAAACCATATCAGTTATTATTTGAGAGTGAAATGAAATAGACATGTGCATCAGGTAAACTTCAGACTTGTCCCCAAAACTTTTCTCTCTTGAGCTAAGAGATGCTACTTGAAGACATTGTTAGGTCTCAGTAATTCTCTAGTTTTGCAAGTCAGCATGTGCCTGGCTGGTGGAGTGCTGTGCTGTGGGTATTTGGGGCTGTAGAGGTTTAATGGTTAAGGCAACATGGACCACATTACTGATTGCCCCTTTCAAATCTCCCAGTAACCATTAACATAAATATCATCTCACCATTTTGGACAAGGGACACCACCCTTATGCACGTTAGTAATATGATGCTAATGCTTAACTCTTTCATTGCCCTGCTTCAAAGGCCTTGTCCTATATCCATTGATAGGGAGTCTCTTTGAACCTAAAGGAGAAATGAAAGGGTTAACTCCTTTTGGTTTTGCCCTTTGACCACTTCTGGATGAGAGGCATGATGAAATACTTTTCAAAGTCTTCAGTGGAAACACATCATGCATAATTGGAGCAAAAAAGAATAAATCAAAGCTTTTTTTCCCCTTTTAGTCTGGTAATTCATAATTGAAACCACATTGAGGTAAGGGTTGATAACTTCAAAACAACCAAGAAAACTGCCCTTTCTATCAAGGTAGGAATAGGTAAGGCTTCTCATTACTAGGTGCTGAAAAGCTTCTGTATAGCAGGCCTGTCCTCTTCTCTTCCTTTCTTCTCTGTCTTCTCATTTTTCTGTTTAGGCAAAATACGTTCATTTAAATCAGATATAGGTTGACTCAAATATCTGCTGAATTCTCTTATTTTCACATGAAGTTATACATAGTGACAAAAAATCTCTGATGTGATGAGGAATAGTAATTAAAATTTGGATCATCCTGTATTGCAGCTTGATTTCTTCAGTGCTACAGTTTGGTTTGGTTTAGGCTGAAAGAGTCTTTTAGTTGGTAATGAAATGTGGTTTTCCTTGCTCTTGATTTCACAATCCGAGTAGCATCAGCAAGAACGCTTCAGAATGGCTAGCAAAGGCCACCCGTTTACCACCTTTCTCTGCTTTCTGTATGGTAACCCTAGAATGGTTTTGGTTAGGCTCACACAGCTACCATGACCTTTCAACTACAAGAAAGCAAATCAGGATTGCAGGAAGGGCTCAGGCAACTTCCTGTGTTTGGGAATGCCAAAGGCACAACTAGTTGCTTGAGTTTGAATCTCTTTCCTGAAGGGGAAACCCCTTTGAACTGGTAGCTGACTTTAAGCTTAGTCTCCCAAGGCCTTTCCTTCAAGGCATCCTGAAACCTGAGCCCACACATCCCTCTCACTAGTGTCTGCACACTACTAGTTCTTACACCAGGGCTTTGCAGAATAAAAGAACTTTTCTGCAGCTGGCATTGTGACCTGACAGTTCTCGTGGCTGTTAGGGATTACTTTTATGCAATTGCAATTTAACAATGTGAGATTTCTTATTGGCGCTTCTGTACTGAATTTGGAGGAGTGAGAAGTAAACGGTGGGAGAATGGGCAAGAGGTGAGCAAGGCATTTTGGCCAAAGGCCAGCACATTGTCAGAATAATACACACTTATTCTTTTGGTATCTCCTCCTACCTTTGAGTGAACAGGTTCATCCAGTGTATTTGAAAATTGCATTGACAGCCAAGGTTTTGAAGGCATAGCTGCGATAGATGAGCTTTGCCTCTTCTCCAGCTCTGTTGCTGGATGCCTGGTTTTATGCCCTATCTTGCCATCATGGAGATTTAATCAGGTAGCAGAGTTAATTGCCAGCATTGTTTGCCTTTTCCCTGGCAGAAGCCAGTCTTGAGTAAATTATGGAGGTTTAAATTTGCTTGATTTCATGCAGAAAGTGGGGTCAAGAGGTCCCAGACTGTAGACACTCTCCTTGGTCAGCCAGCAGGGGGTCAGTTCTTAAAGGTATTTCAGAGGTGACTAAATGCTGTTTTTGAAATGTTCCTCCCCAGGAAGCTTTTTTTCTCTGGAGGTTAGTTTGCTGACCTTACCCTAGTGGGGTGGAGTGTCTGTGTGAAGGTAACACCCCAATTAAAGCTGCCTTTCTCCACGCTGTCACTGAGCTCCAAAGGCAAATAGGATTATGCTTGAGGAAGGGAAAAGCAATTGACACAGAAGCTTAGTTGTAGATCAGCATTTCCTATTTATGACTCTTTGAAATAGAGCATAACGGTAGCCATGTCAATTTGTCACTAAAACAATGACCAGGAAAAGAAAATTTCAAAAGAAACGAAAAAGCTAGCTGTGTAACTTAAAAAATATATATTATTTAAGGCTTTTCACAATAGAGCTCTAACCTGCCATTACCTGAGTTCCTCTCATTTCTGCTGTCTGACCTTTCTCCTCCCAGCAAGCTGTGAGGTGCCCTGTTGGATGGCTCACTGTCTTGTCAGCAAATCTTTGCACATGCCGCTCAGCTTGCCCCTAGGCTTCTTTGGCCAGCCCTCTCCTGCTTCTTCTTAAAGGCACTGCTCAGACCTCCTCATCTCCAGGTAGGGAGAGGTGATTGTGTAGATCTCGGTGTTTCCACCTATGGAGTACCTTTCATTCTTTGTTTACTACTTGTTAGTTTACATTGTAATTTGTGTTTTTACTGTGCTGTCTTCCCCACTAGGTTATGTGTGTTTTGAGAGGAAGGAAAGTGTTCATCTTTGCATCTTTAACACTATACCAGGCTTATAGTGTATGTTCAGGAAATGTTGACTGAATGAATGAGTACCAGAAATAAAGCTAGTGGGAATGATTGCTGAATCACCAATACCAGTGTTTTAGTAGGCAAGATGAATACAAATCGAGAAGAGTGGAAGTATTTTGTTTGCTTTAAACTCTAATTCATAGGATCCTGTGTTGAGCCCTCTGCTAAATGTTTATGTACATAATCTCGTTTAATCATCATTGCCCTAGGAGGTAGATACTATCATGATCCCTGTTTTACAGATGAGGAAACTGATACTCAAAGAACTGTACATGTCACAAGACTAGTACATGGCAAGGCCCAGATTAAAGCCCTCTGTTAAATATCTCTATAAAATCCTACACTTCTTCAGAACACAGCACAGTAAGATTCTTGGTAAGTATGTATAAAATGAGTTAACTAGGTTCGGAGTCATTTCAAAACTCATAATTTTAGTCATTTAAATGTACATCAGCTATTCATATCTATACATAAGGGGGACTGATAAAACAGGCCTGAGTCATTTGGCTTTAACTTACTTCTTTAAAAAACAAGTTTTGATTGAACAACTAGGCATTGTTCTAAATAGTGGGTGTTCTGGCTCCTGCCTTCGTGGAGCTTTCAGGATAGCCAAAACATAATGAATAGAAAGGAAAAGAGAAAATCATGGAAATAAAAACAGTATATTTGGACAGGAAGAAGTAGAGGTAGAGAATCCAGGTAAACCAGGACCTTGAAACATGATAAGGTAAAGAGAGGGAGAAATAAGGACTTCATTTGGGATTCTTGTACTGCAATTCATTTGGAATTCTTGTGCTGCAAGAGATCTCAAGACTGCTTAGGCTACCTCCTATCCACTTTTGAGACACATGGAACGTAAAGCCTGGAGAAATTATAACTCACACAAGATCAACCATTGGCTACAATTTATTGAATGCTTCTACATGACAGTACCTTACATATATTACCTCATTTATGCTAAGTAATACTACCTAGAAAGATGGTAATAGTTATATGATGATTTTTATAGACAGAGAAACTGAGGTACAAGAGAGATTAAGTACTTTGCCCAGGCTATGCAGCTGGCAAGTGAAAGAACCTGGATTCCGATTAAGAACTTGTGATTCCAAAACTGACTTCAAACATGCTAACTCAATTTTGAAGCCATTTGCATTAACCCTGGTGGTGTGTTCTACAGTAAATAATTGAGCCTGTGTTTGAGTAGATGTATGCTTAGAAGCTTACATACTGCCTCCTGTGTTCATCTCCACTTCTGGATTTTAAGGGACGGTATTGGCAAGATCCAGTTCTCCTTATGCTCCTTTCCATGCTGTCCATACCCCCCATGCTGCCTTCCCTGCTTCTCCAGTACTCAAGCCCTATTTGGGATGCAAGTGGGCAGTGGGGAAAAACAACATTAAGAAAAGTTACTGTCCACTTCCCAGCCAACCATTCCTTCCTGTCCTTCCTCCTCCCCTACCGATTCACTTCCCAAGTGGAGCTGGCATGTGGGATGAGACCCGATCTGTTGTCTTGCCAGCGACTCTGGTTCCATGTCCCTGGCAGCTCCTTGAAATCAGAGCTGCGATGCCTTTCAGGGCTGCCTCAGTTTAAATGCCAAGGCATTCGTTTTGTGAGCCTAAGCTTTGCATCTCTTAGGGAATTTTCCTCTCTTCTTAATGTCATAAAGACATTTAAGTGTGTTGGCATTCTCCCCTCTTCTCCCAAAGAACAGACCTCATTCTGTTGGAGTTTTAATAGTTTTTCCTTCTGTTTTAGTGGTGTATTTACCTTTTTAAATTTATGTGCACACTTTGTGTCAGTGTTATATATTCGGTGTGTTTTTATTCCATAGACTTTCTGAAATCATAGTGTTTGGGGTGGGTTCTTGCTTATTGGCCCAGATTTTATTAACAAGGATCAAGAACTTTTAGGATTTTTGTCTTAGAAAAGAGCTAGAAGTAGCAAACTCTGGAGTTCCCCACACTTGAATTTTCCAAAGTCTATAAAATGGTAATGCATACCCAGTTTGGGTATGTATGTAGGAGGGCATAGGGAAGGGCTGTGAACCATTACCGTCTGGTGTTCTGAAATCAGATTGCTTGAGTTGTATCTCAGTTCCATCACTTACAGGTTATATAGCCTTGAACATCATTTGCTATTTCTAGTTCTACAGTTTCCTCATCTGTAAAGTGAGAACAATAACCGTATCTATCTTGGGGGTTGTTGTGAATATCTAATGAGGTAATACATGTAAAGCACAGTATTTTGCACTTAGTAAGTACTCAGTAAATCTTGACTGTTTCAATATCACACATTAAATCATTTTATACACTTTTTTAAAGGAATCTTTTTGTTTCTTTTCCACTTAAAATGGTGTTTTTCAAGCAGGCATTAGTGAGTATTGTGTCAAGAGGGTTAGGTGAGTGGGTTGGGGATAGTGATGGCACATAGACCATGAACGGTCCCTGGGGATTAATTATGACTTAAATATAGGGCTACTTTCTGACTTCAGTTTCCATAAAGGTCAGGAAGAGATGAAGAATAAAATTTGGGGTAGAAAACTCAAAAAGGTTTCTAGAAGTACAATGAGTTGCTAAGGTACAAATACTAAAATCCAGGCACCTTCCTAAGACTACAGCTTAATATCAAAGTGTGATGTCATGGAAACAGAAGATCAACATTGAAAAGATGGCCTTTCCTGGCCGGGCGCGGTGGCTCACACCTGTAATCCCAGCACTTTGGGAGGTTGAGGCAGGTGGATCACCTGAGGTCGGGAGTTCGAGACCAATCTTACCAACATGGAGAAACCCGGTCTCTACTAAAAATACAAAATTAGCCCAGTGTGGTGGTGCATGCCTGTAATCCCAGCTACTTGGGAGGCTGAGACAGGAGAATCTTTTGAACCCGGGAGACGGAGGTTGAGGTGAGCCGAGATTGCACCATTGCACTCCAGCCTGGGCAACGAGTGAAACTCTGTCTCAAAAAAAAAAAGAAAAAGAAAAGATGGCGTTTCCTATTGTGTCTCTTGGTTGTGAAATCTAATTATAGCATGTTGTGGACATTTTGGCTTTAATATCCTGATTACATTAGGACCCTAGGAATCCCATTCAGCTTCTTTGAGTTTCCATCCCATATGTATTCCATGGGTTTGTGTGCATTTCTCATCCCACACTGTTACATCTGGCAGACAGCTGTTGTCACAAAGTTGGTGATGGGTGTCCATCAGTGATATGGATGAGATTGATAGGGAACCTTGGCAATCCCAGAGTATAAAAGACTAGGGAAGTATGCAGCAGCCATAATAGCAGATAGGACATTTCATTCTCAGCCACCTTCTGGCAAAGATGGAATTCAGTCCTGGGCTTTTTGCATGATAACATATGAATATGAATGTAATTAATGCCACCGAATTACACATTTAACAATGGTTAAAA
Source organism: Homo sapiens (assembly GCF_000001405.40). Classification (NCBI taxonomy): domain Eukaryota; kingdom Metazoa; phylum Chordata; class Mammalia; order Primates; family Hominidae; genus Homo; species Homo sapiens. Next base: position 44,195,887 of record NC_000011.10, read on the forward strand.
TGGCAAATTTAATATTATATATATTTTACCACAATTTTTAAAAGTGAACAATGTAATATACCAAAACCATTATATGCTTTAAGTGGGTAGATTGTATGGTATATGAATCATATCCTAATAAAGCTGGTAAAATATATAAGAACATTTAAATAATCTTAATTATTATCAGTGCAAAAATATTTTTGCTTACATTGCTGTATTAAAAGTACTTAATATTTTAATGGTAGCAAAGAGATTGACTTTCTTTCATCACTTTTTAAACTTTATTTTAAAAACATTTCACATTTAACTGATAACTTTTGAGAATTGTACATTGAACTCACATGTTCCTCACCTATTTTCACACATTGTGAACATTTTCTCTTTATTCTCTGTGTTCAGAAATATGCACTTTGATATGGCAGTGGTTTTTGTTTTTTTATTTTTGTCTTTTTAAAAAATTCACTGTGCTGCTTCTGTTAATCCTTTGCAATCTGAAAATTCATGCCTCTTATATCTTAACGTACTGAGAACTTCTTTAATTTCTTTGATAGATTTACTTCTCCCATAGTCTGTGTTTTCTTTTCTGGAATCTCCTATTAAATAGATGTTGGACCTTCTAGATTTTCTCATTTTCTCTGTCCTTATTTTTCATCTCTGCCTTTTTGTTCACCAGTCTGGAATATTTTGTCATCTTTATCTTGCAATCCTGACCTTTTTTCCCCCGACTGACAGGACCAACCAGGTAGCAATCCTGCCCTCAAAAAATAATTTAAACTATTATATTTTTAATGTTGAAGAGTTGTTTCTGTTCTTTGGTAGAGCTTTTAAAATAAAAATAGCAATTTATTCTTGTTTCATGGATGAAGAATCTTATCTGCCAGTGGCTACAATTTGTTGTTGATGCTGTTTGAATTTCCTTCTGCTGCTTCTGTTGTTTCTGTTACTTCTAAGTTCCTTTTTTTCTTTATTCATTTGGTTTCTGACATTCATGCTGAAGATGCTCTTGAAATGCCTGTGATTCTAGAATCTGCTCATGATTGAGAGGGAAGCGCTGAAAAGCTGATCGGAAGTTCTTTGTGTGAAGGCCAGCTTGTTGCCTGGAGGACTTCACTGTAAGATGTTGGGGTGCCGAGCTAACCACATGGCTACCAATGCTTTGGGAACTAAAGGGGAAAGAAGGCTGTAGGGCCCACCATTCAGAATGTAGATTTTTAGCCTGTATTTTCCTCTCCTCTGTGCCTGTATTTCCCTGTCTAGAGCTTCAGTTTCCTTGGAGAGGAAACCTCCCTTCTCTAGCTGGGGTGAGGGAAGAGTCGTTTTTCTGGCTGAGTAGGATCAAGGGAGGGTTTGTGAATCTGGGCCTCTAACTGCTCCTTAAACAGATTTTTAACAGTCTTCCTGTTTTCAACCTTACCGCTTCTCTTACCTCACAAGGTATCTGTGAGTTTCATTCCTGAACCCTGTGAATTCCCAGGTTGGCTTGCTTGCCATCGCTGCCTCCCCTCCTGGTAGGTGCCCAGGTCTCCACTCTCACTCCTCCTCTGCTACCCCTTCTCTAGCCCTTTCCAGCTTTCAAAAATATCGTAATAGGCCCATCAGCTGTTGTCTCTTCTCCCATCTCTTTGTCCTTGTAGATTTATATTCTTTTATATTCATCAACTGCCTTTTTATTGGGTTTGGGGAGAGAATGGAGATAAACGCATGCTTTAATCTGTCATGTTTAACTAGAATTCTTTTCTCAGCTGCAAAAGTTCTCAGCTCCTTTTCCAGTGATATCAGAACCAAACTTAATTAGTCCATGCAAATTTTGAGGAGGGGAAGACTTTGAGCAGTTGCTTAGCTCTGGGATCTGTCCTGGTAAAAGCCACCAAGCCTGCCATGTTTGGGTTTGCTGACGATATTGGGTCAGCCATATTGTTACAGCTGCTTTTCTGACCCGTGTTAATCTGTCCTCTTGTAGAAGTGGGGCAGCGTGAGCAATCCACTCTTCCTCCCGCTGATCCCACCACAGTCTCAAGGGTTCACCGCCATAGTCCTCACCTACGACCGAGTAGAGAGCCTCTTCCGGGTCATCACTGAAGTGTCCAAGGTGCCCAGTCTATCCAAACTACTTGTCGTCTGGAATAATCAGAATAAAAACCCTCCAGAAGGTAAGAAGCCTTAGTGCCTCTCTCAGCTGGATCAATTTTGGATGGCCAAATTATTCACATCCTTTGTTTTAAATAAATTTTCCTGCTTTGTCAATAGCAATACCATTTCTGAGACAGCATGCCTCCATTTTTCTCAGTCATCTCATTCTTGTTCTAGGGTGGCCCATTTAACTCCAAGCCCTGGCATACTCTGTAGCCACAAGTGTTTGAGGGCTTAGGAATCAACAGGATCAAAGGCTATCAGCCTTAGGAAAACAGATCTCAGCTTCCCTCAGCCATCTCAGCTGATTTGTTTACATGAAAACTCAGTTTAAAAGGCATTAGTTTTCTCCTTTCTTATCTCTGCTCTGATGCTGTACTTTCTCAAAAAAAAAAAAGGGATGGCCTCACTTCTGATTGGAAAAGTCAGCAGCAAAGCATACCCTGTCCAGACTTCAAGTCAGGTCCTTAAAGAGAGCAATCACTAGAAGTTCCCATTGGTTCTTCCTTAATCACTTTGTTCCTTGCCTTGGCCACCCCTGTAATCTGCTGGCTGGCAGCTAGGGTTGAGGACTATTTGATTCATTGGATTTGTTTTTAATTCGGGACGCACAGAGTATGTTCCACCTGCATTTGGTTTCTCATTCAGTCTGTGTATTACTGATCCTAATCCCAGGGACTTCAAAGCTCCTGCCATTTATAGCCTATTAAAGCCAGGAAGTTTCTGATGGATTAGAGCAAGGAATGAATGAGTTTGAAGTTAGTAATGTGCACCACTGTCACCGATAAGGTCTAGTTTATTGCCTGACAGTAGTATCTGCACTTTTTATGGCTAGTCTCTTTTAATTGGATATACTGAAGTCGGGAAAGTCAACCTTGAAAATTGCCAGTAGTAGATCTATAGTCTAGGCTGGAAGAAGTCCATATTTCTGGCTCTGTTAGGCAAATCAGAATTTGCCTTGAGAAAATTCTTTAGTTTCTCCTTTACTTCATGGGATGTTTGTTCTCTGAGAGAATCATATGCTTTCTTTTTAGATTTAGGGAGCCACAGTTTGAGTAAATAAAACAGCTATTTTAAATGAAGGTCCTGTATTATTCCCTGATTTTTAAAAATTAACTTTCTATGCCAAGATTTGTTTTCTCTTTCTCAACACTATAACATGGCCAGTTTTCTGGATTTTTGTTTTGTTTGATACTTAATAAGGGAGAAGGAAAGGGAGGGGTAAAAGAAAAAGGAAGATGTGGGCATCATTTAAGAAGGGAGGATGAGAATACAGAAAGGAAGGAAAAGAGAGACAATTATAAGGAACTATGTAAAGAAGGAAATTGTTGACTTGGATTTCTTCATACCAATTGCCTTTCTCCAGAGTGAAGTGAATTGGATGGTATTGCATTGCTAATTAGTCCCTTCGTTTATAAAGGATGGGCTATGTTTGCAGAAGGAAGGCTGGGCCTCTCATTGGGTCTGGAGTGGCCTGTTGTGTCTTGCAGTAGTCACAGGCCTGTATTTGCTCCTGCATGGAAAGGCCACCAGCTTTCAGAGAGACTCTCAGCCTGCTCCTGCAATCCTGCCTGAAAGGCAGAGTTGCAAATTCTAGTGCTAAATGCAAAAGAGGCTTCTCCTTATTACTCCTGGTTAGCCACTTTAGGCATAAGGTGAGTTATTTATTGTGAATTTGTGTCACTTCTTTGGGGAAGGTATCATTGCAAACTGTGAGAAAGGATACATTTTTTTTTCCTTCTTGATCTAAGCCTCTACACTGGCACAACTAAAGGCAGTAGCAGGAGCCCAGATTTTGGAGTTGGGTGTTCAGTTTTAATTTTTGGTAAGACCCTGCTAAAATGTAGTGGTTAATTTTATGACCAAGACTTTAGTTTATTTTTAAAAGATTTTGACTCTAGGGAGGAAAAAGAGCCCTTAACTGATGAGGCCCTAATTTTGACATGTGTAGTGACTGGACTGGCTTTTTACTAACAGTGGTTTTTAGGTCAGGGCTCTGGCTCTGGCGATGTGGTTGTTTGGGGAGAACATGAACCATGTTTAATCTTCTGTGGGGTGTTTGTTCAGTTGGTAAATGAGGCTGTCAGCTCTGGTCCGCATGCCAGCAAATGCATCTGATTTTTCACGTACAGCATTAGTAACATATATATTATAAAAAAAAAAAAAAGCAAGTCCAAGTCTTTGAAATATTAGAGGCAAAAGTGATGTTTTTCGCTTTCTCTACATTTACTAAAATAAATATTGTGGTTACCATGTCTGCTGCTGGGAGGATTTGTGTAGGCAGAAATCTACCCCCCTTCCCACTTTTTTTTTTTTTTCATTCTCCAACCCAACCAAATACTTTTTTCTTTTGGTTACACTTAAGTCCAAATTTCTGGGTTTTAAGTTTAAGTAAATACTTAGACTAGGCAATTGAAATTTCCAGTGAGCTTTCATCACATTGATTTTGAGCTTTGTCAGAAGAAAAGGCAGGCTACTGCCTTTCTTCCTTTAACTGACTTTAGTTTTAAATTTGAATTAACATCAGGAGCCCCCCAGCTTCAGACTGTGGTTTGCATAGTCCTTAGCAGGCAGGGTGGGGTTGGCTGAGCATGTCAGCAACCCAGGATGGTCAACAGGGGAGTAAAACCAGCAGCCACCTTCCTTTTGAGCCGAGTTCTAGGACTGCGGGGAGTTGGGTCATGAGACCAGCTGTACACCAGCAACTCAGGCAATTCTGAAGTGGGCTTAAGGTTTGTATGGAAATAATCTGATAATTTATTTTGTGAATCTGTGGTTGTATTTATGATAGTGATTGGCAGGATGGACTTGGGGTCATCTTCAGTCAACCTGACCATTTTTGTAGTACCTTTGCCAAGTTGGAGAAAAATGTCTTTGCTCACATTTCTCTTGGCATCCAACATGGAGAAAACCGTTAATCAATATACTTAAAAAAAGAAATCCTTAACACAAGGAGTTCTTTTTCTCCTTTGAGCTGGACTAAAGCTCATACTGTGAAGTTATCAGGTCACCTGGCTCAGCTGTTTGTTTTTCATAAATTCTGCAACGCATTTGAAAAATCGTATTTTTCAGGCTACTTTGTATGAATGGAAGGTGACATTTCTATTTCGTCTGTTATAGGTTCACAGGATGAGACATAAGATACAAGGGCATGCTGTTTCATTTAGAATTTAAAGGAGTAAGGAAGAAAGACCCCATTTAGGCTAAGCAATAGAAGTTGGGCCTGAAGATTTCTAGCTATGACACAGTTTCTGTCTGCATTCTAGGGGTCACCCCATATTCTTCTGTTTAGACCTCTTCATGTTATCAGTAGAGAAGTGAAGTTCATAGGACTTCACAAGAATCCATTTGTGAAGATGATAGTGATATAACCATATTGTATACTTTTTTAATCCTAGGAACAGGAACTGTGCTACATGCTTATTATCTCTAGACCTTAGGACAAACCTGCAAGGAAACTGTTGTTATTCCCATTTTACAAAAATAAGAAAAATGAAACTCAGATTAGTAATTTGTCAGAAATCAGCACAGATCTTTCTAGATCCAAAGCTCATGCCCTTTGCACTAAGCCCCTCTGTGTCTATTTAGATTACCATTTAGTTGTAGGAAAATCATCATGTGTTGTCAGTTCTTTGATTTGGGATCATATAGAAGAACTAGATCTTTGTCAGGGACTCAGAGAGACAGAAAAGTAAATCTATTTTTTTGAAAAAACTAATGGGAAAGAAAAATCCTCTTTTCTTTTTCACATATGTTTTTCTTTCCTACCTCATTCTCCCTTCTCCTTCTACTGCTCCAGTCCTAATTTTTTTAAAGGTTACCTTTCCAGAATCAAAATTCCATATCAGGATTATCTAAAGGCAGGATATAATTTTAATGCTTATTCTTTGATTGCTACCCTCTCATTTCTGGCCTCCACGAAAGGGATACTGTCAGAAGCCTGAGAGAATGGTACTTCTCTTTCATGGAGGCCATTTAATTTGACAAAGGGAAAACATGAAACTGAGAATTCTATTTAGAGTTCTGCCTGGTGGTAGCTGATCACTGAAATGGAGATGCCTTTTGCCAAAGCCGACTTTTGGCTACTCAGACCTAACTTGCAACAGGGAAAAGTAACCATGTATCTTAAAAAGCCATGATTCATTCTATATTTCTACCTGCACCCCATATCATCCTCCTGGGTCTTCATTGTTCTCTAAAACTTCCCCTTCAAAGACTTTACAGAGGCAAGTTAGTTCTTTGTGGACATGGTCTCAAGTAATTCTTTGGACATATATAGATGAACAGTGCGGAAAGCTGTCTATGGGTTGAATATGCTATACACATTCGCCAATTGTAAGTCCAGATTCCATCCAGTATAGAGGTACGTTCATACTTAATCAAAGTAGCTAGCCTAGTTTCTCTACATAGTGGAAAGAGGAGCTGCTTGTTGCCTTGTGGAATTAACATGACCAAAGTTCCATGTTCTTTTGTTTTATTAGTGTGTGAGAGTTTAGAGGATTCATGGCAGGGATCTTGCTTCTCTCAAAGTGGATATGGAAGGCCTGGGCCAGGGGTATACCACTGGGTTGTCAGGGTGATGTACCAGATCTCAACTGTACCACTTTGACACTGCTACCTAGGGTTCAAAAAATGCTCTGGTTCTGTAGGTAGACACAGACTTTCCAGGGAAAGCATGGCTGACATTTTAGTGACTACCTCCAGTGTGCTGGGCACTGTGTTGCTAAATGCATTCCCATTCACCCTCACAGTCAATCATGTCAAGATGGTGTCATTGTTATTCCTTCTTCATAGTTGAAGAAGCAGGCTCAGAGTGTTTAACTTGTTCAAGGTCACATGACAAGCAAGTGGTAGACCTGGGATCTGAAGCTGTTTCCAAAGACTGTGTTCTTTCTGTGATGTTTTGCTGCCTCATGGAATCCTAAGGCCATAGAGGCATCTTGTTTAGTTTTCCACCTGATGTCAAGTAGAAATCTGACCTAAGTTAGTGCATTTGAAGTAAAAGGGCATGTTGTGCTGCTGAAGGCAACACATCTTAGAACAGTTTATACCATCAGGAAGTTCTTACCTATTTTAAGTCTAAATCAGTTTCCCTGTAACTTCTACCCTTCCATTTGTCATGCTTCTAACTCTAGAGACCATAGAGAACAATTCCCTTTTCATTCGATAATCTTTCTGATATCCCAAGAATATTAGTCAAGGTTCATTCTGGAGACAGAAACCACATGATAATTTGAACAGGAAAAATTTAATCTAAAGAATTATTAACTAGTAACAGGATTTGCCTACTACAGGGTAAAGAGAACTCTAAAGGTTACAGAAAATAAACTTGGGAGAGCCCCTTCCCCAGCTAGATCTGAGATTCACACCTTACTAATCACATCCACTGGATTAGTAAAGTTTACTGAGGTGCCACAGGCCAAACTTGACAAGCAGGAAACCCAGTCATGCCCTCGTATACACACAGAATTCAACAGAAATCTGCCCCAGGAGTGTTATTGAACTTGCTGGGAAACTGGCTAGGGCTTTAGTGGAGCTCACCTGGAACTACCCACAGGGAGAATTGTGGCTGAGTTGCTGGTGGGGCATCCACATAACTTGCTGGGAAGCTTCCTGGAGGGGTGCTGTTAAATTCACTGGGAAGCCAGTTGGGGTGTGCTAGAACCTCCTGGGAAGCTGCCCCAGGGAAGAGGTGCTACTTACACTTGCTAGAGACAAGTGCCCCTGCCTGCCTGCCTGCCTGCCTGCTGGCCAGGCACTACTGGAGCAAGAAGTAAAAAAGGCATACCAGAACCAGGAAGAAAGCCACCCCCATGCGCTGCACTGGCCCTTCAGTGCCCTGTACTGACACAGTGTGACGCCATGCCAGTTGGCAAAGAAGAGATGTTTACAGGGTCCAGTTCAGCTATCACTAACAGGGCAATGATGACTACAGTTGAAACTGAGAGGCAATAAAGTGATAAGTGGCACACTTAGTTTCTTTAAGCATTCTGTAGAAAGCCTGGATACAGATGCCTGCACTGTCCTTGTTATTTCTTCTCAACTATTTTCTGGGCTTGTTGGTACTTCTTTTAATGTTGTGGTACCCAAATCTGAACAGAGTCTAACTCAGCAGATTTCAGAGTGTAATCTGGGTACCCTGAGCATCCCTGAGATCCTTTCAGGAGATCCAGGACATGGAAATTATTTTCATAATCACTCTGAGTCATTATTTCTCTTTCCCACTTCTTTTATTCTCTCACAAATGTACAGTAGAGTTCTCCAGAATCTACAGGTCATGAGTGACATCATTTCCCACAGCTAATGGAATGTGTGCTCATATATTTTCATGTTTTAAAATTTCCTCAGTTTTAATTTTTAATACAGTAAATAGACAATGTGTTTGTGTGTGTGTGTGTGTATCCTATATAAACAAAATCTCTTTGGGATTTTCAGTAATTTTTAAGAGCATGAAGGGATTCTGAGACCAAAAATTTTGAAAACCACCGGTCTGGTAGGTAGGGCTATAACCTCCTTCATTTTAGATGTTACAGGGCGGGGTCCCCAACCCTGGGCCATGAACCCGTAGCCATCTGTGGCCTGTTAGGAACCAAGCTGCACAGCAGGAGGTGAGTGGTGGGTACCACCTGAGTTCCGCCTCCTATCAGATCAGTGGCAGCATTAGATTCTCACTCAAGCGAGAAGCCTGTTGTGAACTACTCATGCAAGGGATCTAGGTTGCACGCCCCTTACGAGAATCTAATGCCGGATGATCTGAGGTGGAGTAGTTTCATCCTAAAACCATCCCCGCCCCTCCTTCCCCTACAGTCATGGAAAATTTTTCTTCCACAAAACTGGTCCCTGGTGCCAAAAAGTTTGAGGATGACTGTTATAATGTATTCATATTTTATAAGGATTTGGGAATGGTAGATGTATGACAGGGATTTTATTTATCTGAAATAGGGAGTGGGGATCAAGCAAGAATAAGGATGATTGCTGGAGAAAGTGATTGAACCTTACTAGTTTTGTTCCAGATCCAGAGAAACATGGGATTCTGAAGCTGCAGGTCCTTTTTGGTCTTTTAATGCTAAACAGACTTAGGTTCAAATACTAGCCTTATCATTTATTTTCTGTGTATCACTGGGCAAGTTAATTAACCTCTCTGAGCCATGAAAATACTAGTTTGTAAATAATTCCTGCCTCATAAGGTTGTCAGGAGGATTGAATGAATTACAGTGCATCTGTAAAGCATCTGGCATATATTAGTTGCTTAACAAAGTTCCCTTTCTCCCCTTCCCTCTACTTATTCTTATGCTGAGAAGAATGGACTTGCTTAAGATCCCATAGATAATGCAGAACCCAGGCCTCCAGTCTTTCAGCCATGTGTTCATGCATTATTCCAAAGATATTTTTCGATTATGTGCCAAGAATGAAACTATAACTGTTGATATTGATGAAAAGGCAGTGGCCTATAGGGTTATTTCTTTGGTCACGGATTCAGCCCTTCCCCAAACACACTTTTTGGAGCTGACCATTCTCTTTTAGGCTCTGTGCCACAGGTTTATTTTAAGACCGTGAATACAGGGCCTCTCACTTGCACAGGCCTCTTCCAAGACCCTGGGAGTGCCCCCAACAATGTGTTCTACAACCAGTTATATTACAACTATGCAGAAGTAAAACATTTTATCTGCAGTCAGTTAAGGCAGCTTTTCTCCTACTGACTTTCCCTCTATCATACTTCTTCTTCAGTATGGTGACTTTGGAGTGGCCAGGAGCGCTTTGGGACTTCAAGACCCACAGAAATGAGATTTTTCTACAATTACATGATGGACTTTTTGAAAGCAGTATGATACCTAGCTTTCCTATTCTCATTTGACAAATGTGTAAAGAACAAACTGCCCTCTGAGATCTATGGACATGGGTACTGTACCAAAGAAGTATGAATTTCATGCTATGCTAAATGCAACATTTTAAAACAAAGAACCTGTGGTTAAATTACCCAGTTATTTCATAAAGTAGAATGGGAAAAAAATGTAAGGCACGTCATGGGTTGGTGTTTCTTCAGTATACTAGAAAATCCCACATAATTGGACCTAGAAATTTGATATTTACTTTGTAAATTGGTCATGATGAGAAACCAAACCTAGTGAGTTGAGGGGAGGGGATAAAGTGCTGAGTTAAGGAAGCTACACTCATTCAATAAAACATACTTTGATGAGTGGTGGATTTTAGCGGCACCAAAAGCTGTTTGACTGCATGATGGAGGTGGGCACGTCGGGGACCTTCGGCACATGCACTATATTTCCTAGCACTGCTGCAGGCAAGTTTTCAGCTAGGATATACTTATCTGAAAGTATTTTGCAGAGTATTTACCAGAGGTGGGTAGAGTTCTGATATTAAAGTCTTGATCCTGAGAATGAGGTTATGCAGACCTTATTTCTCTTCCTGTCATTGTGACCTTGGTCGAGTCGTTTTGCTTCTCTGCCTCTCAATTGTGAATTGAAGCCAATTTGTTCATTCTAGTTAGGACAGTATTGAGAATTAGTAGTGTTACAAGGATTTAGAGAGGATAAATATGTATGTATATAGTATGTGTGTATATATGTTGTATATATGTGTACGTGCAGTATATATATTTTTTATTATAACAAAGATGCATCTGTGAGAATCTCCCCTGACACAGTTCTACCTTTGGATTTGATGAGAGCCGTGGATACAAGCTGATTCTCCCATCTCATTTGTGATGTCATGCTTTTACTACTTTATCTCCTCACAAAAGTTAGGAGAATAGTAAATACCTTTTCTCTTTTTCCAGATTCTCTCTGGCCCAAAATCCGGGTTCCATTAAAAGTTGTGAGGACTGCTGAAAACAAGTTAAGTAACCGTTTCTTCCCTTATGATGAAATCGAGACAGAAGCTGTTCTGGCCATTGATGATGATATCATTATGCTGACCTCTGACGAGCTGCAATTTGGTTATGAGGTAAGGAGGTTTTACACAGTGTGTTTATATGTTTAATATTACTTCCTATGACTGCTTGTCTTTTCTAAAAAAGAGTATTATATTTCCTTCTTAAAAGTCAGAGTTTCTAAAATCTTCCAGTAGAGTCCAAAAGGTGTGCGTAAGAGTGTGGGTTATGAAGCTGTTCTTTGAAGCACTGGAGAAACCCTATTCCAAAATGGCAACTGTGCCCTCCACTGGTTTTGGGAACTCCCAAGGAGAGTCCCAGGGGACAATTTCAAAAGAGCATCTATAGCATTTAACAAGCACTTAATTGATGTCTCCTTGAATACCACTTCCCTTGACTCAAGCAGCTAGGCGCTGCAACAATAAAAACATCAATAAGTGAAGAAGCTGGCGACACTGACAAACAAAGCAGACCCTGTTGATGGCTTTCTTTCTGAGTTTTAAGTGGAGAGGCTGGCTGCCTGTCTTTAGGGAGAAACATTCCCTATCACCGTTTATTCAATGAGGCTGATGGATTAGGCTGGGTTCAAGGGTTAAGTATGGAGACCAGTAAAGGTCTCCCCAGGGGAAAGTGCCAGAGTCCAGGCCTGGTGAAAAGCAATAGGAATTGATGGGCCCTGTCAGGGTGTACGTGAGATGCATGATGACAACAGGCGGAGGCCTGCGGCTGCGGGTAAAAGTGGTATCAGACTTAAGCATGCAGAGTGTTCAAGTCATTTAGCTATAGCTGGCTCAGGGGAAAGGGGAGCAAGGTAACCATTTTCTTTAGCTAACTTAGGATTTGTTGAATTTGGGGTTCTTAAATCATAAATTTTTAAAAATGAAGCTATATTTAGTACATGTATTTATTATAGAAATACATTTTTAAACACTTAAATTGAAGGTGGATTTTAAGGACAAGGAAAAGGAATCCCCTCCCCCCCGACACTATCGCCACCACTAAAAATTAAAAGCTCAAGTTTTCCTAGGTTTTTAAAAAAAATGTAGCTTCATTTGAGTGTAAAAGAAATTGTTATGAAATAGATTAATAGATTGATGTGCGATGCCCTGGATGATGTTGTTATTGGCCAATGAAAGGCATGAGAGTAGCTAATAAAACATACATTCATCTTTTTGGATTTATTTTTATTCATAGGAGATGACTTTTACAGCACAGTGTCTAGGGTGTTGGATGATATTTAGTATACTATTATTCCTATTTTTAAAACAAATTGCCTACTTGTTTTTCTAGCCAAGTAATGGCAAAAAGACTAATTTTTTTTTTTTTGCGAGTGATTTCTCTCTTCATTGCATGTAATGGCTTCAAATGCTACCCATGTGTTTATTTTTGTGGCAAAAGAGAGGTGGAAAAAAGGAATGTTCAAAACGACATGACCAAGATGGACAGAGGGCTGTCTCTTAAGTATTTTCAGTTGGTCTAAAGGAAGACTACTAAAAGAAGGGTGGGCTAAATGTATTTCTATGATTTCTTTCAACCCTGAGTTTGTTTTAAGCAACTAAGACTATGTTAATGCGAGGAAGTTTTGCAGCACTTAAAGGGACTGAGCTCGAATCTTTACCTCTTTCCTCTGATTACTTGTGTTTGATTCCATATTACCTCTAAAGAAGTAATCATTAGAAGAGTGAAATCAGGAAGCTTTCTTATCTCTGTTAGTCAGAATATCCAGATGCTATGGAAGGAACAACTTTGATAACAACCTTGTATATACAACTTACTATGTTTCTGTCAACGTCCCGAGTGTTTCCATACATTACTTATGCTCTTGGCCCAGGCCTGCAAAGCAGGTATGTTTTTCTTATTCTGTGCTGAGACTAAGTAAGGTTAGATAACTTGCTTATAGTCACATAGCTAATAAGTGGAAGAATTGGGATTTAAATCCGAATTTTTCTGACACTGTGCTGCCTTCCCTGAGGATTTTACTGTGAGTGACATTTGCCAGAGATCAGTGGTCCTCAGAAGTAGTACTTACAGCCATCAGCATATCTTTTGCCTGTCACAAAATTATTTTGACTCTAAGACAAACAAATACATTTTTTAGGTACCCCTACCATTGGTGCTTTAGGGCCTCCGTGCCCAAATTCCTGCTCTATCACTGACCAATTTATGATGATTGACAGGTTATTTAATCTCTCTGGATCATAGTTCATTCTTACATAAAATGGTAATGACAATATCTACTTCATGAGGTTATTATTTGCATTGGATGAAATTACATAGTGCCTCCCACATGGAAAGTGGGATTCCCCAGTCTAGGTTGGGTTCAGAGCACTCTGTACCTCTTTGTGAGCAAATAATGGTGAACTGTGTTGTTTGTTGCCTTTTTTTTCCTTTTAGAATGTAAGCACCAAAAGGCAGTAAGTACACTTCCTGTGTGATAGACAGTAGATTTTACACTTTACAGATGCCATGTTAGCTGCTGCTGCTGTTATCATTATGACTACTGCTATTTTCATTATTCCATTCATGATTCTACTATGATTCATGAACGAGATTGTTGTTTTCATTATTCAGAAGGAACATTTCTATCTTGAAGAAGGGACTCAGTTTAGTGTTGAATCAAGAGACAGAAGATCATGATGCTCCTAAATCCTGCTTTTTATCCCAAAGCCTAGTATTTTCATGCAGAAATTGGGAGCAGGCTTGATTGATTAAGGGAATAAATAAGTAAATATTTGCATCCTAGGGGAGTTATATTGGATCCCAGAACTACTATTTTGTGGTGTTATCACAGTCCCTTGGGATTATATCTGTCTTGTTAATCTCTACTCATCCTTCAACACTCAGCTTGGCTGTTGCTGTCTCAAAGAAGCTTTCAGAGAATCCTCAGTCAGGTTGGGTTCAGAGTACTCTGTACCTCTTTGTGAGCAAATAATTGTGAACTGTGTTGTTATAGTGTCTTTTTTTCCTTCTAGAATGTAAGCACCAAAGGGCAGGAACCATGGCTGTCTTATTCATTGCTATGCCCTCTGTGCCTAACCCAGTTCATTGCATTCAGTAGTTAATTCAGTAACATTTGATGAATGAATAAATCTCCCTTACCAACACACGTATGAAAGATATAGAAAAGATTATTCTGGCCTGTATGCCCTTCCACTTTACTGTGATCCATAATCTGGTTACATCCATTTTGGAAAGCAGTTTGGAGTTTAAAATGTTAAACATACATCTACCATATGACCAGCCATTCTTCCCATGGGGATTTACCCTAGAGAAATGACAACAAAAGTCTGCACAAATATTTGTACGCTAACATTCAAAGCAGCTTTTATTTGTAATAGGCAAAAATTGGAGAAAATAAAACAATGTCTATCAACAGTTAACTGGATAAACATTGTGATACATCCATAGAGTAGAATATGGCTCAGTAATAAGTAAGAAGTAACTATTGATACATGCAACAACATGGACAGTTTTCAAAGTAATTATGCTAAGTTAATGAAGCAGGATGAAAAAGAGAACATACTTTATGATTCCATATATATAAAATTCTGGAAAGTACAAACTAACCCTAGAGATAGAAAGATCAGTGGTTGCCTGGAAGGTAAGTGGGGAGGGTCAGGCTGTAAAGGGCAGGAGGGACGAATAACAGAGGGGTACAAAAAACTTTTAGGGGAAATGGATATGTTCATTATTTTAATTGGGGTAATGGTTTTACTGGTGTATACAGATGCCAAAACATGTCAAATTATACACTTTAAATAAATTATTTATTGTATATCAACTATATTTCCAAAAAGCCACAAGGACAAGGAATGTTACTTATACTCTAGCAGTAGCATAAAAACTGAAATACTTGAAAAATACAACAAAATGTGTGCCAGATATGTTTAGTGAAACCTAAAAAATGTTGCCGAGAGAAATTGAAGAACAACTTCATAATTGGAAAGATATACCATGCTTGTGGATCCAAAGACTCAGTATTGTTACCATGTAAATTCTTCCCAAATTGTATAGATTCAAAACAATACAGTCAAAATCCCAGAAGTCTTTTTGTTATTGAAATTGACAAGCTAAAACTGAAATGGAAACACATCAGACCTGAAAAAGTCAAAGCAATTTTTTAAAAGAAGAACAAAGTTGCAGGACTTACACTCCTTATTTTCAAACTTGCTATAAAGCTACGGTAATCAAGACGTGGTGGTATTGGTATAAATTTAGATATATAGGACAATGAAACAGAATAAAGAGTTTAGAAATGGACCACACATGTATGGCCTTGTACACTGTCAGTGGGAATGTAAATTGATACAGCCATTTTGGAAAAGAGCATGGAGGTTCCTCAAAAAACTAAAAGTAGAACTGCCATATGATCCAGCAACCCCACTTGTGGGTATATGTCCAAAGGAATTGAAATCAGTATATTGAAGAGATAGCTGCACTCTCATATTCATTACAGCATTGTTCATAATAGCCAAGATATGGAATCAACCTAAGTATCCATAAACAGATGAGTGGATAAAGAAAATGTGATGCATATGCACAATGGAATACTATTCAGCTTGAAAAAAGAATGAAATTTTGTCATTTGTGACAACGTGGATGAATCTAGAGGACATTATGCTATCTAGAGGGCAGGCACAAAAAGACAAACATTGTATTATCTCACTAAATGTAGAATCTAAAAGTCTGATCTCATAGAAGTAGAGAGTAGAATGGTGGTTACCAGAGGTTGGAGAGAAAGGCAGGTAAAGGGGAAATATTGGTCAAAAGGTATAAAGTTTCAGTTAGACAGGAGGAATAGTTCTGGTGATCTATTCACAGTAAGGTGGCTATAGTTAATAATAACATATGTTATATTTCAATATTGCTAGAAGAGTGGATTTTAAATGTTTCCACCACAAAGAAATAAGTATGCAAGGTGATGGATTAGTCTGATTTGCTCTTCTACAATGTAAATGTTTATGGAGCTATCACATTGTACCCCACAAATGTATACAATTATTACTTGTCAATAAGAATAACATTTTTTAAAAGCTGAAAGAGAATAGGATTAAACAGAGGGGGAAAGGTAGACTGAGCAAAAATTACTGCTTGAAACATTTTTTAAAAGATGGTATAGGCTGGGCGCAGTGGCTCACACCTGTAATCCCAGCACTTTGGGAGGCTGAGTCAAGCGGATCACGAGGTCAGGAATTTGAGACCAGTCTGGCCAACGTGATGAAACCCCATCTCCACTAAAAATACAAAAAATTAGCCGGGTATGGTGATATGAGCCTGTAATCCCAGCTACTCAGGAGGCTGAGGCAGGAGAATCACATGAATCTGGGAGGCAGAGGTTGCCGTGAGCCAAGATCGCACCATTGCACTACAGCCCGGGCGACAGTGAGAGACTCCGTCTTAAAAAAATAAAAATATAAATAAATAAATAAATAAATAAATAAATAAATAAATAAATAAATAAATACAGGATGATATAGAGGTACAAGATGACACACAAAAAAAGTCCTCAACATCATAGTCACTACAACAGTTTTAAAATAAAAGCACATTGAGTTACCACTATATCTCCACTAGAATGGCTATAAGTAAAATTAAAAAGAATGACAATACTGAGTGTTGGTGAGGCTGTGGAGCAACTTGAACTCATACATTACTGGTGAAAATGTGAACTGGTACAACCAATTTAGAAAACAGTTCGGCATATAGAACATTTTTTATATGACCCAGCTTCCAAAAGAAATATATATGTGCAGACATATGTCTGCATAAAGACTTATAAGATCCCTAAACTAGAAACATCAGCTGGTAATGGATAAACAGAATGTGGAGTATCTATACAGGGGAGTACTACACAGCAATAGAAAGAAAGAAATGGATACATGCAGCAACATGAATAAATCTCAGAAGTGTTATGCTAAGTGAACAAAGTCAGATGTAGGAGGCTACTGACTGTATGACTCCGTGTATATGAAATTCTAGAGTAGAAAAAACTACATTGCCAGGCCTGGGGGATGGGATTGACCACAAAAAAGCAAGAAGGAGCTTTTCAGGTGATGGAAATGTTTTATATTATGATATGGTGGTGGTTATATCATTATATACACTTGTCAACACTCAATGAATTATACCTTTAAAATTGATAGTTTTTATTGTAAGTAAACTCTATTTCAAAACTTGAAAAAAAAATTGTGGGATGCAGCTAAAGCAGTGCTTATGGGAAAGTTATAGCATTAAATGCTTATATTATAAAAAGAAGAAAAGTCTAAAAGCAGTGACCAAAAGTTCATTCCATCTTAAGAACCTAGAAAAAGAAGAGTAAATTAAACTCAAAGCAAGTAGAAGGAAGAAAGCTAAATTAGTTAAATGCTAAATTAGTGAAGTAGAAAACAGACCAACAGAGAAAGTGTACAGATCCAGCATCTCATAGCAATACTCAGAATGTTCCAAAATTACTCATCATACCAGAAACCAGGCAAATTGCAACTTCAATGAGAAAAGATAATTAACAGACGCCAACAAGGTGACACAGATGTTAGAATTATCTGGTAAAGATTTTTAAAAGGTTATCACAAAAAAAGCCTCTAATAAGCAATTATGACTACTGTCAAAACAAATGGAAAACAGAAAGTTTCAGTAAAAAGACAGAAGATATAAAGAAGAGCTAAATGGAAATTTCAAAACTGATTACAATACCTAAAATTGAAAACTCACTGGATGGGCTCAATAGGAGAATGGAGATAACAAGAAAAAACTGGAGAACTTGAAGATAAATCAATAGGAATTCTCCAGTGTGAACAACAGAGAAGAAATAGATTGGCGAAAAATGAACAGAGCTTCAGAGACTTGTGGGACAATCACAAAAGATATAATATTTGTGTCATTAGAATTTTAGAAGAAGAGAAAGAATGTGGGACTGAAGAAATATTTGAAGAAATAATGGCTAAAAACGTCCCAAATTAGCAAGAGACATAAATGTACAGACTCAAGAAGCTGAACCAACCACCAACATCCAAAGAATAAATAGTATAAATTTACATAAATTGTGTAACCTGAATAAATTGTAGCAATACTTCTTATTTCAAATAGTAATTAGAAAAGAGGAAAAATAAACTGGTTTATATATCCAAATATATATACATAAGGAAAGGAGAAAATATGCATAGGTGCCACATTCTTTGCTTCTGTTGCTTGATCTCCAGACCATAGGTGATATTTGTAACTTTCTTCTTCTTCTTCTTCTTTTTTTTTGAGACGGAGTCTCTCTGTCGCCCAGGCTGTAGTGCAGTGGCGCAATCTCGGCTCACTGCAAGCTCCGCCTCCCGGGTTCACGCCATTCTTCTGCCTCAGCCTCTCCGAGTAGCTGGGACTACAGGCGCCCACCACCACGCCCGGCTAATTTTTTGTATTTTTAGTAGAGACGGGGTTTAACCGTGATAGCCAGCATGGTCTCGATCTCCTGACCTCGTGATCCGCCCGCCTCAGCCTCCCAAAGTGCTGGGACTACAAGCGTGAGCCACCATGCCCGGCCGTAACTTTTTTCTTCTATCCATTCCATGTTCCCTTCGTTCCCAACCAGCAGTCTTGCATATTTACTACAGACCCAATTTCTTTAATGTCTCTAATACAATTCAGATTTCCTTCTTGTGTTGGTTTTGATAAATTGTATTTTCCAGGGAATTTGTTCATTTTATCTAAATTACAAAATGTATTGGTATAAAGTCATTCGTAATATTCTCTTGTTGTTTAAAGCCTGTAAGATTTGGAATGATGTACTCTTTTTCATTCCTGATACTGGCAATTTTTGTTTTATGTCTTTCATGATGAATCTTGTTGGAGGTTTATCCATAATCTTTTCAAAGAATTGACTTTTTTTTTTTTTTTAAAGACAGAGGGTCTCACTCTGTCACCCAGGCTGGTGTGCAGAGGTGCAATTGTAGCTAACTGTAACTTCAAATTCCTGGGCTCAAGTGATTCTCCCACCTCAGTCTCCCCAGTTGCTAGGACTACAGAATTGTCCCACTATGGCTAATTTTATTTTTTGGCGGGGGGTGGGGGCGGTAGACAAGCTCCTGCTATGTTGTTGTGGGCTGATCTTGAACTCCTGGTTTCAAGCAATCCTCCTGCCTCGGCCTCCCAAAGCACTGGGGTTACAGGCATGAGCCACTGCACCTGGCCTCAACTTTTGAGTTTTGTTGATTTTTCTGTTGTGCTTTTTTTGTATTTAATTACTACTCCTTTCTTGATTAATTTCTTTCTCTCCTTTGATGAATTTAAGTTGCTGTTGTTTTCTAGCCTTTTGACTTGATAGATCAGGTCATTGATTTCAATATTTGTTTTTCTAATATATGCATATAAAGCTATAAATTACTCTTCAATTGCTGCCTTAGGTGCATTTCCAGATTTTGATGTGTCATATTTCTATTGTCTTTAAGCTCAAAATATTTTCTGATTTCCATTGTATTATCTTCTTTGACACATATTTATATAAAAGTACATTGCTTACTTTTGTCAGATTTTTAAGTTAATAGTTTTTTTATGGATTTCTGGTTTGATTCTACTGTGGTCAGAAAATATACTCTACGATTTTATTATTTTAGAATTTATTGAAACTATATGGCCCCATAAAAGGTCTATTTTGGTAAATGTTCTGTGTGTGATTAAAAAGAGGGCGCATATGCACCTGTGGATTTAATGTTCTTACTAGGCCAGTTAGGTAAGTCTAGCTACCTCAGCACCTTTAGCATAATCAAAATATCCCCTTGCTTGTTCTCTGAAATAAGCATCTCTATTTCTTCTTTTTTCTGTAGCCTTTGTCATTTCTGTAATAGTTAAATTCATTATCCTACTTAAAATTAAAAATGGTTTAAATACAGTATTTACTATATGAGAATCAAAGAGAAATCATGCAGCAGACCTTTTTAGCTGTTGCCCCAAAGAATTTTTAAGAGGCCTGGAGAGAGAGGAGTCTTCCATTTGGGAATTTTTTTTTTTTTTTTTTTTTTGAGACGGAGTCTCGCTCTGTCGCCCAGGTCGGACTGCGGACTGCAGTGGCGCAATCTCGGCTCACTGCAAGCTCCGCTTCCCGGGTTCACGCCATTCTCCTGCCTCAACCTCCCGAGTAGCTGGGACTACAGGCGCCCGCCACCGCGCCCGGCTAATTTTTTGTATTTTTAGTAGAGACGGGGTTTCACCTTGTTAGCCAGGATGGTCTCGATCTCCTGACCTCATGATCCACCCGCCTCGGTCTCCCAAAGTGCTGGGATTACAGGCGTGAGCCACCGCGCCCGGCCCCATTTGGGAATTTTTAAGAGAAGGAAGCCAGCAATCCCCCAGCATTTAGAGTGGTTTTACTAGGTCTGCTTGGATGCAGAAGAATAGACCAAGTGACTTCCTGAGATCCCTTTGGTTGTAATGATTCTAAGCCATCAGAAGTACAGGCAGATCTGTAAGGTGTGATTCCGTATGGAAAAGTACCAAACTTCAATGCATAAAAAATGTCAGATTCCTTCACTTTCTTGCGGAACACAGAGAGATTGCATGTGTTAAGATAAGGGTATATTTGCAGGTGATAGCCAACAGCATGTTGAAATTGAAGAAAGAAAACAAGAAGTTATTTTAATGGAGGAGAGAGAGCCGAATATGGTGAACCAGATCTTATTTCGTTCAGGATTCTAATGATGCCTGTACTGAGGAATAACGTGCAGATTCAAGCCCTAGACTTCCAGCATGTTTTTCACAAATGCAAAGGCATCCGAAGGCAGTGCTTATGTTAAAGGGTTGGAAGAATTGATTTACAGAGACCATTTTAAAGCAACTGGCTCCAGGTCTTGCTAAAGGAACATAAAGCAGTGATTAAAGGCCAGTTCACAGATTGCACTTCCGAGAGCTATGAGAGAAACTTGGGCCTAGTGTAAGAGGGAAGAGATGTAAGATAAATGATGAGGGAGATCTACCTGGATATTAGCTTGAAAATTGATAGTGCACTCTAGAATCACTCTCCAGGAGAAAGTTATTAGAGCCACAACAGTCCTTTCTCCATCCTTTGTCAAATCATTGCACAAATAGATGATGCCAATACACTATACTGGGATACACAAACAAGGCTGCGGCACACTAGATGTGACCCACCCGAGGCCTCACTGCTGATGGGTGAGGATTAGCTCTTTACATGAGCATTACCCATTCATAGCACCCCAGTCAGAAAGCTCTGTTTAAAAGAAACACAGTGTCAGAATGTGAAGATCTTAGGATCATCCTGTCACTTCAGGCTTTATTGCTGAGAAAACTGAAGTGCACAGAGGTTAAGTTACTTCTTTGGGGTGTTAAATGTACATTGAATATAATCCTTAAAGGCACACCATAGCAAGTTCTTGGGAATGAAAGGCTAGACCATGTAGGAAAGCCTGTTTTCTTCCAGTGTCTGTGACTTGAGCACACAGACATTTGGACCGAATACCGGGTATCATTATTTATTTAATTGGAAGAAAACAGAGGGGTTATTTGTGTGTTTATATGGGTCGTATTTCCTATTGGAAGGCAAAGCGCTTTGGGAAATGTTCCATTCTCTCTCCAGCCCTGAAATCAGGAGCTAGGAATGATCTTCTCTGGCCCTGTGTGTTTCTGACTTGTTTGACAAGCTCTAGTGAGCTACCAGATGTGGAAATTCTTTTCAGCCTGGGATAATTTATTTATCTGTTTATGTATTTTACTAGGAAAGTATCTATTGAGTTCTTGATACTCATTTGCGAGGGACTCCTAGGGGAACAGTAGCAGTGTATAGTGTTACTTGAATGTTTGATTTTTTTTTTCCAAGTCTGTCTGCTTTTATTTCAGATCTGAGAGCTGGGAAATAAAAAGCAACTTATTCCTCCTCCCCTCCTCCATCTTTGAGAGAGACAGTTTAAAACATGTGGCAGAAAATGAGCCATGGAGACTTGGCTGAATGTATGAATCTGTGAATTTATTTTTTCTTTCATTCTTTGATCCTCATTTCCAACCATAAAAATTACTAGTAGCACTTAAGTGTTGAACATTTTCACCTGAGAGATGTGAAATGCTCTTGGCTAAGAATATTCATTATAAAGTCAGTGAATGAATTCCTATTCATGTGAGAATACGAGTTCACCAGAGCAACTGTGTGTTGTTAGGCACACAAAATATTGATGCTCTCCCTTTTACAACCTGGGCATCTTGTAGGTGGTAGCACTGGTAAAACCTCCTGAGTGCTAATACATTGTGAGAATTTATTTGTATTACTTTGTTCACAACTTCCTAAGGTAATAACAAGTACATACTCTCAAAGAACCATGGAAGACCGCAAAATAGCATGGAATGCCCCAGTTTTTTCATGAGAACATAAAACCATCTTTGAGTGGGGTTTCCTGATGCAGGAAGCACCAAGAAGAAAGACACCAAAGGAGAATGAGCTTGGTGTGTGTGGTAGTACAGGGGACCCATCATCATAGCGGTGTGGCAGAGTAGGAATTTTGTTTTGGTGAGCAGTGGAAGCTAGGCTGCTTAGGGTAATAGAGGGCCAGCGGAGGTGCAGGCTGAGAGGTCAACTGAAAAGTTTAATGTGACAGGCAGAAAAGAGGTGTTGTAGGTTTTTAGAGAAGTATATGGTAAAAGCCATCAGATCACAAGATGACTTAGAGGTTGCAGAGACTGGAGATTGTGCTAGTGGAAAATCTATAGACTTAGTGTTTGAATGGATTGAAGAACCAAGGAGAAGGAAAAGACCAGCTTACTCCATAGCTCAGATTTAATTAGTGATGAGGGGGCCTCACTAATTGGAGAATTCCAGAGCTGAGATGCTGTATAACGTTTATATTTTAAACAGAATTAGTAAAACTTATGGCTATCTATATGTGTATTCAAGGAGAGTAAGAGATTATAGAATCTGCAATTCTTTTTTTTTTTTTTTTTTTTTTGAGATGGAGTCTCACTCTGTTGTCCAGGCTGGAATGCAGTGGCACAGTCTTGGCTCACTGCAACCTCTGCCTCCTGGGTTCAAGTGATTCTCCTGCCCCAGCCTCCCGAGTAGCTGGGATTACAGGAACCTGCCACCATGCCCAGCTGATTTTTTTGTATTTTTACTAGAGATGGGGTTTTCACCATGTTGGCCAGGCTGGTCTCAAACTCCTGACCTCAGATGATCTGCCCGCCTCGGCCTCCCAAAGTGCTGGGCCTACAGGTGTGAGCCACTGCACCCGGCCTAGAATCTGCAATTCTAAATAAATGATCCCACTTTTTCTCTTCTCACTACAACAATTGAAAAATAGAAATGACATATCCTAGAATTAGACTTCATAACCTCCTTTAAAAACTAGCAGATGACTGAGCACAGTGACCCATTCCTGTAATTCCTACACTTTGGGAACCTGAGGTGAGAGAATGGCTTGAGGCCAGGAGTTCAAGACCAGCCTGAACAACATAGTGAGACCTCATCTCTACTAAAAATTAAATTAAAAAAAAAAAAATTAACCAAGTGTGGTGGCGCTCACCTGTAGTCCCAGCTACTCAGGAGGCTGAGTGAGGTGGGAGAATCACTTGAGTCTAGGATCGTGCCACTGCACTCCAGCCTGGGCAACAAAGTGAGACCCTGTCTCAAAAAAATAAATAATTAAAAATAAAAATGCAAAACAAGTCTTGGACATGCTTCTCACAGGCTTGTGCTTATGATCCTTCTGATAAGAAATTAACTGCTTACCTCCCTAGATTTACATTCCAGAATCTTAAATATGAAAATGTGCCTCAGTCTGTTGGGAATCCAGGAGGGTCTCTGCAGAAGGGTTTTTCTTTATGGCACATGGAACCTCCTATCTCATCTTGCCATGGATGGGTTCTAGGAAAGGCTCACCCTTTGAGTTCATCTTGGACAGAGAGAAACTCGGTTCTTACTTACATAGCTGAGGCTGATAAAAAAGGGGGCATCCCTAACAGAGGAACCATAAAACAAAGTACATACCTGCAGTGCATCCACTTCCAATAAATATACTTATTGAAAGTATTTCAGCTTTCAGTGGGAACTAGCACCTTAGATTTTCATTCCTTGACCTCTTGTGTGACTCAGATCGTTGAGCCTAAGTCTGACCTAGTGATGACTGGGAAGATTAGGAATTAAAGTCTTTCTTTCTCTTATCTGGATGGTGGCCTGTATCCAGAGTGCAGTGTGGATCCAGTCTAGTAGTCAGCTTGCACGGCTGCTGGTGTGTTGCTGGTGCTGGAATTCACAGTGAGCCAGGCCTGGTTTTGGTGTGCACAAGGTCAAACCTTGCCAGAGCTGCACTGGATCAACTTTTGTGCTAGGTCTGACACTAAAGCTTTACAGTGTAACTAGGACCAGTTTGCCAAAGTTGAGCTTTTAGAAAACCATAATTTTTTTAGGCCTGTTGTGTACCCTGTTCTTTAAGTTGATGGGTGTGAGCTGTCTTTGAGCCTTGTGTATATATCTGAGTAAGCAACAGTTCCCCCGAGTACCTTTCCTTAGCCTGGCCATAATGTCAGTACAGTATTGAAAAGAGCATATCTCTGTCTGTTACCTCCATTTTTCACTTTTTGGAAGTACCTGAAGGGTTGCCATTATAGAGACTATTGTCTTTAGAAGAGAATGGGCCACAAACAGCTCATTTCTGTGAGTGTTCCCACCTGTCAGGTACAGTTAGAGCTTCCCAAAAGAGACAAATGGAAGACTGTGGTCAGAGGTGAGTCATTCTTTCTTAGAGGATCATCTCCCTGGAGTATTTTTCACATTGCTTCAGGCTCCCTGTTTTTCAGCCTGTAGGAGAACTAAATAATCTATTAGGTCTGTCCTATCTCCAGCTTGCATTGATTTACACCCCCAAGACTCACAGGGACCTGGAGAGAAAATAGTTCATGTGTGCCACGGCTGCAGCAAGTGCTGCTGAAAGAAGATCCCAAGTAGTGGGCCAGAAGCCCAGGGAGGTGCTGAAGGAAGCCGCAGTAAAGCCTGACCTCTCAGAGCTTCTCTAAAGCACCCAGTCCCCATTGGAGAACAAGTCAAACAAATGTTAAGGGAAGGAAATCAAATATGTTTGCTGAACATTGAAATAACATCTGATCATTGAAAAAAAGCACCTAGTTGGGAATTACAAGAGAGTGGCACTTTTTTCTTCCCCACTGAGCAAATTAAAACAAGTTCAGAATTTGTTTATATAGCCATTAATGAAACATCCAATGTAGAACTAGCAGCCTCCCTGCCCCACAGAGGAGGGCACATACTGCTTGCTGGCACATCTGCCCATCTGAGGGTCTCTCCTCCTCGAAGACCCCCATTCCAAATAAGCCCATTCCATTGGTTTTAGTATGTGCCAAGCAGCCCTAGTGAGGAAAGAGCCCTGCAGACCTTTCCATGGCCAGCGCTGTGTGTTCTGCACCCTCACCTCACCCCAGGATCTTTCCTATCTGCAGCACCATGGAGGCCACCTGGTTTCGTATCTCTGCTTCCAAACTAGTGCTCATAATATGAGATCGTTATTTTAAAGAGGTGTTGGTACATTTGATGGTTTAAAGAATATGTACTTTCCCTCCCCCTGTTCAAAATGAGATATCTGCAATGATATTCCAACCCTGAAAGGATCCATATGTTTGAGGGTTATTGTTTTAAAAGCTGCCTGCTGTCTCATTGGGATTGATTACAGGGGAGCTTTGGCTGCTTCAGGAATTCAGAGCTTCAGAATTTGGCTTATGGTTTTGGGATGTGGGGAATTTGTCTTCATGGGCTGTTTATCTGCCTTAATTGTGATAGAGATGCTCCAAGGAGATGTGTGGGCAGGATTGGGCCCAGGGCCAGGGTAAATCAGAGCAGCCCCAGGCCTGAACTCCCCAGTTCACTCAAGACGGCAGTGTATGTAGCTTTCGGAGGAAAGCTCTATCATTTCTCCTGAATATGAAGCTGCACCCATTCATTGCAAAATTGTACAACTGCCTGCAAAATCGTGAGTTTCAGGCAGTGGTTGGTGATTGCTATTGCATTAGACATAGTGATTCCACATTTGGGGAGAATAAAGAGAAAGAAAACTTGAAGGATCAGAGTAGTCCCAGACCTTGGAAATGTCACAACTGTGAAACAAGTCTCTAGAAAGCAAGATAAACTAATCAGTGTGATATTTACAGCTCATCTCTCGATCATATTTATTTCTTGGTGCATGAAAATTGGTTCCTAGGGTTCACATTAATCATGATGAAATATATTTACTACTGTCTGTTGGCTGGTTTAGATCAAGAGTTGGCAACCATTACTAGTAATATTTCTAGGTTCCCAACCAGCATTTAGGCTGAAGATTTCAGGGGTTGGGTGGAGGTCATGACCACATGTTGACACTCTGTGCTTGGAGAGGGAAGGAAGAAACTGACTTCTCACAACCACGGCCACTAAATATATCCACAGCAGAGATCTGGGCTTGATTGAAAGCCTCTTCTCCAGTGTGGTCCATTCATGCAAGAATTGTATCTGCCTTGTTTACCACTGTATGCCTAAATGCTTGACACATAGTAGCTGCTCAATAAATATTTATTGAATTGAATGTGTTTGGACATTGAATTTATATATACTTCCTGTCAGTAGAATTGTAAGGGGTTGTTCAAAGTATGATTCCATATTCCATATTCAGTGGAAAAGTCCTGGTCTTTTCCTTGCTGACTTTTTCAACAAATGGTGCTGAAAGATTGGACATCCATGGGCAAAAATTTAACCTTGGCCTGGACCTCACACTACATGCAAAAATTAACTGAAAGTGAATCAGATTTAAATGTAAAACATGAAACCATAAAACTTTTAGGAAAAAAGGAGAAAGTCTTCAGACTCTAGGGCTAGGCAAAGAGTTCTTAGATATGACACCAAAAGCATGATCCATAAAAAAAAAAATTGACCAATGAGACCTCATCAAAATGTAAAACTTTTGCTCTGTCAAAGACCTTGTGAAGAGGACAAAAAGACAAGCTATATACTTGGAGATAATATTTGCAAACCACATATCCAACAAAGGGCTAAACATCTAGAATATGTTTTTTAAAACTCTCAAAACTCAACAATGAAAAAACAAATAATCCAGTTAGAAAATGGGCAAAGGCCATGAACAGACCTTGCACTGAAGAGGATATACAGGTGGCAAATAAGATGTTCAGTATCATTAACTATTATGGAAATGCAAAATAAAACTGCAATGAGATATCATTACACACCTATAAGAATGGCTAAAGTTAACCAAAAAAATACAAACAGCAAATGCCAATGAGAATACAGAAAAACTGGACCACTCATATATTGTTTTTGGAAATATAAAATGGTATAGCCACTCTGAAAAATAGTTTTGGTAGTTTCTTATAAAATTAAACATGCAACTACCATAGGACTCAGCAATTACACATTTGGGCATTTATCCCAGAGGAATGATAATTTATGCTCACATGAAAACCTATATGTGAATGTTTGTAGCAGCTTTATTTGTAATTGCCAAAACCTGAAATCAGCCCAGGCATCCTTCAGTGGATAAATGGTTAAGCAGACTATGGCACATGCATACCATGGTATATTATTCATCCATAAAAAGAGCAAACTACTGATACACACAACAGCTTGGATGATTCTCCAGGGAATTATGCTGAGTGAAAAAAGCCAGTCCAAAAAGGTCACATACTGTGTGATTCCATTTATATAACCTCCTTGAAATGACAAAATTATAGAAATGGAGGACAGATGGGTGCTTGCCAGGAGTCAGGGATAGGGAGGGAGACAGTTGTGTGTCTTTTTTTTTTTTTTTTGTGACGGAGTCTCGCTCTGTCGCCTGGCGACAGAGTGTAGTGGCGTGATCTCCGCTTACTGCAAGCTCCGCCTCCTGGGTTCACGCCATTCCCCTGCCTCAGCCTCCCTAGTAGCTGGGACTATAGGCACCCGCCACTAGGCCCGGCTAATTTTTTTGAATTTTCAGTAGAGACGGGGTTTCACCGTGTTACCCAGGATAGTCTCGATCTCCTGACCTTGTGATCCACCCGCCTCGGCCTTCCAAAGTGCTAGGATTACATGAGTGAGCCACTGCACCTGGCCCGACAATTGTGTCTTAAAAGTTCAACAGGAGGGACCCTTGTGGCTGTGGAAATGCTCTGTACCTTGATTCTATCAATGTCAATTTCATGTTGTGATGTCATACAATAGTTTTGCAAGATGTTGGGGGAAACTGGGTAAAGCGTATACAGGCTCTCTGCATTATTTCTTACAACTACATGTGAATCTATAATTATCTCAAACTAAAATGTTTAATTTAAAAAATATTGGGAGCTTAGTATCTGTGAGTCAGATGCATAATGAATTAATAAAATAAGAACACTCAAATCTCTCCGTCCCTAAACTTGTATGACTTTAGCTTGATGTTGGATTGCCTTTTCTGAATCTTAATATCAAAATTAAGATTTTAAAACTAGATGGAGTATATCTGGAGATCTATCTATCTATATCTATATCTATATTTATTAGATATATGTGTACATATATTAGATATATGTGTTTATATTTATATTGAATAATATTGAGGACATCATCTGTTATGATACTTTGGACTTTAGTTTTGCCTTTTATTATAAGTGACCCCAAATCATTTTTTGGAAATAGATGAGATATAAATAAATAAGTAATCTGAAAAAGTCCCTCTGCTGCTTGATTCTCCACCAAGAGATTATGGGATTTAAGCACACATATAGGGCACTAGGATGAAATAACGCATTAAATAATGTTTTGGGAAGCAGATTTATGCTTTGAAGCCAGCCAGAATTACTGAGTTTGTGGTCACTGTCATTTCGTACCTTTGCACAGTAATAAGAAAACAAAGGGGATATGCTGTAGTGTCCCTGACTGCAAGTGATGGAAGTCAGCAGGGCAGCTACTTGAAGTAAGCAGAGTTTATTTTCTCCTTGGTGGACAGAGCTAATATCTTTGATCCCTGGTCATTTAAGTTGAGCCTCACCAAAATCAACTTGAAATTTTGAAGGCCCAATAATAGTTGTTTATAAGAAACTGAAGTCTCTGTTTCCACTGGTTGTGTAGGATTTAAAGAGAATCATCATTTGGCTTATGATGACTATTCTCCTTTTAACTTCATTAAGCAATCTCCTGAGATTAGACTTAGAAATAGTATGACCCACACTGGAGCTGAGGTTATGGAAATAAAAGTGATTTCATCTTTACTGGGTCTTAGGGAGCACAGAATTAGAAAACCCACGACCTGATCCTGACCCATCTCTTCCTCCTCCTCCCATCCCCTCAAACTCTCATCTCTCCTTCCCTTCTTATTATCTCCCAAGAGATTCATTGCCTCATGAAAAATAGTATTTGGGGTTAATCTTTCATTTAGCTGCTTTTTGCTTGTGTTTCCTTCTCTGCCTCAGAGCCTCACAGATTACGAGGTTCCAGTAGGCCCTCAGATGTCAGATGTGGAGTCTCACTAGTTTGCTGCACAGCTGACTGGAGTTCTTTCTTTTAATGGTGTGAGCATATGGCTTTCTTTGCTAGATGGAAACCACATTCACAAAGAGCCTGTAGCTTTTAGAAATGAAGACTGATGGGAGCAAAGGGTTTTTTCGTGTTCCCTGCCTCCTCTCCCTACCTGGTTCTATTCTGAATCTGGTCATTCAGCAGGCACCTGTGACCCTCTTCATATCTGCCACTGGCACCACAGAGCTGAAGAACATTGACCCTGAATGTCGTTTTTGACATCATAATCTGACTTCTTTGTTTTCAGGTGAGGGGCTGAGCTTGGGGACAATAAGGTGCTTTTTAGAATTAGCATAGTAGGAAGTCAGATGACTTCATGAATAGAAGATTGGACTGGGAGTTCGGGCCAATTTAGACTTGACCCAGCACTGTAACCTTGGGAGAACCATGTCTCTCCAGGTCTCAGTTTTCTCATCTGTGCAATGAGGGAACTGGACCAAGTCACCTCTGCCTTCTACATGATCTCTGAGGTTGCAGATCTCTGAGATAGCTTGGACAGTGGTCATCAGCTCCAACTGCCAAAGTGTGAGTCTTCTTATTATCCACAGAAGGCTCATGGTTATGCTGTCCAGTGAGCTGGTACAGATACAAGGATGAGGCACATGTTTAAAGACACTTTCTTTGGCAGTATCTTCCTAGTAGTGGTAATTATTGAAAGATTTAATGGCACAGATTTTTTTATCAACTATGGCCAACCCCAGTCTGTCTCTTTGCCATCTTCATGGCACCTGGCCTTAAAAAATAACTTGCAAAGAATGGAGATCAGGTGCCCCAGTACCAAGGTACCAACCTCTAGCCAGACTGGAGCAAATGGGAATGCTGCCCAAACCCCAGAAGCCTGCCCATGTAATTGGTTTTCCTGCGTGGCTTATTTTAAGCAAGCTCCTGCCTGGGGTTGGGAAGGTCTCTCGGACAGACTAAAGTGATCTCACAGGTAAATCTTAATCCATAATGCAGTTTGTCCATGTGTTTGTCAAAACTAGTCAGCATTAGGGAACTCTACATGACAACTTCTGGGCTCCTTGGCTGTAGATGGCTAGTATCAGCATTGAATTGTGTCCCAGGAGTGAATGAAGGCTCCTTGGCTTTTCTCAAAGCACATCCTTGACAAAAACTGCCAACTACCACTGTAGTTAAAAGCATAAGCTGAAAATGAAGGCAGTCAGTCCCTCCATTCCACTTCATTTCAGGAAATTCCAAAAATAAAAGGTGAGCTTTGTTCCCAGAGGGCTGAGAGTGAATCCTATAACTGGCTCCTCTGTGGAAACCAGCTCGGAATTGGAAGCCAGCCAGCTGCCCCTTTCCCATCTGGGCAGCATGCAAGACGAAGCCTGAAGGGAAGAAGGGCCACTAATTCAAAGATGCTTTTGCATATTGGATTCCTTGTGCTCTGTCTTGGCTGACCCAGCCATGTGACAGCAAGGTTTGAGCTGGTTCATAGAGCTCTGTTGCACTTTAATGGTTAAGGATTGACCAAACTCAGGCAGTGTGTGCAAGGAAGGAAATGAAGCCATTGCCAAATTTGATGTGCCTTGGATCTATAGACTGCACCCCCAATTCCATTTCTCTCACTACTTCTTAGTCTGTCTCTTGGTTCATGAGTCCTGATACATTGCTCACCCAGTAGCAATATCCCTGTGGAACTGTGCCTTTGACAGTGTGATGACTGTAGAAGCCACTTCAGAGTGGCTTTTCTCCTAGTGCTGGCCCGTGATTTCATAACTGAACGTCCCAGATGGGCACCACCTGTTGTTACACCTTCCCCCTTCTCCCCCTAGTCTGTTTCCGGAATCTGACTGCGGTTAGCACACACCCTGAGTTTAAAATGCACTCTCTAAGCTGGCTTAGAAGGTAGTGCATTAACTTCTTTTTAGGACCATTTATTGGGTACTTCTATGTGTATGGCATTTTAAACAAAGTTAGATAATGCAGCCCATGCTGTTTAGAAACTTACAACTTGAAACAGATCACAATTGGTGGGTTAGTTCCCTGGGAACAGGTCAGTGAGGAGGAAGATAAAAAATCTCAGCTGTTAAAGGACATCAGAATTCACTTAATCCAATCCCTTATTTTATAGATGGCAAAATGGAAGCAAGACACCTTGAATAGGTCAGTTGCACAATGCACTAGTGGCAGAGCTTCCTGGACCTACTTTAACCATGTGCCTCTGGTCCACTTTCTATAGGATGTGAGACTCAATCTAGGCTGCCCCCTGTGGGCTTTTACACAAAGGTAGAAGATATTTGTTTGATCCTATCTATAGTAATGGGACACGACAAAAGACCTCAGGAGGCTCAAGAAAGAAGAACTTGGAAAATGGCCAAGTAAGCATAGCTGAGAATCTAGAGAGCAGAACATTTCCATAATCAGGTAAGAGGTGTTGAGGACCAACAGGTAAGAGGTGTTGAGGATCCTTCACTAGAATGTAAGCTCCTTGGGAGAAGTCTCCTTGAATACCTTGTCCATCACTTTAACCCCAGTACCTGGAAGAGTGTCCAGCATAAAGGTTGGGTTAATAAACATCTCAAGTCTGATGGAAGCCTATGAATGCTTACTATGCAACTTCACACAATCCTTACAACAGCCCTATGATGTAAATATAAAAATTAGAATGGAAAGAAACAGTTGGAGGACGTTCTTACATTGTTACAATCCCCATTTGACTAGTGGTGTGGGATAGCCACAAATGGAAGGACTATCCAAATTATTGCTAAGTCCCTAACTTAGGCATAGAGTTTTTTATAACAGAGATAGGCTTCTGTCCCCAAAGATGCGTGCAATTTAAAATAGATGGGGGCACTATATATATGGAGGATTTCAACAGTATAGACAATTTAATATTGACTTTGTGAATAATATAACTGTGGAAGCACTGTTACTGGAACTCCAGGGATATTCTGTGAAGTTTCAAATGCCCACACCACAATATATAAAGGCATTTGGTAGTAATGACAAAAGGCTTACCCAGAGCATTTCCCCAAGGTAAAAGGAAAAAAGTTGAATTAGAGTAGGGGTGGGTAGCCATGAAGAGACAGGGTAGAGTTTGAGCTCTTGCTCGTCTGGCTGGGAAAATGCTTTACTGTATACATAATCGACTTCGTACTACACTAGGGCTCAATTAGAGAGGGCCCATCCCATTCTGTTTCACTCCGTTTTGATCCTGTAGTCAGCTGCAGAGTTATAGATTAAGTGACAAGGATGGTATCTTGATTGTATCCAGCTGCTTGGAATCAGTCAAGGGCTGAGAGGCCCCGCATGAGGAACAGCGCTCACTATAAAGGCTCCAAAGCAACCTGAAATTCAGGACACCTCTGATGCCTTTTAGAGCAGCATAGTTTAGTATCTGACCCATTGTCACCAAATTAAGTCCCTGAGAGGAGTCTGATAAGTGATTTCAGCCAACAGTAAGAGGACCGAAATCTTAACAGCATTGGACTTGACAACTGAGCCAATAATAGTAATAATGTAATTATTATGGCTGCAAAAGTGGGGCTTGTAAAGAAGAATCCCTAGGGAAAGCGATTTGAACTTTTCTTAGCATGGAGGAGAGAGCTGTGTTGACTCAAAGTAAACAGGGGGAGAAAAGCAACTTCCATCTTCAGCAGAAGTGCCAACTGAATTGGATGCCCCCTCCCCATGCCCTACTCCTTTTCTTTCACTTTGGCATCCCTGGTGTTTAGTTATGTGTGCTTGGGGCCCTTCGGAAATCTCTTTAACCCCATGAATCAGTGATCATGGCATTGGTGTGACTTGAACAGGCAGGTGCTTGGTGCTGAGAAAAGGAAGCTGGCAGCACATTTCATGGCATCTGCCCAGGCCCACAAAACAAACAGAAGTTATGGCTCACATACTGTGTTGCTGCTCTGGGCTCTATAAAACTGTAATAGTATCATATTATTTTAATCTGCTGAAATACAAATCCCAGAGTAGAGAGAACACAGCAGCAGCATTACACGTCTGAGAAAATGTTTGACATGGATTCATTTGTCTGCAGCTATTATGACGATGCCTGCGGTCGATTAGCTCTGTTGGTTACAACACAGTGTTAATGAAGCCAAGGTTGTGGGTTTGAGAGCCCTGTTAGGTGAGCTGGTTTCACACAAATGAAAGCTCTTTTCATGATCCCAGACCACGCCCAAGACCTAGGTCAGACATTCCATAAAAACACGGAGATGGTCACAGTGAGGACTGGGCAAGACAGTGCAGTGTCTCACCAAAAATGCCCCTTTACCTGCTTCTGGAAAAACAAGTCACAACATGTGCTTTAGTGGGGAATTAGGACTGTGGTCTTCACACAGAATGGATATCACGTTATTATTCATGGTAACTGCTGGTCAGTACTGCTGCAGGCTTCCTTCCTGAATTAAGGAATATACTGGCTCTGGTAAATATTTTCTCTGAAGAAAAGAGAAGGATTTTTGGTCCCCTTCATTCTTGGCTTTTTACTCACTGAGATTCTGCCCATTCGTGTGTTAGACAACTGTGTGTGGAATGTTGTTGCATACCAGGCACTGTTCTTTGTGCGTGGAATACCACAGTGTATAAAACAGTCTCTGTCCTCTTTGAGTTTAAATTCTGCAAGAGGAAAATACATAATAAACAATAAATAACCAATATAATGGTGCAAGTGAAAGTTTGGTAAAGAAAAGGATGAGGTTGGAGGGGTGTAGCGAGGAGTGGCTGGTTGCGGGTGCTGTTTGCTTCAGCAAGGAAGGTTCGAGAAGCCCTCTCAAAGTAGTTGACATTTAAACAGGGACCTGACAGATGAGAAGGACCCAAGCCTTTGGAAGAGCTGGAAGAACACTCCAGCCAGAAGAAACAGCAAGTGCAGAGGGCTTGAGGTCTAGTGGTGGCTGAAGAACAGAAGGGCCACTGGAGAGTGAGGGGACATGGTGAGAGAAGAGGTGAAGAGTGGATGGGCCCTCTGTGACATGTGAAGGAGTTCGGATATTATTCTCAGTGCAGTAGGAAGCCATTTTGTTTTGTTTTGAGGGCGGGACCTTTCTTTAAATATTTTGGGAGCGATATTATGGGTTGAATTGTTGAAGTCCTGATCTTCAGTACCTCAAAATGTGACTTTATTTGGAAATGGGGTATTTTCAGAGGTTAATCAAGTTAAAATGTTGTCAGGGTGACCCCTAATTCACAGACTGATGTCCTTATCGAAAGGGGAAATTTAGACACAGAGATAGACTTGCACAGGGGGGAAGATGGCCTTGTGAAGATGGAGGGTTGGAGTGAGGCATCTACAAGCCAGGCAATGCCAGAGATTGACAGCCAGCTACCAGAAGCTAGGAAGAGGCAAGGAAACATTTCCCGATATGTTTCAGTGGGAGCATGGCCTTAATAACGCCTTGCTTTCAGATTTCTAACCTCTAGAACTTGAGACTAGTTTCTGATCTAAGCCCCCCAATTTGTGGTTCTTTGTTAACAGCAACCCTAGGAAACTGAAAAGGGCATAGGGTCCAAACACACTGGCTCTGCCCTAGGGAATGGCATGAAGTGTCCTTTCTGGACTCAGCAACACTTGTGTGTTGGGGAAGCCTCTAGTTGCTCTGGCATATGATCATATGACTTTTATATATATTTAGGGAAATCGATGATGAAAATAACTATATTAAAATAGATATAAAATAGGATAGAATGCACTAGTTGAATTACCCTGTGCAGAATACCCTAATATTCTTTTAGGAATGGTCCTTTTAGGGATGCTGTGCAAATGATGCTTTGGAAGGGCAAGAATGGCACGAAGGAGACAAGTTAGAAGGCTAGCACAGTAATCTTGGTGATAGATCGTGGTGGTTTGGGCTAGAGGGAATGGCACTAGAGGTGGTAAGAGATAGAAGAAGAGCCAGCAGTACTCGCTAATGGATTGAACATGAGGAAAGGAAGGAATAAAGACTGAGTCTTAGCTTTTGGGTTTGAGCAACTGGCCGGATGATTTATTGAGATGGAGAAGATTGAGAGAATGACTTGTCTAGGGATAAGGAATCAAGACTTATGTTTTGGACGTGTTAGGTTTGTTTATCCAGGTGGAGATATTAACTAAGTGGTTGGCTATCTTAGGAACATTCGGGGCTAAACATAAATTTAGAGGTCACCAGATTATTGATGATATTTAAAGTGATTGAAACTAGATGAGACTACTTAAAGAAAGAGTTTGAAGAAGAGAATAGAGCCTAGGACCGAATTCTCAGAAGTCTGGTGATGGTTGAGGAACTAGCAACAGAGACTGAGAAGAAGCACCAAGACTAGCCAACAAATTGTTATACTCATTCATGGTATGGATCTTTTCAAGGTTAGACTAAATTATACAGAAACACATGGGAGAAGGTACTGGAAGTTCCTCATCCCCAGTATACCCAATTCTGCTTAATCCAACAAAGCTCTTATGTAAGGACCTTTCCAGATTTGGAAAGCAAGTATTTGTTTTCATTGTTTTACAGATTACAGAATCAGACAGCCCTTCTATCCTTTAGGCTTCCAGTAGGTCATAAGAATGGTGTATGCTCAAGAGAAATAGATGCTTTTTTTTAATAAGAAATGGGACTTTATCATAAGTTTTCATAATCACCAATTTAATACAAATCAGGGCAGTTGAGTTGCAGGGTTCCATTTATCCTTCATTTTGTGAATTCATTAAGAATGGAACCTATTTCATTAATCATATGTTAAGAGATTGCCTACCTTGGCCCAACTCAGTAAGCTATTACCCCCACATTAATTGAAATTCCCAAGCATATACAAGAAGATTGGGAGGAAGTCAGAATCAGCATCTGTCTTTGAGTTTTGGCAGAATAACTAACACCTGTTTGATGGAACATCTCCAGAATCCCATTATGACCTTCTTAGGTTATGATGGTTTGAACCTAGGAAGTCTGTTGATACCTGTTTGGATAACTCAGCACTGAATGGTTGCTGTCTGAATTGGGACTTGATTGTTATTATGTGTCTGTCCTTAGGTCTGGCGGGAATTTCCTGACC
This sequence comes from Homo sapiens, assembly GCF_000001405.40. Taxonomy (NCBI): domain Eukaryota; kingdom Metazoa; phylum Chordata; class Mammalia; order Primates; family Hominidae; genus Homo; species Homo sapiens. Next base: position 44,232,375 of record NC_000011.10, read on the forward strand.
GGTTGGTGGGTTACCCGGGTCGTCTGCATCTCTGGGACCATGAGATGAATAAGTGGAAGTATGAGTCTGAGTGGACGAATGAAGTGTCCATGGTGCTCACTGGGGCAGCTTTTTATCACAAGGTAAGGGGGCGCAGTCCTGGCAAGGTGACAAAACTGAGAGAATGATACACATTTTATTTGACCCAATTTAATTTTTCATACCTGCCAAGAGGGCTTAGAAAAGCCATATTGTGTGACAGTATTTTACAAATAAAGCTATCCTTTTTCTAATTATAAAAGTAATGCACGCTCATAGTAGAAAATATGAAAATAGAATGAAGAAAAGTTACTTGTAATCCTGTCACTTCGAGATAACCATTTTATCATTCAGGTGCTATTTCCAGCTTGCCGTTTATTTATTTACTTACTTGTATGTATACACAGACAGTTGTAAATATTCTCATTAGCCTGCTTTTTCATGGATTGTATTGTGAGCCTTTTCTCATGTCATTGACATTTCTTCATAAACAGTTACTTGTTAGCATAATTAAGATACCATTATCTTAATGTTTTAGAAGTCATGTATAACTATTTTGCTATCGTGGATATTACTTTCTAAATTTTTGCTATTTTAAATAACGCTTAATATCTAATGTTAGTGATAGATGTCCATTTTCATAACTGTTTGTACTCATGACCATTGTGATAGATTCCTAGAAATAGAATTATTATATCAAAGGGCATGAATATTTTGGGTTTTTTAAGATGTATGTACATACATGTATATATACACATATACATATATATGTTGTGAATATTCTAAGCATATATATGTTGTGTATGTATACGTGTGTGTGTGTCTGTTGGTTTCAGGATTGTTTGTGCAAATTTACACTCCCACCAGCAAAATATAAAACTGTTTTACCATGCCTTTTCTTGCATGAAATATGATTAATAGAAAAGAAATGAGCAATTTTGATAAGTAAAAGTGAATTTTATTGTTTTAACTTTGATTTGATTACTAGTAAGACTGAAATTCCTTTTGTGTATTTATTAGCTTTTTGTACTTCCTCTCTTCTGGGAATCATCACTTCGTGTTTTTGACTCTTTTTTTATTAGGGAGAGATTGGGGAATATGCATTTGATTTTAGAATATTCAGTTCAATAGTAGAATGCTCCCTGGGAGTATATGGTTTAATTAAACAATCATAACTTGTCTGTTGTCAGCAGTAGCATAAAGAACTGATGTCGGGAGAAAGGTCTGTTCAGCTCAACACAGTTAATTTAATTTAGCTGTATTCATATCGATTGTTTGTTGTTAGCTCAGCACTACTGCCCTCATATTTTTCAGGTCTCTAGATCCAGAAATGGGTTTTTTTATTTTGTAATAAGCAAACAAAAAAACCCAAAAACTAAGGTTTACAATTCATGGGATTTACAGTAGTAGACTATGTATGCTTTATTTTTTTTGACCCAATAATTTCTACACTATTTCATATATATGGTAGTTTTAGAATTGCCTCATTTTTCTTCTACTTTAAAAAGCACACACTTTGGTAGAAAATGACCATATTGAACATGCTTGGTCACTTGACCAAAAGCATTCTAATGCCTCCTTTTACCCTTCCTATTAATACAGCCTTGTGATTAATCTTATGAGAGAAAGCTTGTCCCCATGCCTTGGCTATGCTGCCCCTTATTTATCAGCTAAAGGGAACTGCTATTTTTGAATATTTCTTCTTTCTGTCTCACTTGACAGTATTTTAATTACCTGTATACCTACAAAATGCCTGGGGATATCAAGAACTGGGTAGATGCTCATATGAACTGTGAAGATATTGCCATGAACTTCCTGGTGGCCAACGTCACGGGAAAAGCAGTTATCAAGGTAGGAGGCTCTGCCACTCACTTGCTTTGTGATCTTGGGCAAATATCTATTATCTGAGCCTAGGAAGTTCTTGTAACTATAAATTAAATATAGGACTAGATAAACTTTAAGCTCTATTTTAGTTTAAGGTTCTATGATTGATGCGGTCACATTGGGAAATTGAAGCTAGGCTTTGACAATTTAAACATATTTTCTTTTTTTATACAGTTTCTTTAGTTGCAGTTTTTAACCTTCAGTATCAGAATAAAGGCTATGATGATCAGTCTATAAATCAAAAAATTATATTCTCAAAGCTGATATGGGTTCTAGTTCTTTTAGTTAAAGGATGTAGTTTAAATTTTTCTTAAGGTAGCTGGTTTTTTTTTTAATAGATGTTGAGAAAATAGTACACCTCATACAGTTATGTAACTGTAGCTGTCCTAAACACAACGAATTTAATTGCTTTTAAATATCAATTACCAGTTTTTAAAAGTACCTTTCCCATAACATATTAAAAGCTGAGAATACACAAAGATCCTATGGGAGGCTTTTGTATCTGTAAAAGATGCCTGTTTATTCCTGAAATTTAGACATTGCTCAAATAAGATCCCTAGATATGTAGAGAAGGTACACTTCTTTATATGAGTAGAATCATCTTGGTCTTTTTTGCTTCTAGATTAGAATTTTGTGTGTTAAAATGGGCAATGCCAGGTTCCCTAGCAATCTGCCTAGAAAGCCAAATTCCTAGGTGAGCTTATGCTGGAAGCATGGTACAGCATTATCCATTGATTCCTTATGCTATTAATTGATAAGAGAAGCCAGATTAAACCAAAGTGTATAGGGAATAGGAAAAATCACTATCTGTGCTCACCAAACTTGCCCCAGTTCACACCCTGTCCCCCAGCTCTCTAAATAACTCAGTGAACAGCTGACCACAAAAAAAATTAAATAACATAAATTGTGAGAGTTGTTTTAAAGGGACCCTTCCCATCCCCAAATTTGCTTTTTTTTTTTTTTTTTTTTTTTTTGGTGAGACTGAGTCTTGCTCTGTCACCAGGCTGGAGTGCAGTGGCACAGTCTCGGCTCACTGCAGCCTCTGCCTCCTGGGTTCAAGCAATTCACAATTCTCCTGCCTCAGCCTCCTGAGTAGCTGGGACTACAGGTGCACGCCGCCATGTCCGGCTAATTTTTTTTTTGTATTTTAGTAGAGACGGCATTTCACCATGTTGCCCAGGCTGGTCTTGAACTCCTGAGCTCAGGCAGTCCACCCGCTTCGGCCTCCCAAAGTGCTAAGATTACAGGTGTGAGCCACTGTGCCTGGCCCCAAATTTGCTTTTTAACATGCTTCAACATGTTTTTAGCTGTGGCTGCTTACTCTGGACAGTAATGCCCAGTGTCTCTATGCTTCTTAGCCTAGACTTAGTTATCTAGCTTTCTTTCCCTTCCATCTCTTCACTGTTTATTTATCTTCACTAGGTTGGGATAGCAGCTTCCCCTGAGTTTGCTAGGGAGATCGCTAGTTAAGGTTTGAGAGTGTAGTGGGGAGTCAGGGAAAAAGATTCAGAGTATGAGGGACGATTCAATTTTTTTCTTGACTCAAGGGAATTGCAAAATAGCTTGGCATCCTCAAGAGCATGGTGCTGCTCATAGCATTTGCCATTAGCTGGAAAGAGGAGAAAGAGCGCCTGTTGGAACTAAGGTTACGGTGAAAGTTATGGGAAGCTGTATTTCATCGCCCTTATGGCTACAAGAACAAATGGTGTTTATACAAGGACCTTGGCAGTGAGAAAACAGTCATTAAACAGGAATTAAGGAGCTTGTCATCACCACTTCTTTCCAGTTACAGAAGGCAAAAGCCCTCCAAGCCTTTTTTATTGGGCCCTTGTGAGTTCTGCCGTTGGCTGAGCCAGACAGAGTTGAATGGAGGAATGGCGAGGTGTGTGTGTGTGTGTGTGCACGCGCATGCAACATCTCAGCTTACAACACAAAAGAATGCAGTGTGGTGTCACAAGCATGATTTTATTGTCCTTGACACTGACAGCCAGGTATGTTTTTGTCCTCCTCTGGCAGGTAACCCCACGAAAGAAATTCAAGTGTCCTGAGTGCACAGCCATAGATGGGCTTTCACTAGACCAAACACACATGGTGGAGAGGTAAGTGAGCCTCCAACCAAAAGTGCGCCTTAGCCTCTGATCTCTATTTCCTGCCTTAGGCCTGTTTATGGGGCTTTGTTGGAGATATAAGGACAGCAGCTGGTAGCCATAGTCACCTCCATGTGCACTGTGGGAATTGGGTTAGTTCAAGCCCAGGTCACCCAAAGAATTAATTTGGAATGCTACTCACTCAATTTGTAATGGCTGGAAGGGTCTTAAAAATATAGTGGGCCTTAAGCTCCAGAAGCCAAATTCTCCATGTGGACTAAGCAGTTAACCATCTACAGTCATTGAGTGGAAGCTAGTTAATTCCAAGGAAATACTGGATTATTTTTCAGGGTAATAGCTCCACGTTATAGTAAAAGCTTGATTAGAAAGAATTAAACCAAACCCACCAGAGACAAATTACCTTTGCTGACACTATGGAAATGCCTGCCAAGAACAGGATCGAAAGCAAAGCCCTCATATTACAGACAGAGGGGCAAGACAGCTCTGAAATACTCTCTTTATTTCGATTCAAGTCAGTTTCTCAACAAGCACACCTTTGTGTGGAATGTAATCCTAGGCCTTGTAGGTAAGAATTAAAAGAGTGGGAGATGTATGTCTTCCGTTAAGACTATACTAGACCTAAGAGTTCTCACTTGTGCCCCAAAAGTCCCCAAGCTTTGAAGTGCCTGAATCAAGCCTAGTACTTTCAGAAGACAATTATTTATACAAGACAGCAAACTCTGACATCCCAGTAGTGCTTGTCAGGGGACCAAAATGCACTCAGATAAGGATATAGTAGCCTTTTAGAATGAAATATCTAGTTCAGATTTCACAGATCTCATATGCCTCTGCTTGCAGAATTCATTTCTGAAATCTGTCAGCTATATTAGAATTCTTCAAGCCTAGAGAATTTTTGTGTGTGTGTGCAGAAAGTTGTTTCAGTTGGCCTGGCTTCTATAATGTTTTACTCTCTAAATAACTTCTTTATCTTTTTCATGTATAAACATTACCCAGATGACATGACCTTTACCAGCTGTTGATGTGAAATAATATATTATCACTGGTTGATGTGAAATAATATATTATCACTGGTATCATAAGTATTTCACAGTTAAGGGTAGTGACATACACTGTCGTAGCTCCTTTGGAAGAGACCCCAATTGAACTTCTATTGGAGTACAAGAAATTGTTATTTAAACCTACCCCATTGTCTGTGGTTGGGGAAAATTCATAACAGTAAGCTAAGTGGTCATTAATAGGGCTGAGTTAAAATGGTGTATCGGATATATGGTCCAGGAAAGGAAGTATAGGAAGAAAAGTTGACCTGATGGTGGCCTTGAAGTTCATGCTGAGGCTAAACAACTCCTCTAGCACTACTGAGATCTTAACAAATGTAAAGAGGTTTAAAATGCAGTGAGAGCCAGGTGTGGTGGCTCACTCCTGTAATCCCAGCACTTTGGGTTACCAAGGCTGGTGGATCACCTGAGGTCAGGAGTTCAAGACCAGGCTGACCAACATGGTGAAACCCCGTCTCTACTTAAAAAAAAAAAAAAAAAAAAAAAAAAAACATACAAAGTTAGCTGGGTGTGGTGGCGCATGCCTGTAATCTCAGCTACTTGGGAGGCTGAGGCAGGAGAATCACTTGAATCTGGGAGGTGGAGTTTGCAGTGAGCTGAGATCGTGCCATTGCACTCCAGCCTGGGCAACAAGAGTGAAACTCCATCTCAAAAGAAAAAAATGCAGTAGGGAGATTTAATTTAGATATAATTATTATTAAACACTGGAGTGAGTAACTAAGGGAGATATGGAGGCTTCCTCTTTGGAAGATCTTTTTTATTATTATTATTAAGAGAAAGGATCTTGCTCTGTTGTGTGGTGATACAATCATGGCTCACTACAACCTTGAACTCCTAGGCTCAAGTGGTCCTCTCATCTCAGCCACCTGAGTAGCTGGGACTACAGGTGCGTGCCACCACGCTAACTAGTTCTTAAATTTTTTGTAGAGACAGAGTCTCAACATGTTACTCAGCCTGGTCTTGAACTCCTGGCCTCAAGGTATCCTCTCGCCTGGGGCTCCCAAAGTGCTGGGATTATAGGCATGATAGGATATGTTATGATATGTAGGATGTATAGTTAGGAGGAGATGCTGATGGAGGGATTGGAGCGAACTGTTGGACTTTTAACAGTGTCAAGGACCTTAACAGTGTTACATGTATATGTAACAATGCAATTTGTGATGAGCGCCCTGAGAGAGGCTCAAAGGGCTGTAACTGATCAGGTGAAAGAGAAGTAACTTTTTGCTAGGTTCATTGTTAAGAATAACTTTCTAAAAGAGGTGACACTTGAAGTGATCCTTCAAAAATCACTAGGATCCCAACTAGTAAAACCCTGGGCCAGAATCAGAGACTCTCAGCAGTGGAAACTGAATGGTTTGTCAAGGGTGCCTGATCAGCAAGTTCAACAAGAAGAAGCCCAATTTGGAGAGCTTAGAATGCTGGCCTATTAGTGCTGGACTCCAAAAGGCTTTGAATCCCCAAATAAGGAGCTAGATTTTTTTTTCCTTCAGGCTCTGGTAAGCTATAGAATTTTCGAACACGAGACTAGCTGGATCAAAGTATTGCTTTGAGATTAATTTGGAAGTAATGCACAGGGTGGAATGAAGAGTGAAGAGGTTGGAGAAAAGACTAGTTAGAACCTTTAACTAAGCTGCATGTGGAAAGGAAGGAACAAATTAAATTACAAGAGATTTTTTTTTCCCAAAGGGAGATGTACCTGAACTTGGTTTCCAACTGAAGAGATGTGGGGAGGCTATGAAGAAGGAGTTGACAAACATACCTTTAAGATTTTGAGTGGTAGTAGTACCTTCAGCAGTGTAATAGGTTTAGGAGGAGATGCTGATTAGGGGAGAGATTAGAGTGAACTGCTGGACCTCAGCAGTGTCGTTAATGGGGACAGGAGGTGATGTTAATCAGGGGTGAAGTTGGAGAATAATAAGATATGTGATTTGGGGGTCTTTCCCTCTGTATATACTTTTTTTTTTTTTTTTTTGAGACATAGTCTCACTCTCTTGCCAGGCTGGAGTTCAGTGGTGCAATCTCGGCTCACTGTAACCTCCGCCTCCCAGGTTCAAGTGATTCTCCTGCCTCCACCTCCCGAGCAGCTGGGACTACAGGCACGTGGCACCGTGCCCGGCTAATTTTTTGTATTTTTGTAGAGACAGGGTTTCACCATGTTGGCCAGGATGGTCTTGATCTCCTGACCTCAGGATCCGCCCACCTCGGCCTCCCAAAGTGCTGGGATTACAGGCATGAACCACCCTGCCTGGCTTTTTTTTTTTTTTTTTTTTTTTTTTGGAAGACCAGAGTTTTATTATTACTCAAATCAGTCTCTGTATATACTTTTATGTATGTATATCAAGATATAGATATGTGGAACTAGAATTTCAGAAAGAACTTTAAAAAAAAATGTTGAGCCCAGTCATCCCTCGGTATCCACAGGGGATTTGTCCCAGGACCTCTGGAGGATACCAATCTTCACGCATGCGCAAGTCCATTATATAAAATGGCCTAGGATTTGCATATAACCTTCGCATATCCTTCTTTATAGTTTAAATCATCTCTAGATTACTTACAATCCCTAATACAACATAAATGCTATGTAAATAGTTGTTACATGGCATTGTTTAGGGAAAAATGACATGAAAAAACTCTGTACATGTTTAGTATAGATGCAGTTTTTTTCCAGATATCTTTGATCCAAGGTTGGTTGAATCTACAAACATGGAACCCTTGGATATGGATGGCTAACTGTATTTGGCAGTCATCTGTCCAGAGACAGCAGTTGACTAAAGAAAAGCAAAGGCAGACTCTTGGGAAATTCTGGCATTTAGGAGACACAAAGAGTAACTGAAAACAGAGAGGCAACCACTGGAAAAGCCAGGAGAGAACCAGGATATACAGTGCTCAGAAGCATGGAAGGAACAAGGAACAGGCAGGCTGGAGAAGGTCTTTGAATTCAATGGTTGTTGGTACCTTACAAAAATAATAGCCAGGGGTGGTGGTAGGCACCTCTAGTCTCAGCTACTTGGGAAGCTGAGGCAAGGGGATCACTTGAGCTTAGGAGTTCAAGGCAGTATCACTCTACAATTGCACCTGTGTGAATAGCCACTGCACTCCTGCCTGGGCAACATAGCAAAATCCCTATCTGTAAAAAAATAATAATAATGTCATAGAGTATGAAGCCAAAGGGTTATAGAGTATGAGTCGACAGTGAGGAAGTAGAGTTAGTGAATGTAAACTATGCTTTTGAGAAATTTAACAGAGAATAGAAGGAAACAAATATGGAAATAAATTAGCAACTGGGAACAAAACTATTTATATTAAAAATTGAGTCACTGAATTATTAAATAAGGCATTTAGATAGGGAGGGAAGAAGACATGAGTTAAGCCATCTTGGGTAGATAAAGAGATGATGTTACAACTGTAGAATACATCCTTCCTTCCTCTTCCCTCCCCCTGTCTTTGGCTGGTCTCCTGGCCTCAGACAGGCCTCCTGCCTCAGCCACCTGAGTAGCTGGGATTATAAATATGAGCCACCATGCCCAGCTGTTTTATTTTTAATAATAATCTTTGCAGAATACACATTTTATGCAAAACAATGAAAGCAGTTAGCCACTTTACAAGTGTGTGTGACCTTGTGTTGGGTTTTGTGGTTCAGTAGCTCATTTATTCCTATATTTGGGGGTCTGGGATCAGAAATCTCAGTTGTATAGGAGAGTAGCTTCCATTACTACCCAGCTTCCATTTCCAGGATCCGCTGTTAGTTCTTTAAGAGTCAGAAGCATGTGTCGCTGTTCATTTTGACAAGTGTCTTCACCAAGGTTAGGGCAATATGACGGGCAGACAGTATTGACTTAAAAAAAAGAACATAGTATTTTGAATTAGGCTAATCTTTATTCAAATGATGAGTTTGCCACACTTATTAGCTGTCTGACCTAAGGAAATTGACTTTACCTTATCCGAACTTCAATCTGTTCATCTCCTAACATAGGGATATTAATATCTGTCAAATTACAATGTCCATTCATAGGTTCAACAAATATTTATTGAGCATCTTTATACCCAAGCTGTTATGTGTAGTGATAAATGAAGTAGTGATACATGAAAGCCTGTAGCACAGGGCCTGGGAATGTTAGTTTCCTTCCCGGTTTCCCCAGTGTTAGTCCTAAAGACTCCTGGTTACTTTAAGTAATGGTATGTGTTTGAAAGGAAAATAGAAAACCATTAGTTCTTTCTTCCCCAGACACCTTCATCACTTCAGAGAGAGTCACTGGCAGTTCTTGGTGTGTTTATACTTGATTGGAAAACCAACACAGGAGAATGGTTACTGACATGGTAGCTGGACCCCTGACAACAGCTCATGTGGGCCACCGGCAACCAGCCAAAGTCCTGTCTCCCCTAACCTGCTCTCCAACCCAGACCCCCTGTGTGAAAAAGTAGGAAGCACTGTTATTACCTGGCAGGAGAGTTAAGGACCTTGACCATTCAGTGGAGGCCTGCCGCTTCTCCAGTGTGGGCCTGTATGAAGGAGAAAGAAGTACTCACTAGACTTGGGTTAGCCAGGGGCAGCTGTCAACAAATCAAGCTGGCCTGAGCCCCAGTGGCTTCTTGCCTATGACCCATTCCTGTTGGCGGATCTAGTTACAGAGGAGACATTGTCCTCAATACTCTCTACAGGGCCTTGGAACCGCTATCCTCTGCCAAGAACCAGGATTCTTCTTTAATACGTACTTGCTAGTACCTATGCTGGGAACAGCTGGGCTTTGCCGGCCAGAGTCTGTATGCATAACTAGAAATGAGAAGAATCTGGACATATTTACAGGCGGAACAACAGTCAAAAGTAAAACCTTGGAGAGATTTGATTTTATCTGCCATGCTTTGACCCCATAATTTGAAGAGAGGGAAGCTGTTGTCCCACGCTTGGTCCACCTCACTTTGTTAAAGTTCATCCATCTTTTCCCAGTCTCCCTTCAATTTGGAACTAGGAACACCACCTCCTGAGTCTCAAAAGACTTCCAGCAGGAGGGACACTCAGTCACTGGCATGTAATGGTAGAGTGTGATCCAAAGAGCAGGCTCTATTGCCAGCTCAAACCTGAGTTTAAAACCCAGTTCCACCACATTCTACCCCTGGGTCCTTGGGCAAGTTACTTAACCTCTCTGAACCTTAATTTCTTAACCCATAACATGAGGCTACTATACACCCAATAGTTGGGCAAGGGGGGTGATGAGTATGGGGGAGGATTACTTTAAGCAATCCATGAGATATGTATGTAAATTATCTGTCACATAATAGGTGCTCAGCAGTTGTTAATTTCCAGTCCCCTTCATTGGACCCTAGAATTGTGTTAATAAGTACATTTGTATCATCTAATTAAGACTTTTGCCTCAGAAGCCAGAATGCCTGCTTTGGCTCTAGCTTTTTCTAGTTATTTGACCTTTGAACATGTTATTTATCCTCTCTGTATCTCAGTCTTCCCATTATAAAATGGGAATGATAGTCCTACCCCATAGGGTTGTTGTGAGGATTAAATGCATTATTAATGCATAGAAAGCAATTTTAACACAGCTTGGAACATACAGTAAATGGTAGTTGTTGCTTTGTGGTGTTGGTGGACATGATGATGTTATGAGTTAAAAGCTCAAAATGAAATAATAACAAATTTTTTTAGAAACATAATGACCAAGAGAGAAGTTTGTTCTTTTTGTAGTGCTCTCAGATGTCCTGGGCCCGACTGAGGCAAGAGTGTTGACCTTTCTGAAATCCATCCTTGAGGTCCCCTTGACTTCAAAAGCAGCTTTTCCAGGCGTTTTCCCTCTGGCCTAATGCTGAAGCGTCCTCATTACCCAGCTGTCACACTCAGTTGGCCTGATTGACCAGAGCCATTCCCGAACACATGCCTGACCTGCTCACCTCTGAGAAGGCTGACTTTGGGGGTGAGGTGGAGATAGGGAGACAGCCTCTCCCCTCCTCTGGCGGTGCTGTGCTGCACTGGCACTGAAGTAGTTGTTGCTAAAAGTTCTGACATGGGAGTGACAAAAATGATGAAAATTATGAAGGCTGTCCTATGTGAACTTCAGCTTTCACAGAAGATTGTGCAGATTGACATAATTCCCAGAAATTGCCACTTACAGGCCCTCTGTCAATGTTGGTTGAATGAATGAAGTGTTTATTGTTTGAAATTTGGCCCTGTCACCTTTTTTTTTTTTTTTTTTTTTTTTTGCCTTTCATCATTTTGTGAGCAAGATCTCTCCTCTGCCTTTTAAACTTCAGTAAACTGAAGCTCAGATCCAAGTAGTTTTTTTTCTTTCCATCCTTTGCCTTCTCTTAGCTGGCAGAGATGGGGTTAAGAATTGTTGGCAGCTAATCCACCTTGGTTTGAGGCCCTCTCACACTGAGCTGGAGGAATGACTGGAATTTGAGGGGGAGGGGAAAAGATACTCTGACCTTTGCAGGCCCGTGGCCTCCAAGCAGCATCTCCTGTTCACGTTCTCCCACTGAACTAATAGTCCAAGTACCCCCAGTTCACCGCTTTTTTCCACACCTGTCAACCTTTTTAAGAACCTGGGAGCAGACTGTGGCTACTTGAGCTTTTTTTGTTGATGTTGAACATTATGTATTTTGCTGTTATCTCTCAACCTCTTGAACATACTATCTTTTCTCCCTGCCCCCATCCTTCTCATTCTGCTCAAACCCCTCCTCCCCACCTCCTCTCCAAATCCCACAGGTCAGAGTGCATCAACAAGTTTGCTTCAGTCTTCGGGACCATGCCTCTCAAGGTGGTGGAACACCGAGCTGACCCTGTCCTGTACAAAGATGACTTTCCTGAGAAGCTGAAGAGCTTCCCCAACATTGGCAGCTTATGAAACGTGTCATTGGTGGAGGTCTGAATGTGAGGCTGGGACAGAGGGAGAGAACAAGGCCTCCCAGCACTCTGATGTCAGAGTAGTAGGTTAAGGGTGGAAGGTTGACCTACTTGGATCTTGGCATGCACCCACCTAACCCACTTTCTCAAGAACAAGAACCTAGAATGAATATCCAAGCACCTCGAGCTATGCAACCTCTGTTCTTGTATTTCTTATGATCTCTGATGGGTTCTTCTCGAAAATGCCAAGTGGAAGACTTTGTGGCATGCTCCAGATTTAAATCCAGCTGAGGCTCCCTTTGTTTTCAGTTCCATGTAACAATCTGGAAGGAAACTTCACGGACAGGAAGACTGCTGGAGAAGAGAAGCGTGTTAGCCCATTTGAGGTCTGGGGAATCATGTAAAGGGTACCCAGACCTCACTTTTAGTTATTTACATCAATGAGTTCTTTCAGGGAACCAAACCCAGAATTCGGTGCAAAAGCCAAACATCTTGGTGGGATTTGATAAATGCCTTGGGACCTGGAGTGCTGGGCTTGTGCACAGGAAGAGCACCAGCCGCTGAGTCAGGATCCTGTCAGTTCCATGAGCTATTCCTCTTTGGTTTGGCTTTTTGATATGATTAAAATTATTTTTTATTCCTTTTTCTACTGTGTCTTAAACACCAATTCCTGATAGTCCAAGGAACCACCTTTCTCCCTTGATATATTTAACTCCGTCTTTGGCCTGACAACAGTCTTCTGCCCATGTCTGGGAACACACGCCAGGAGGAATGTCTGATACCCTCTGCATCAAGCGTAAGAAGGTCCCAAATCATAACCATTTTAAGAACAGATGACTCAGAAACCTCCAGAGGAATCTGTTTGCTTCCTGATTAGATCCAGTCAATGTTTTAAAGGTATTGTCAGAGAAAAACAGAGGGTCTGTACTAGCCATGCAAGGAGTCGCTCTAGCTGGTACCCGTAAAAGTTGTGGGAATTGTGACCCCCATCCCAAGGGGATGCCAAAATTTCTCTCATTCTTTTGGTATAAACTTAACATTAGCCAGGGAGGTTCTGGCTAACGTTAAATGCTGCTATACAACTGCTTTGCAACAGTTGCTGGTATATTTAAATCATTAAATTTCAGCATTTACTAATACTGCACATGTGTGAATTATACCTCTTTAAGCCCAGTTGATGAACAAATCTACCCTGGCGAATGTTAAATGTTATGGATTCGAAACAGATTTATCTGGCTCTGATATTAAGATTAGCCACAGTTTGGGCTTTAGCCACAACATATGTCCCCAAAACACAAAATACATAACAATTTGCTTAGAATATGGATATAATTACAGAAACCTAGTTGTTTTGCCAGTCAGCGTCAGTCATACACCATCCATTGTTCTGTTGAGTGACATGAAGGTGGGCAGTTATTATGCTGTAGTTTCATCAAGAGTCACTTCAGATGTGTTCCCCAGACTTTGAGAGGTCAAAGAAAGTTTCAGAAGTAGCAAAGTTGGAAGTGGAAATCATAAGAGTTTTGTCTTCTTTCATTTGAATAAGTGATCGAATCATGGACTATTATTGCCAAAGGGGGCAAGCGATCATCTCATCCAGTTTGTTCATTTTGCAAATGCAGAAACTGAAGCTGCAGATGTTCATTTTGCAAATGCAGAAACTGAAGTGATTTTTTTCAGTTTCTGACAGCAGCAAACACAGGTGCTTACCAAATACTTTTGATTTGGGTAATGTGTACTGGTCAGTAGGAGACATGGGAAAGCATTTTGGTCTCATGTATTCATAATATTGGGGACGATATGGTAGAAAGCCAGGAAAAATATTTCTGTTGTCACCCAGGTACCAGAGGCTGACAAGCACAGTGAGGACCTCTAATCTTTCTAGGGGTTTTCTAGTTTGTTTTCCAAGATGTGGGGCAGGTATAGGGGAGGGTCTTACATTGAAATCTCTGCTGAAAGCTATGGACTGTGCTGGCATTGTGTATGTGTCATATTGCCCTGGTTTCTTCAAATTTCTGCCCTTTTGCTCATCATCGAATGCACTACCTTAGTGGCTGGTTTCTAATGCAGCTTCTCTCCCAAAGGGTACATTTTTAAATTTTTATTTTTTAAAATCTTGAGAGTCCTTTGATTTGGGAAGAGGAACTCTTTCATCTGAGTTCATTGTGAGCCCTAGAGAGCTGTGTGACTTTATCATCGTCATAGGAGTCATTGGACTTTAAAGGCATTACAACTCCATTTAAAGTACCTCATTACTCCCAGGAATATTGGGTGTTAGATCTTGCAACACAGCATAAAACAATTTATGTTAAAGAAGGAGCATTATATCCTAGGCACTTGAAACAACCTCAAAGGTGATGTTACCCTATGAACAGATAGGTGGTACAGTCACCGTAGAAATTCAAGACAGGGATATAGCAGGTGATGGCGATTCATGGATTCAGAGTGGGCTAGGGACTCCACTTTATTGTTCGTGTATTTCTGAGCTGCTAACCAGCAAACCTCACCCATAAGCTTAGGTCAGGATCATCTGTCCTCGGGATGCCATAGAGCCTGGTTTCAGAAGCAGAACAATCATGCTAATTAAAATGTCGTGTTCTGGCCTACAGCAGACAACAGCTGGTTTTAGATTAAGAAATCTTTTTAAAGAAACACATCTTACTGGCCTATAGAGAAGACGAACTTGAACTGGCCCTGGCCCAAGTGCACACTGAGCCACTGGCTTTGCCCCCAGGGGCCTAACTGGGATGGGCCTGCTTGGAATGCCAGGGCTGGAAATACTTTTTTATTTTGCTGATTAACATTACATAGTTGTTAAAATGTTTATCTCATGTATTTTACCAACCCTCACACATTTAGGTATAAACCTCCTTTTCTGGGAGAATTAAAGAGAAAAACAGCAACTTTAGTTGTCAGAATCTTGTGTTCTTTCCTGCCAGTGATGCTCTGCTGTATCCTTTTTTTTTTTTTTTTTTTTGAGACAGAGTCTTGCTCTTGTCACCCAGGCTGGAGTGCAACAATAGCATGGTCTCGGCTCACTACATCCTCCGCCTCCCAGGTTCAAGTGATTCTCCTGCCTCAGCCTCCTGAGTAGCTGGGATTACAGGCGCTTGCCACCACGCCTGGCTAATTTGTTTGTAATTTTAGTAGAGGCAGGGTTTCACCACGTTAGCCAGGCTGGTCTCGAACTCCTGACCTCAGGTGATCTGCACGCCTTGACCTCCCAAAGTGCTGGGATTACGGGCGTGAGTCCCCACGCTCAGCCACTGTATCCTTTACTCAGTGTCATCAAGTTCAAAGCTCTGACCACCCTGGTTTCTCTGCCAAAGCCTCATCTACTTCCAGCTGGGCTTTGAACTTGTGGTTTTTAAGTGCTGGTTTCTCTGCTGCCTTTGGAAAATAGTGACCATCATGCTGGTCTGTGCTGACGCAGACTGGGAGCTGGAAGAGACAAGCTCCCTCTTTGCTCTCATTGGCCAAAGATGTTGCTAATAACCCTGTGATCCTAGCTTCCTTCTAGGATGATAGCCTCTGACAGGCACCATGCCAGGAGGAAACTAGAGCGTCTTTATCACTGAAAGATAGCACGTTTCTAGCCACAGGTTCTGAAGTTGATTTGAGGTTAAAATCCAAGAACCTTTGATAGTTTTCAGCCAAGATAGTAATCAGAAAGTAGATGAAGCAGAGACTGGGTTTGGGAAGTGGTTGGGTTCTGGGAAGGCTCTTCCTAGCTCTGCAGTTAGATCCTGTGAGGACCCAGCTGATAGAGTAAAGGCTTTGGGTGTTGGAGACTTCCCATCAGCCACCCATCATGAGCCTGGTGTGTTTCCTTTGCTTTGTAGCTCCTTTGGGGGTATGCTGCTTTTTCCATTTCTCTTGGCTCGGGTACTCTTCCATTGCAGCAAGAGAAGCCACAGTGGGCTGTTCCCCAAGCAGCCCTGGCACAGAGAGGCAGAGTAGAGAATGCTAAACTGGCCCCATGTCTCCTCCAGCCACTTCCTGAGGAGCAGTTCTGGCAGGAGTGTTAACCATATTGGCAGCAGCTTCCATCCAGAGAGACTTTGAAAGCAACTTGAGCTTTCCACTGCAGGGCCTGGAGGCATATGAAACCTGTGGGGCCTGCCCCTACTCACCTCACCCCTGAGCTCTGTCCAAGCCCTGGACCTCCTGTCCTCGGCCTGTGTTTGGTACTCACCCACTTTCTACTTCTGAGTAGAATCAAGGGCAGCATTTGGTCCCATTATACCAGCCATGCATCATCTGTGAACAGGCCTTATTGAGCTTATCTTGGCAGAGGAAAGTCAGGCAGGCAAGACCCACTCTAAATTTTAATGTTTCCCCCTCATTTTAGGGTGGGAGCTGTGAGTTCATCTGAAGACTGGGTGAGGGCATTGTAAGCTCAAGCCACAGCCTCTTTTCCACCTCCATTAAATGGACTGTTAGGGATGCCCAGCTTCCCCAATTTCCTGGGAGGGTGTGTGGGTCTGTACAGGCAACCTTGTGTCATTCTTTCAATTTCCGGCTCACCATTGCTGGCAACAGTGGGAAGATGACCAGAGAAAGTTTGGCCCCCTCTCCCAAGCTTCCAGGCCTCTTTCCTTTTCAAGAAATAGTTGAGTCACCAGCATCTGTATCTGGCATTTTGTTTCTTCACATTTGCAACCATTTCAGGGTAGAGTTTTTTTGTTTGTTTGTTTGTTTGTTTTTGTTTTTTTTGTTTTTTCTTTGGAAACAGAGTCTCACTCTGTCCCATAGGCTGGAGTGTAGTGCTGTGATCATGGCTCGCTGCAGCCTCAAACTCCTGGACTCAAGCAGTCTTCCCATCTCAGCCTTCCAAGTAGCTGAGACTAAAAGCGTGCACCACCACACCTGGCTGATCTTTTAATTTTTTTGGAGAGACAGGGCCTCACTATGTTGCCTAGGCTGGTCTCTAACTCCTGGGATCAAGTGATCCTCCTGCCTCAGCGTCCCAAAGTGTTGGGATTACAGGTGTGAACCACCATGCCTGGCCCAGGATAGCACTTTTTCCTTTCTTCTGCTCTCAGTTGGTTGGACCACTGGTTGCATCTCTTCCCACTCTCCCTGAAAGGCACAGAACTATCAGACAGAAGACAAGGTAGTTCTCAAGAAGTACCAGGCAGCTGTGTCTGCTAGAGGCTTCCTCAGCAAAGCCCCATCTTGTGGACAACCTCTCAGGAATTGCAGGTGGTGTGGGAGTGGCTGACAGAGGAGGGATCCATATGTCTTAGACCAAAGCCACCAGTCAGGCCTTGCCACCATATAGAACCTTCCCTTTAGAATATATTTATTTGGAATTTTACTTATAGCTGCAAATATATCATTGGCTACTATACCCAAGCATCAACTCAAGGAACATTTGGTTTTCTGGTGAGCACAGCTGAAGACCAACCAACTAGTTACTGATCCAGATGAGGGAAGAGAACATTTATTCAGTCATTCTGTTATGCTAACTATTCATTTTCTCATGAAAATGTAGTCTTTGGCTGGGCATGGTGGCTCATGCCTGTAATCCCAGCATTTTGGGAGGCCAAAGCGGGCAGATCATGAGGTCACGAGATCGAGACCCTCCTGGCTAACACGGTGAAACCCCATCTCTACTAAAAATACAAAGAATTAGCCGGGCATAGTGGCAGGCACCTGTAGCCCCAGCTACTCGGGAGGCTGAGGCAGGAGAATGGCGTGAACCTGAGAGGTGGAGCTTGCAGTGAGCTGAGATTGTGCCACTACACTCCAGCCTGGGCGACAGAGCAAGACTCCGTCTCAAAAGAGAAAATGTTGTCTTTGCCAGGCAGTGTGGTAGGCCCAAGAGATATAGCAATTAGAGTTGACTAAGACAGTGTCCCTATCCTGTTCTTGAGCTCCAGTTCTAGTGGGAGTTCTTGAGCTTGGTAAGATGATGTGAGTCCATCAGTGGCCCAGGACTCTAAGCATGTATGTTTTAGTCCCAGCTGTAAATGAGGATTCCATTAACCCCATCTTCTCCAATGTATGGAGGATGCAAGAAGCTTTAAAATGTCCTTTTCTCACAGTGACTTCCCTTGACCATGCCTTAGTTTCCTCAGCCAGAAATTGGAGACAGCAAGAGCACTTATGCCTGAGTTGGTGAGATGGAATGATGTATCATATCTCTTCCCCTTTTATTAACCAGATCGTTTACCAGATTGTACCTGGTGATGCTGGCAGCCAGCCCTCTTCCGGCCCCTATTTCTGCTTACCGTGTTACCAGAGAGCCTGGGGGTCTGGATCCTATCTGGCCCCGTCAGGGTGGATTACCAAATGAGCAGTTCTCTTGCCCCAGTCCCTTTCCTGTGCTATAAATAAGCCCCATGTTTATTTTCTTATGTTATTGAAATGAGCACTTGTGATTTGGGCCTCTTTTGAGGAGTCCAGAGAGCGTCCATCCGGTGCCTGGTGAGGGCCCTGCATGGCTGGCTGCTGTCTGAAGCTATTTGGAGTCCTCTCCCTGTGTTTTCTATGTGGCTTAATTTCAATAGAAAGGGTTATATGCAACCCTGTATCTGCTGATTTTCAGGTTTCAACTTTCTGCCAGCGTCACTGCCTGCTTAGAAGTAAAGTTATGTTTCTCATTAAGGGGATAACAGCCACAATTGAGGTAATTAACGAAAATTGTACATTGGTGGCAGCACCTCCTATAGGATTTCCAATAGTCTTTCTCTAGTAGATCATTGGGGGCTCACCTTGATCTCCTCTCTTCTGTCTACCCTGCACCAAAATACCTTGTCCTGTTTTCTGGATATAGTTCCAATAATTTTTTTCCTAACAGCCTTTTTGTCACCAGTTGGTTTGATATCTTACAACTTGGCCAAATGAGGGTTCCATTAACTCCATCTTGTCTAATGCATGGAGAATTCAAGGATTTTTTTTTTCTCTTTTCATAGCACCTTCCAGTTGCCAGTTGTACCCTGGCCCTTCTTTGGAAGTCATAATGATGAATATCCATTAATAAGAGATTGATGCTCTTTCAACTCTCATGTCATCTATACCATCTCAGTGGAGAGGATGACTTTGGATGAGGTTGGAATAGAAAGGAAACATTTGGAAGTCCACTGCAGTGTATTATATGCTGTGTGGAAGTCTGGGGGTTAGGAAATACCTGGAGGGAGAACTTCCTAAGAAATGATTTTTGGTTCTTTTAGGCCTTAACAGCACAATAAAAGTATCCCATGAGACCATTATGAGCAGGACACGACATTGTTTCACACCTTGGGCTGTGACTATTTACTTCTCGGTACAGATTACTCTGGTTAAATCACTCAGTAAAGAAATCTTTTCATGCTCACAATCTGAACCTGAAGGCTATTACTGAAGAGAATTGCATCTGACAACAAAATTTAATTTACTTCCAGAGAAAGGACCAGAAGAAAGTAAATTTTCATTTATGTTTTTAAGTCTATTGTCTTAAAAAGATTCTTTTCCCTTAAAAAATAAAAAAACCTGATGTGATGGGTTCCTTCAGTCAACAAATACTTATTGAGCAGTTATTGTGTGCCAGATACTGTTCTTGGTGTGAGGATATGGCACTGAACAAAACAATGTACCTACTTTCGTCAAGCTTACATTCTAATGAGGAAGATAACCAAAACAAGTGACTGAATATAATTTCAAATGTCAATAAATGCTGTGAAGAAAATAAAGCAGAGTATTATATGTGGATAATGACTTGGAAATATTTTAGGTAGGTTGATCAGAGGTGATATTTAAGCACAAATGTAAATGTTGAGGAGTGAACCATGAGCACACCAGGCAGAGGGAAGAGCTGGTATAAAGACCCTCAGGCAGGAACAAGCTCAGCTTATTTTAAGAACTGTAAGAATAATGTCTGAAGCATATTGAGTATGGAGAGCATGATAAATGATGATGCCAGAAAGGTAGGCTGGTACCAAATTGTGTTAGGATCATATGGGCCAGAAGGATTCTAGAGTCTTACTATGAGTGTGATGGGAAGACACTGGATAGTTTTAAGCAAGAGAGTGACATATCTGAATGGCATTTTTAAAAAGGTTATCCCTGCTACTGAGTGGACAGTAGGCTGTAAGGAGCAAGAGTAGAAGAAAGGAATTCAGCTAGGACACTCTTAGGGACCCCAAAAAAGAAATGGTGACCTAAACTAGGATGGTAGCAGCAGAGGTGGTGAGAAGTTATATTGGAAGTAGAGTTTATTGGATGTACTGATGAATTAAATTTAAGAGATGAAAACAAAAGAGGATTCACAGGTAACTCCAAGGTTTTTATCCTTAGTAACTGCATGATACCATGAGCTGAAATGTGTCAGACTGAACAGGGTGAGGGCAAGGAAATGTTGAGAGAGAAAAATCAAGAGCTCTACTTTGAACATGTTAAGTTTAAGATGTCTATTGGACATCTAAGGTATAGTGTCATTTAAACAGTTGGTTATCTAGAGCTCAGAGGAAAAGTTATGACTGAAAATAAAGATGGGATTTAAAACCCTAGGACTTGATAAGATTACCCAGAGAATTAGTGTAGTTAGAAAGGCGACAAGGATAGGGGCCCAAGTACTAGGCCCACTCTAACATTTACAGGTAGAGAATAAAAAGAAAAACCAGCAAAGGAGACGAAGTAGTTGCCAGTGAATTAGGAAGAAAACCAGGAAGGTGTCTGTAGGATACCTGTGATAAATTAAAAGTGCATGCTGTAAACTCTAGAGCAACCACTAAAAATCACTTTTAAAAGAGACAAGGCTAATAAGGCAATACTGGAGATGGAATATCAAAAATATACTCAATCAGAAAGCAGGAAAAGAAGAGTAAACAAAGGACAAAAGGAACAAATGGAAACAAAGAGCAAGATAGGGTTAAACCCAAACATGTCACCAATTACATTAAATGTAAATGATCTAAACACTGTAATTAAAGGGCAGAGATTATCAGGCTGAATTAAGCAGCAAGAGCAATTACATGCTGTCTACAAGGAAAACCCCTATAAAGTTAAGTTTAAAAAGTAAAAGGGTAGAAAAGATGTACTATACAAATATTAGTCATGAAAAAGTGAGAGTGATTATATCATCAGGGAGCAAGAGGAACATTTCATAATGATAAAGAGGCCCATTCATCAAGAAGACAGAACAAGATAATCCTAAAAATGTGTGTGCATTAAATAACAATGCCTCAAAATATATAAATCAAAAATTAACACTGAAAGAGAAGTCGAAAACCCACAATTATATATAGATGTTTCAATGCTCCTCTCTCAGTAACTGATATAACAAGTTGATAGAAAAATGTAGATGACATGAATAACACTGTCAACAACGTTGGCTTAATTGACAGTTACAGAACGCTTCATCTGCGTAGCTGAATACACATTCTTCTTAAGTGCACATGCAACATTTACCTCAAATGTGTTACACAAAAATAAGTCTCAGTAATTTTAGAGGAATTGAACATTAAAAAGTTACCTGACCGCAGTGAAGTTAAATTAGAAATCAATAACAGCTATCTGAGAATATCCTAAATAGTTAGGAATTAAATCACGTTTCTAAATAATGCATGGATTAATAAAGACACAAAGGAAATTAGAAAATATTTTGAGTAAAAATGAAAACTGTATTAAATTTGTAGGGTACTTAGAGATTTATAGCTTGAAGAGTTTAAATTAGAAAAAAAGTCTACATTAAGAAACTAGGAAAAGGAGCAAAATAAACCCAAAGTAAGTAGAAAGAATAAAGATAAGAACAGAAACCAATGGAGTAGAAAATGGAAAACAATGGAAAAAATCAAAAACTGGTTCTTTGTAAAAGATTAATAACTGCTCAAGACCGCTAAAGGAAAAAAAAAGGAACTAAGATACAAATTACAGTATCAAGAATCAGAGGGCAACATTGGAACAGATTCTAAACATATTAAAAGGACAATACATTGCTATGATCTGAATTTTTGTGAGCCTCCCCACACACAACCCCACTCCACTCCAAGTTTATGTGTTGAAACTTAATCCCCAGTTCACTGGTGTTGGCAGGTGGGGCATCTGGTGGGTAATTAGCTCATGAGCAGAGCTGTCATGAATGTGATTAGTGTCATTATAAAAGAGACCTGAGAGAGAGCTCATTGGTGCCTTCTACCATGTGAGGACACTTAGAAGGTGCCATCTATAAGGAGTGGGCCCTACCCAGACACCAAATCTGCCAAAACCTAGATCTTGGATTTTCCAGCCTCCAGAACTGTGAGCAATAAATTTCTATTGTTTATAAATTACCAGTCTAAGATATTTTGCTATAGCAGCCCAAACAGACTAAGAAATATGAACTTTATAACAATAATTTCTGTAACTTACATGAAATGAGCACAATCCATGAAAGACACAAATTGACAAAACTGCCTGAAGAAGAAATGGAAAATCTGAATACCCTTGTATCTGTTAAAGAAATCTGTAATTTAAAATGTTTTGCAAAGAAATACCTATGTCCATATAGTTTTACTGGCTAATTCTATCAAACAATTAAGGAAGAAATAATACCAATCTTATTCAAACCCTTTTCAGAAAATAGAAGGGGAGGAAGTATGTTTCAATTAATTTTAAGTGGCCATTATTACCCTGATACCAAAGCCAGATAAAAACCTTACAAGAAGAGAACTGCAGACCAGTAGCCTTCCTGAACATAAATGCAAAATCCTTAACAAAATATTGGCAGATTGATACAGCAAGACTAAAGAATACAAAGTTGGCTGAATGTTGGAAAATCAATGTAATTCACAATAGAGTAAAAGAGAATATTTGTGTGATTGTCTCACTAGATATAGAAAAAGCATTTGACAAAATTCCATACCGGGATTGTTTAAAGAAAAAAAAAAAACGTAGAAAACATATCCACACAAAAACTTGCACACAAATGTCCATAGCCAGCTGTATTCAGAATAGCCAAAAGCTGGAAATAAGTCAAATGTTCAAGAGCAGATGAATGGATAGACAAATTCTGGTATATCCATACAATGAAATACAGCTCAGCAATACAAATACTGAACTACTGAGTGACACAACATGGATGAGTTTCCAAAACAGGTGAGCAAAAAAAAAAAAATGTCAGACACAAAAGAGTACATACTATATGTATGAAGTGTTGATTTAAAAAAGAAAAAAAAGCTGATGGTTAAAAAATATCATCTTCTCAGTTCCTTGGTTTTATCCTGGACTGGTATATCTTTCCTTCCTTAACCTGGGTGTTTACTTAGGGCCTCAGGATCTAGAATGCCTCCAGTCCCATTGCCTCAGTCTGGTGCGTTCTTGGTATGGAATGCAGACTTGCCAGCAAGGCGGCTGACATTTATTAAATGCTGGCCATGTGAGGGATGCCGTGCCAGGTGCTTCAGATAAACAGGCAAAGGAGACATCTTTTCCACCTTCAAGGAACTCATCGTTGAATTGATAAACACAGGAGATTAATCAGTTATAGTCCTATCTGCTGTATAAGGCAGTGCATGACAAAGGGCAAATTGCACACATTCCCCACTGTGGAGGGAGAGTAGGATTATTTCTGACTTGGTCAAAGAGGTAGCACTTGAAGGGGCTGTGAAGAGTTAATATATGAAGATGGGCATTAGGTGGACAGGGGTGTGTTGACCGATAACCCTCCTGAACATAATTGCAAAATCCTTAGCAAATAGAGATGCATGTTGGGGCAGGCATTCGACCTGAGGGGAGTGAAAGGAAACAAGAAGATGGGAAAATATAAAGGATGTCCTAGGTTTTCAGGAGCACAGAGCCCAGACTGGGGAATTAGAAACAGCAAGGCTGAACAGGAGTTGAGGGCTATATGAAAGAGCCGGAACTCCAGTCTGTAGGCTGTGTGAAGGTGTTCAGGTTAATGTGCTGGTAAAGGATGGATCAGAGCTGGGTTTTGGCATCCCTATTATTGATGGAGTGGACCAGGGAGAGACTGGGAATTAGATGTAACCACTTAGCAGTAGCCTGGGTAGAAAGTGAAAGGGCACTGAACCAGATAGGCTGCTGGGAATGCTGAGACCCTTTTGGATATGGGGATGGGAAAAGCAGCCCCCTGTCCATTTCTGTGCCTTCCTCTCACCCCTATAACACATACCAGCCACACTGCTTGTTGTGTGCCCTCCCTTCATATACTGAAGCCCTAACCCCCAATGTAACTGCATTTGCAGATAGCGCCTTTAAAGAGGTAATAAAGGTTAAGTGAGGTCACAAATGTGGAACCCTACTCCAATAAGACTGGTGTCCTTAAGAGAGGAAGGGGCACCAGACCTATCTACATGTGTACACAGAGGAAGGGCTATGTGAGGACACAGAAGGCAGTCTTCTATTAACATAAGCCAGAAAGAGGCCAGAAACCACATTTGCCAGCACCTTGATCACGGACTTCTGGCCTCCAGAACTAGGAGAAAATAAATGTCTGTTAGCCACCCACTGTGTGGTATTTTGTTATGGCAGCCCAAGCAGATTAATACACTACTCTCCCCCAGGTCCCTCACTGCCTCCCCACCCCCGCCCATCTGATAAACATAATATCGGATGTTCCCAGTGCTCCATAGTATGGTGTCACTCTTGTGAAGCAGTTATCCAATGTTTGGCACCCTGCCCTTAGCCACTTGGATGGAAGTCAACCCTTTGGCCTTCCCAGCCTCCAGTGTGCATGATTCCCCCACTGTACAACTCTTCACTATTTTCAAATATTTTAACTTTTGGACTTTGTAACCACCTGATGAGATAAGCAGGAAACAGTTGGCTATCCCCATTTTACAGAAGAAAAAATTGAAAATGAAAGCATTTTTGTGGCTTGCCGAAGGTGACAGAGGTAAGTTTCAAAGTCAGATCTTAAACTCATGTCTCCTGTCTCTTGCTTCACCACGTGGGTTCCTGGCCAGTGCTCTCCCATGCTTTCAACTGGACAGTGCTTTCTGTCCATACCTATCTTGGAGAAGAGCTATGGTTTGCCTTGTGTTTCATTCTTCCTTAGGCTTTTATCCCCTTCCCCTGTCCTCTCAACACACACACACACACACACATACACACTCTCATTTATTTTCATTCTTTCCCATGGTGTAGCTTGGCCCTACTATCATAGCTACAGGGAGCCCCTTCCTTTCCAGAAGCGCCTGGAAATTACAGAGGTACGCTGTGGGTAGAGGACAGAGAAGGGATGGAGAGGGGGCTTGTGATGCAACCAAAGAGAAATCCCAGGAGGCAAGGCAAGAACACTGTGTCCTCTGCACATCTAAGAACCACATCCTGATTGGGGTTCCGGGCAGATCTCATGCAGGCAGTACAGTGGGTTTTCTCCCAACTAGTTAAGGCAACACCTTAACACATGGTGTACACATGCTCATAAATTGAAGCTCCCTGTGGAGGTTTGCCCTTCCTCAAGCCTGTTGGTCTTTGTTGAGCTTAAAAAAAAATCTGTTTGGAATCACACAGAATTCCTGGGAAAATTTCAACTCTCACACCCCATTGTCTTCTGGCGCTAACTTGCATCTTCTCACTTGTGCACATACACAGTTTGCCGTCAGCCCTATTTTGGGGAACTGGCTATTTGTGGAGAGCCTATTGTTCCTTAGCTGCTGAGCATGCAAGTCTAGACCTGTGGAAGGAGAGGTACCACCACCACTCCACGCCCTGCTCGCCAGATTGAAGATTCTGCTGTCACATGGCCCAGCCAGCTTGTGGAGCCCTGGGGTTGGCTGTGTTGCCTGTAGCAAGACCTGGGACAATGGGATTGGTGATGAGCTGAAGGCAAGAGTGGTTTCTGCTGGGGTTGGCACCAAGGCAGGAAAGGAGCTGTCTTCAGCCAGTCGCTGAAGCTGGAGTTGAGAGTGGAGGGCTTAAGGGCATGAGGATTATCCAGGGATGCTGGAGAAAGTGGGCTTTGAGCCCAGGGACAAGTCGAGAAGCTTCCAGATGTGCACTCTTGGACACAGGACCTCTTGCGCCATCTTGGGGAGCTGGCCTGGTGCTGACCAGTGCTGTCCCAACCCCGGCAACACTAAATAAACAGGCCAGGTTTACTGCCGTGGCCACAGCTCATCTTGAATGCATGTGAACCCTGGAGGAATGGGGTGGATGAGGTTCATGGTCAAGCAGAGGCTCTGACACTCCAGGAAGATCTCTAGTGGGCTGAGTCAGCTTCCAGCTGTCTGTAAAACGAATCCCTGAGTGTCCTCTGACCTCCCTCCTCCCACCCTTAATCAAAACAGAGCATCTCTTTATTCTCACCTTCCCATTCATTCACTCATTCGCACATTACCTAACATTCTTATTCTCTCAGGCATTCGGATGTGAACACAGCCTGTCTCCTCTTTGGGATGTGAGGAAGTCAGATGGATAAATAGATATACGGTATCATGTGCCATCATGGTATTATGACACAAACAGTTTTGTGGAGGCCAGAGGGGCAGCCTTTGACCTAGGGGTGGAAGTTGAGGTGAGGGCATGGGCTTAAGAAAGAGCTTCACAGAGGGTGCTATCATTTGGAGGATACACTGCAGAGTGGCTGGGTGCATTGGAGGGGATCTAGGGAGGAGATAGAGGCATTCTAAGAAGAGATAGCAAGTCCAGTGGTGTGGCCAGGTGAAAAGGCCTAGATGGCTTGGGGAACAACAAGCTGTGCTGGGTGGTCAGACCCAGTGAAGGGCTGAGCCGTAGTCCACAGTCAGAGGAGGCCCTGCTGGCCCTGGCCTTGTCGTTGTTCTCCCCAGAGACCACTTGGAGGCACAGGTCCCAGGGGTGGGCTACCTGCATCCCCCGTGATGCCTAAGTCACACATCAGGCCAGTCTTCCTCTTCAGCAGTGGTGCTCATCTGGACTCTGAAGGATTTGGGGGGTGCTCAGCTCCCACAGGAAGAAGCAGGGGTGTGAGGTAGAGACAACACCCCGTGGTTTCGCATGTGGTTTGCACATGGCTTTTCTCCCTCTCTGCTTCAATTCCTGCCCTGTGACTTGGCAGTGATTTGGTGTGGAGTGTCCAAGTGCTACCATGACCCTGAGCCCTAATATAGGACAGGTGTCATTTTTTAAAAAAACAAGCTCCCAGCCCAGGTCAACCTAAAACCCAGTTGGGTCTATACTGAATGTGAATGCACTGACACAGGTATCAAATCTGAGATGTGGTTCCAAGAGAACAATGTCCAAATAGTTGGAAAGAGAGGATAAAATGGAGCTTGTTGTTGTTGTTATTGTTTTATCAGACTCACAGCTGGGAGCTGGAGGGAGATGTCATTCTCTGGGAGTAATCATTGTCCCTTATGTCACTATGCCACATCGGCTTACAAAGCCCATGCATGGACATTGTCCACTTAATCCTCCCCCCTCCATTGGTAAGCTAAGCAGGGACAGGGCTTGTTTCTATCCTTCAGATGTGAGAACTTAGACTCAGCTGGTTTGGTCAACAAAAATGACTCCCTGTCCACACAGTGGTCCCTTGGAGGCTGACTGCCTCTTCCTGAGTCGCCTTCGTGCTGGAAAGCAAGGAAACACCTATACGACAGTAGAACCTGGGTTCCTTCTGCTTCATAATTTGTCTTCAGAGGTTTGCTTTAAAAGTTGTCTGGCCATATGTCCTGGAAGGACAGTTCCCCTGCCCACTCAGTAGCAGAGCCAGAACTGGGACCCGCCTCTCCTGGAGGTCCACCCTGTGCTCCTGGTGTCAAGCAGCCTGGACCTCTGCGCTCTGGCTCTCCTGCTTTCAGAACAGCCCCTGGGAACAGAACGGTACTCAGTGGCACCGAGGGGCTGGCAGTGCTGGTTGTGAAGACCTCACGGCACAGTTTGTGCCAAGCACACCCCAGATGCAGGGGAGGCAAAGAGTTGCTGCTGCGACCCTTTGGGCTGCCTGAGAAGTGGGTTCTGGTACCCCCTGCCCCCTTCTAGCTTCCCTGCAGTGCAGACAGGTCCTCTGGGACAAGGGGGCTGGGTATGTCCCAGACCTTCACAGGCCACGCACCCCTTCTTTGTGCAGGAGCATCAGCCGGCCACCTGTTGTTCATCTAGCCCTGGTAATCCCTTCTGTACTGTGTCAGCAGTTCAAAAGGGCACTGTTAGTATTTTTTGCCGACTTCAATTAATGTGAGATTTCAGAGGCCCCTCTGATCACATTTCATCTGTCACAAGTCAGGAACAAAACAGACAGATTCCAGTTGAGAGGAGGAAGGAGAAGGAGTTTATTGCAAATAACAACAACCAAACAGTTTGGGCTGGGCCAGCAAAGGGTGTTCTGGGAGTGCCCGGCTACCTCTGCACTCCATTTTGCCCCATGCCTGGGCCCCTACATCTCCTTCCCATCCGTGTTCCTCCTCTCCCAAAAAAGATGTAAGTGCAATAACTTACTTTAAAAGGCAAGAACGTTTCTTTTAATATTTTGCTATAATGTAGTTACATGGTGGTATAGGCAGTAAAACTTTATGGAACCGACCTCATTTTTTTTTTTACATTTTTCTGGATTTTTACTGTATTTTTAATATATATTTTTAATATTCCACCCCAGGCCATTAAGCTAAAGGAAAAGTTGCATTTATACAGGGTTAAAATATCTTACAATGAGAACAATAAGTAACGGTTGAGGTTCATGTTCCTTCTAGCACTCAGCTTTCTTTTTTCAACCACTGCACACCTAAACAGATGATTAGACATTGAAAACTGTCCTTCAAAATCAGTAGTATAAAGGCCTAGCTCTATGTGTGTGAGTGAAGAGGGAAGAAAGGAGAGGCCGAGGTTAGGTCATGGAAGCACCTTTCCTCCCTACAGCATCCTGAAAGAAGTGAAGTGGGGTTGATGGGTCATTGTCACCTTCTTATTTTTTAACTGGATAGTCACAGAGTATTATCCTGGGGGCCAGTTTACCAACCATCCTCCCCCAGCTAGGCCTGTTTGCCTTTGCACTGGACAGTAAGGGCCATGAAACAGACCAGGAACCCCCGCGTGTCTTTCAGGTTCTCGAAGATGGCCCCCCACTGTCTAGCCCAGGGAGGGAATGACTGCATAAGCAGGGTACGTAGTTTTCATGGAAGCGTCCCTCGTCTGCCCAGCCGAAATGACAGGAGATGGGGCACGGAGCTGGGTCCAGTGTGATCACAGCTGTGTGTGCTGGGGACCCACCCCACACTTGCTGCACCTACC
Source organism: Homo sapiens (assembly GCF_000001405.40). Taxonomy (NCBI): domain Eukaryota; kingdom Metazoa; phylum Chordata; class Mammalia; order Primates; family Hominidae; genus Homo; species Homo sapiens. The sequence goes on from NC_000011.10 coordinate 44,261,417, forward strand.
CCATCGCAGTGTCTTTGAGCTAACCTGGCCACCGTGCTTCCCGAAGCTGGAGGCACGGTAGTGAGCGCTGAGAATCAAGTATAGTTAAAAGAATTCAAGGAAAGTTCTAAAAGCCCATGTCCTCCAAGTGCTATTTCAGCCTTGGAGACAAGCCTCTCTGTGTGCCCCCCAGAGCCCTCGCTCCCATGCCCCAGGAGTAGTGCTGGCATCTGGAGGGCAGTAGCAGCACCTTAGTGTCAAGCCTTGCCATGCTGAGACCTGTGCCCAGCAGGGACTGGAGGCTGTCAGTGTGGGGAGGCTGCCCATCCATCTGCCGGCTACCCACGACTTTATTTTTAAGTTGCCATCTCTGTTGAGATCTTAGGCAGGTATCCAAAGGAAATCCTCACCTCTCTTAGCTTATTCGCATAGCAATGAACCACGTGGCAGGTAGATGCTTCTCTCCACCTGCCTTCATGAGCTTTAGCTCCAGATGGCCTTGGGCAGCTGCCCTGACTTGCTCAGTCATCCTAGGAGCTGACACGGCAGTGGCCCCCTGCTCTGCAGTGCAGAAGGTTGGGCCTAGCCACCTGTCTTGGAAGGGACTGGGCCCCAAGGTTCTCTTCTGGAGAACTGAGCTGCTGAGTGAATGCCCATGAGGCATTGGAGAGGGGAGCTCCATGCAGCACCGGCCGCCCCTGGTGCCAACGAAGCCCAGGCCCTCACACCCTGGGTGGCACGTCCCAGGCTCCTCTCTCAGCCTAGTCTCAGGGCAAGTACAGGTCAGGGCAGTCATGTCTCCACTCTGGGCCAGGGTCTTCTCTGTTGTGAAGGGACTGGACTAACTAGAGGGTTTCTAAGCTTCCTCCCAACTCGGTGGTCCTATCATACTTAGTGTGGTTAGGTGGCCCCCAAGGGCTGGGCCAAGCCACAGAGGACAGGCCTGGGGTACGTGGCTGCCTTTGACGAGATGAACAGGAATGTTTCACATTGGCATGTTTAATCCTAGACACTTCCTGGGTGTGTTGGGACAGGCAGCCATAGCCACAGAGTCTTCTAATAGACGCCTTTTCTTCTCAAGCTTTTGGGTTGAAATTTGCCTGACTTGGGTCTAGCCCAGCCAGAGAGCAGACGCATGGAGGAACTGAGTGCCGGGGGCCACTGCGGAAGAGCCCCCTTAAAGCTCTCACTCTCCCTCCCTGCCTGCTCTGGAGCTACCTGTCTGTCCTCCTCTTTGTCCTGATTCCCTTGCTCTCCCTCCTGGCCCACTCTGGAGCTACCTGGCTCTCCTCCTCTTTGTCCTGATTCTCTCATGGGTGAGAAAGACCCAAGGTGAAAGTTCCTTCCTTCCCCATCCTTCCTCAGCCATGAGCATTTCAGAAGGAAAGGGGGGAGAAATGGGGAAACTGTTCCCAGCCTTAAGTTCTTCCTTTCCCTGGCTAGATTTTGGGGGAGTCTGGGTCATTTCAGCGAACCTCAGAACTAGAAAAAACTTCCCAAAAGTCACTCCAAATCCTCAAATATTTGAAACACTTAAAGCCAAGCCTCCAAGAACATTTAATTCAATGTCCAAGACCCTTTCACCTCTATAAGATCCATTTTAGAGCTACGGTTCACAAAGAGGTCTGACTCATTAAGGGAGGCCACAGCCAGACCCTTCCTCAGCCTGGTTTCTAGAGCAGATGAGAACACCAGGCAGGCGGGAGACTGTCACCCCCAACCCCAGAGACCCTCATTCAACAACACCAAGTTTACCCTCCGCCCAACCCAGGAGGCCTTTCTGTGTCCACGACCCTGAGCATAGTGGGCCTGGCCCTACTCCATGACAGGAATCAAGGGAGAAGGTAGAAAAGGCGAGCGCTTCAATGCGGGGCGCTGCCTGCTGGAGGGACCCCCCACCTGGGGTCTGACAGGCCTGCCTCTGGACGGTTACTGTGTACTCCCAGCTGAGGTGAGGGCTGGGGCTCAGGGCCAGACCCAAGCTACAGGGGTCGGGCAGGCAGGCACAGAGCCCCGCTTCCTGGAGGCAGGAAGCCTGGTTTCAGGAGGGCATCCTGACAGCCCCATTTGCAATAGCAAAGCCACACCGAGGAGCCCAGGCCAGGAGCCCTTCCGCAGGCTGGAGAGAGGGCAGAGAGTCCTGGTCCCTGTGGAAGAAGTGTAAGGACGGAGTGTGGAAAGCTGTGTGGAGAAGAGCAACACCTCCTAGTGCCTGGAGGGACACAGAGCCCCCATCTGCCGTGGAAGGCTCTGGGCAGCGATGACACTGACAGATATGGCAGGGAGGACAGTCAGTTTGAGGCCATAGCAGGGCCTGGAGGCCGAGCATGGCCACACGTCCTCTAGCAAAGCCTGCACGCAGCTTTTGACCCTCTGCCACCCGGCCCCCAAGCTCTAGCTTATGTGTTCCGAAGTTGTGAGTCCTTCCATGCCGGGACACTGCTGAGCAGCCCCAGGGAGGGGCCAGGGTAGGGCAGGGAAGAGACGAGCCCCTCCGCATCCTCCTGGAGGGAACCTGACTGGGCTCTGGATGGAGAACAAAGCTGCCCAGACCTCCCCGCTGTACCAGATGCCAGGCAGGCCGGAGAGCGGGAGGACTGCCCGGGCCCACGCCCCACCCGGATGCCTCCCCCTCTCCCAGGACCTTTCCTTCTTCTAGCACCATGGGAGCCCTTGTGGCATCTGTGTTCTCAGCCTCCCTCAGGTCTGGCTCCTCCCCTATAGTGTCCAGTGAGGGGCTGGCCCGTGTCTCCCCTGGGGACTGGCATTGCTAGATGGCAGCAGGGGTCCTCGGCTCCAGCTCCTGTCATCCTCTGCCCACTCTCTCCAGGTGTATCCAGCCTAGGGGACAGCCAGGATGCAGTCAGCCAGGCTCTGTCAGACTCGTCACTGTTCGGGGGGAGGTGGAGGCTGGCGCCTTGGCCCCAGCAGGTCGGATTCCGTGTGCTTTCAGGGAGAGAAAGATGGGAGGGCAGGAGGCTGGCTCTGCAGGGCAGCCTGTGCTTCAGACACACAGCCACCGGCCTGGTGACCAGGGGACCCCACTAGGAGCGGGAAGGATGGACAAGACTGGGCTGGTGAGGCTGCTGGGTCTGCATGGAAATCTAGCATTGACTCATGGTCAACTAGGCAGAGCAGAGGAGTGGGCGGGAGCAAGAAAGCGCTTTCAGCTTATCATGGATGCGAAGCTGAAAAACGTGGCCACCTGGCTTTCTCCACTGCCTGTGGCCGGGAGCAGGGGTCAGGGCCTCAGTGCCAGGGAGGGGCCAGGGGCCTGCTGCCCCCTCCCTCCCAGCAGTCCACGGGGCCTCAGACTTGGGGCGGCTGAAAGTGCTGAGGGTCAGGCCCCTGGCCCAGGCCAGGTTCCTAAGAGGAAAGTCGAGTGGGAGGCTGGGGGCCTGGAAAACATGGGCGTGGCCCATGGTGTCCCGAGGTGGGGACGGGGCAGGGGTGCCCTGTCATGTGGCCCAGGAAATGGCCGCACTGTGCTCCTTGGCCTTCATGCGGAGGGCCGCGATGCTCGAGGTCTTGCGGTCCGGCTCGCCGTTGAGCTCGTAGCCATTGAGGCCTGGGCTGAGGCTGGCTGCTCCAAACAGGCTGCCCATGTGCGTCTGGCCCACGTGACTGCCAGCCCCAGACACACTCAGGAAGTCGGTGACGCTGCTGGCCCCAGAGCCAGGGGGGTGGGCATGAGGGGACATGCAGGCAGGCACCGGGTCGCAGGGGACCACGCAGGCTGGCACTGGTGAGGCAGCCCCGTTGTTGCCGAGCCAGGACGGGTTCTGAATCTGGGAGAGGAAGGGAGAGATGTCACCGGCTGGCGGGCAGGTGTGGTGTGGAAGGGGCTCGCCCCTTCCCCCAGAGCACCTCTCCCCTCACTGTCCATCCTTCCCATGAAGCCCCTCTTGAGTGTTTAGCCTTGATGGACATCCAGATACCCCTGTGGGGGTGGCTTTTACACCTTGGCATCTCTGTTCCCAGGGCCAGGCTAGCAGCAGAGGGAAATTCAGTTCTAAAGAGTGACCTCAGGCTTCATTAAGGGTCCAGTGGAAGGGTGACACCCCAGCACCCCCCAGCTGGCTTCCTATTTTTAGACTCAACTGTAGACTTGGCCTCCATCTGCGGATGGCAGCTGTGTCTCATTCACCTCCAGCTCCTCCCCAGGCCCCTCACATCCATAGGCACCTGAGCAAGGTGAGCAGACCTCAACTCGGAGAGCTTTGGCCTCGCAGGTTCCCTTGGGCCCCCACCAGTAGCAGGGAAGATGGAGGGGTTGGGTGAGGTGGGCGGCAGGGACCTAAACCTCTCAGAAACCAAGGGTCAGTGGCTGAGGTTCCAGGGCCTGAACTAGGAGGCTTCAGAACTAACTCAGGATGGAAGGGGCTGCCTCAGGAGTGGACAGCCAGATCTGAGACCGGACCTCCTCGTGCCAAAGGGGCGAGGGCATGTGCAGGGATGAGTTGGCCATCTTATCTTCCATCTGTGCCACTGGGCTTCCCTTCCCTCCCCAACGTTCACCTGGGGCTCCCATCTTCCTCTACCTTCTAGGCACGTATAAGGAGGTAGAATTAGGGTGTGGGGGAGACCCGGGAACCTCTCAGCTTATGCACACGGGATTCCTGGTAACCTCATGTGGGCTTCTGCTGGCCTGCCCTCCTGCATGTGTCTGGAGCACACTCGAGGGAGGCATTTTAAAGCAGGGAGAAAGAGCTCAGCCCCCATCCTGGAGGGAACCGCATTTCTCTCTGCGGTGCAGGGGAAGGGGGACCGGTTGGCCTCCATCACCCCCTCTCAGAAGAGGTCTGAGCACACACTATGTGGTGCTGTAGGTGAGGTGGGGGTAGGAGGGGTGAACAGGGCCCTGTGTTGGGTTCTCCCTCCAGCTGTGCGCTCAGGCAGCAGAGCTCAAAGCCAAGGAGGGAGCTAGAGTTCCATCCTGGGAGGACAGAGGGAGGCTGAGTTTAGGGAGGGAGAGGGGAGAAAGAGAATGGAAGAACATAGTGCGAGCTGATGCTGATGGTGCCTGTGTGAGACACCCCATATTCCTCAGCCTCACCTCCAGGCCTGTGCCCTGCCCTCCTGCCCCATGAATCCTGGGCTGGGGGAGAGGGAACAGAGGGCTGGTCTGGTTGGAGAGCCAGAGACCATTTGCTAGCACAGAACCAGGTCAGGGAGAAGTAAAGGAGGCAGGGGCGCCCGTGCTACTGGCTGGCTGCTGAGCAGGGCCAGGTTGGGAGCTGAGGTGGAGGCCATGCCAGAATGAGGCCTGAGCAGGTAGGGAGCAGCCGCTTCTGCTGGGCAGGCTGAGTGGGGGTCAGGAGAGGACTTGGACTTGGCCAAAAACACATCTCTCTAAGCATCCCATGTGCCTGATGTGACTCAATACTTCTCATCCCTTGCATCTCACACTAGAACAGGGGACTGGCTGACAGACACCTAGGGAAAATGCTCTGGGGGGAGGGGAGGACAGGGCCCCAGAAGCTGAGCACAGGCACACAAGCTTTTTGAAACTGTACAATTCACAAAATACTTTTGCATGATTGAATTTAGACCTTACAACTGCCTGACAACAGAGCTGAGCAGATGCTTTTACCATGTCCAAGGTACAGGTGAAGAAACTGAGGCTCAGAGATTTGAGACTTGCCTAAAGTGAGAAAGACCTGGAGCTGGAAAGATAACCTAAGTCCCCGGACTCAGAATCCCAAGCTCATTCCAACTTGGCCACGAGTCCTGGAGATTTCAGAGCTCGCTTTCTGAAGAGACCCTCCGAGCGGTATCTGAGGGCCTGGTGGCCTTCTGCCTGCCTTGGTTCCGATGCCCACAGCAAAAGTGGCCAAAGCTAGTGGAGGAAAGAGCCGTTCTCACTGCCCCAACCTTCCCTTCCCTAAAGTTCAGCCAAGCCTGGTTCAATGATTAGTTGGATAGATTAACCCTGGGCCTCCCACACTCTGGTATAAACAGGCACACCCCTGGAATGAGACGGAAGGGCAGCCTGGAGCCATAAGTCATCTCGGGGTGCCTGGGCTCTCCTCCAAGGGGCTCATTCTCAGAGCACCAGGGGCTGGGGATCGGTGGCGGCAGCTCAGGGCGGGACTTACCTGGGCGTAGTTCTCAGCTCGGGTGAGGAGGGGCAGCTCATATGCAGTGGAGAAGTGGGTTCGAACCTGCTGCATCTGCCCAAAACGCTCCCGCTTCCTCCACTTGGCCCTTCGGTTCTGGAACCAGACCTACAAGACGCGAAAAAGCCATTGTCACCAGGGTGAGATGCCCGCCTGGAGGCCTCACTTTCAGGCAGTGCAAACTGTTCCCTTGAGCCCCCCATCAGTTGCAGTGCGTTTGGGAAACGGTGCGGCCACACATAAATATCAACCTTGGTCTTTGTCCTCAAGAGCTGACAATCTAGAATCATCCACTCTGAGCTGGGAAGGTATCTTACCCCCACTAGCCATGGGCGTGATCCTGAGCCAGAACTTTTATTTTTCTAAGCTTGAGAATCTAGAGCAGCCAAGTGTCACCACCTATAAAACAAGTCACTGGTCATCTTAGCAGTCATCTAAGCAGACTCCTGTGGAGAAGCTGATAAAAGCTACAAATGCTCCTCCAGATGTGTTCTCCTAGACAATCACACACAGTTTTGCCACAGTTTTCCAAAAGGTTCATGGCTCTCTAAGGCTTATTGGTCCAGATTCACAATGCCTTCCTCCCTGCATCCTGTCTGCAGCCTTCTTGTTGGAGACAGTCTCCCAGCTCAGAACTCCCCTGTGTTAAAGGGAGAACAGGGGCTCTGCTGGGCAACAGAGGCAGTCAGGGAAGACTTCCTGGAGGAGGGACAGGAGCTGGGCCTTGAATGGTTGGCTGAAAGGAGGAAAGCCAAGGCCTAGGTTTAGAAACAGCAAGGCATACTCCAAAAACCTAAAGAGGTCAATTTGAAGGAAGCGGTGGGAGAGAAAGAAACAGAGTCAGATCGCAGGGGGCCTTGACTGCCAAGTGAAGGGTTTTTCCCTTGGTGCTGTCTGTAGAGGCAGTTGCTATAAAATCTTGTGTAGAAGCGTGGCCTGATGGTGAGAGGAAGTGGAGGCCAACCCGTCACTGAGCACAAGTGGATGGGATGTTGGCCTGATTGGGAGCCCAACGGGGGAGGGGAGGTCTCTGAGTCAGCTGTGAGCACTGGGGTTTTTGGTGACGGGGAGTATTGGGTCCTTTTCCTTTGCACGAGCATTTCTGGAAGGCTGAGAACTTTCCCAAGGCTCAAGAGCAAGAGCTGCCCTACCCCTGGCCCATGACTTAGGATCTGGAGAAGGGGTGATGGGGACGGGGTGGGTGAGAGAGGGAGAGTGAGGAGGGATCAGCTTCCAGGCCAGGAATGGCTTTAGGCTGATTCAGAGATGGACCGTGGTGCTCCTCAGAGGGAGGCCTCTGCCAGCTTGATGTGCACTTGTCTGCTGGCTTTGCAGACTCAGATGCAAGTGGGCACACCTCAGACAGCACGCTGCAGACCGGGAGAACAGAGCCATGACAATAGCCTCAGCTGCAGAGCCATAAGGAGCCTTGCCAGGCCCTTCCAGGCCCAGGCATCAAGAAAGCCAACTTTCCTGAGGTCCAGTCCCTGCTCTCCAGGTGGAAACATTTCTCCATCCATCACGACCAATGCAGCTGCTGAGCTAAATATAGGAGTCAGCTCTCAAAATTCCTCTGCCTCAGAGCCTTTGAGCTTCCTAGGAACCACTGCGAGGAGGGGAGAAGGAGGTGTGGACGTGCTTCCTCACAGACGCTGCCTGGCCTCTTTGGGCATCCAGTGTAGCTGGCCAATGGACAGGCTCATAGGAGCACTGGTATTGCCAAGGGCCTCAGTTTCTGCATGGCGAATGGTACCTCATAGTCGCAGCAGGGGAGATAGATGGGAAATGCAGTCCAAGAATGTTTAGAGTACTTCCCATTTGTTTCTTTACAGCTCCTGACCTTTCTCACTGTCTTTTGCTAGAGGAAAGAGGTCAAGGAAGATGGGGATGTATCTCATGTTACTGTGAGGAGGGTGGGGGTGAGCAGGGGTGTACATTATTATGTTTCTCCACTCCTGTACCAACTCACTTTCCCCTCCCTAATCCTAAGCATGTGTGTGCGTGCACGAGTGTACCCACTAGTGTGGCTACACGCACGTGCATGTGTGCACACACATTGACTGGGGGAGGAGAAGCCTCTTCCTTAGAAACGGACCCTCTCCCCAGTTTGGGGTCTCAGCCCCTGCCCTGGCCTCCCAGGGCCCCTTTTCCTCCAGGGATTCCTAGGGTCCAGGCCCTGGCTGCCCACTGGGAGCCAAGGACAGATGGGGTCTCCTCTCTGTGCTGCTGAAATGGGATCCCTCTTTATCAGTGGCCTGGGATGGGAGACTGGGGCCAGGATGAGAGAATGAATCAGAGGAGCTTGTTTTCATTTCATGTTTAATTTCCTGCAGGCTTAGCTCCGTCTTTCCGCTCCTTCCTCAGCCTCCCAGGGTTTTCTGTGGGGGAAGCTGGGGGGAGGGGAGAAGCCACTGGAGGCACGGAGAGAGATGGCTTCTCTTTTTCTTTTTGTCACTGTGACTGTTGGGGTTCTCCTTGTGTCTCTGTGGGTTCCAGGTCCCCATGGTGGGACTGTGGAAGTGGAAGATGTCCCTACAGGCTCTGGAACAGAGGATCCAGGGATGGGCGGGGAGGGACCCCGAAGAGGGAAGGAGGTGGCCAGCGCCTGGCAAAGGGGTCTAGAGTGGAGGGAGGAGCCATGTGGGGGAGTGGAATGTGGGGCGCGGGCTCGCTGGAGCTGAGTGTGAGGGAGGAGGAGATGTGGGTTATCTGGGGAAGACAGATGACCAGGCGGGGGAGAGGCCAGCAGAGCTAGCACCGTCTTTGGAACAGGAGTGGAAGAAGGTCAGGCTGAGGGATTTATTTGAGGGCTGAAGATGGAAATGGTGAGAGGCGGGTGAGCGACCGGTGGGAGCAGGGCTGCCCACCTCCTCCCTCCTTCTTCTCCTGTTCCTTTGTCCTGGGGCCTTACCCTGCGCACCCAGTTCTGGCTTTTCTGCCCAGATCCAGACATGAGCTAGGTGAGCCTGGCCGGTCCTCAATATCCTCCCCAGTAAATTGGAGGCAGCAAGGGTATCCTCACGACCCCTTCTATGCTCACATCTGCAGGTCCTGAGGCTTGGAGTGTCCATCCATTTCTGACCCCTGGCGCCCCAGGGGCTCCGAGAGCTCCCTTCCAGATGCCACACCAACCCCCACGCCCGTTCCTGTGCCTCCCAGCTCTGCACCGCAGGCCTGTCTCCACTGTGCAGCCCCAGGAGGACAGCCAACCACGAGGTCCCCACTGTTCTCCCGGTCTGAATGTCATACCTCAGGACCACCCCAGCCTGGGCCCACTCAGCACAGGCCTCTCCCGAGGACCGGGCTGTGCAAGGAACCAACTGTCTTGGCGGAGGCCTCGCTAACCGCAGCCCATCTGGGGCCAGGGCGGGGTGGCCCAGGGCGGGGAGGCCTCTGTCTTATTGTCTTCAGACACCAGCTGCAGAGATTGGAATCCCAGACAGCAGAGAGAGGCCCCTGCAGCCCCCTGGAGCAGGGCCAAACCCTAGGCTTCTTCCCAGGAAAAGTCCATCTTGGGGCCCCCATTGCCCCGTCCCTGTCCCCACCACCACTCTACGCCAGGCACCTGGCTTGCCACCAGCTGAGTATGGGCCCTGAACAAACACAGCAGAGGCAGGCAGGGGGTTCCATCACCACCCCCTTACCCCCCCAGGGCACTGCCAGGCTTAGGGCTCAACCCAGAGGTCTGACGCACATGAAGATCCCACCCACCCTGCTGCCTTTATACAAAGAAAAGCCTCTGAACAATCTGGCATGTGTCCTTGTACAGCAAACTAAAGTCAAAGAAGCACTAGGCTGCGACTCAGGAGTCCCGGATTCCAGTCGCAGTGCTGCTACTGAGTGGCTGCTGTTAACTTCAGGTTATGACTTCCCACCTATGGGCCTCTTCTTCCTCGTCTATCAAATGGGAAGATGGGGTGATCATTTCCAGCACTACCGTTCTATAGTTCTGTGGTCCTCCCACTAGGTGATAAGATATGCAGCACGTCAGAGTTTCCCTTTCTGCCTTGGCTGCCAGGAAGCTCCAAGTTGAAGTTTGTGCTCAATGGCAACCATGAACCTTAGCCTAAATTTTTTTTTACCACATTACCTCTGCATTTCATGCCATTGTTCTTGTTTTTAGATTGAACAAATAAATCTTTAATTGTAAGCTACCTCAACTCCATTTTGGAAGTAGGTATAAGTGTGTGTGTGTGCGCGCGCATGTGTGTGTGCAGAGAACACTCTGTTTTAGTTGTATGGTGGCAACTGAAAAATGCTCTGTGCGCCTTTGTTTTCATGTTTTGTACTCAAGGCGTCATTCTTCTTTCAGTACTTAGTGAATTCTACTCCCGGGCACTCCCATATATTTGTTAGGAAGCATGCATGCAACCCACATATGCAAACACAAATGTACACACATACTGCACAGAAAAGGAACAGGTTTATCCCACACCAACACAGCACCTACAGGGCTGTCCCATAACCAGCTATGCCCCTTTCTCTACCTACACCTGTGGGTCCTCCCCAATCCATTTGCTGGAGATCAGGCTAGATGCTAGGATTCCTGTCCAAACTCAGGCATGTAAGGTCATGTGAGTGGCTGGTTGTCCAAATTCAAGTGAGATCTGGGTGTGTGAGGGCTTCTGGATTCACAGGAAAGCCCCAGCTGCCCTGTCATCCTTCATCAAACATTCATTAGGCACTGGAGGGGAATAAAATGGCAGTCTTGCCAGGTGCAGTGGCTCATGCCTGTAATCCCAGCACTTTGGGAGGCTGAGGTGGTGGATCACCTGAGGTCAGGAGTTGAAGACCAGCCAACCAACATGGTGAAACCCCATCTCTATTAAATATACAAAAATTAGCCGGGTGTGGTGGTGCACACCTGTAATCCCAGCTACTCAGGAGGCTGAGGCAGGAGAATCGCTTGAACCCGGGAGGCAGAGGTTGCAGTGAGCCAAGATTGCACCACTGCACTCCAGCCTGGGCGACAGAACAAGACTCTGTCTAAAAAAAAAAAAGGCAGTCTGGGCTGGGCATGGTGGCTCACGCCTGTAATCTCAGCACTTTGGGAGACCAAAGCAGGTGCACCACTTGAGGTCATGAGTTCAAGACCAACCTGGCCAACATGGTGAAACCTCCATCTCTACCAAAAAATAAAAAAAATTAGCTGGGTGTAGTGGTGCATGCCTGTAGTCACAGCTACTTGGGAGGCTGAGGCATGAGAATCGCTTGAACCCAGGAGGTGGAGGCCGCAGTGAGCCAAGATCACACCACTGCACTCCAACCTGGGTGACACAGTGAGATCCTGTCTCAAAAAATAAAAAAATAAAAAAAAAATGGCAGGCTGCCCTCAGGGAACTTACAGCAACTCAACCGTGCAGCTCTTCAGCATCACTTCTGGTAGCTGCAGTTTCTGAACAGCTACATATTTACTGATAACCACTAGTCCTTTTCCACATTAGCCATTTTGGAAAAAAAGTTTGTAGACTCTATTAGAGATGCCTCTGCCTTCTTAAACAGAAAATGGTTGTAACTGATGAATCTTTTACTGATGCCTTAGAACAATGCTGCTGAAGATGCTTTCATGAGTTAATTCAAGAGTCCCTGGGGCCTGCTGAGGATTGCAGGGTTGGGGCATCTCTGTCCTAACATTGAAGGGCTCAGCCCACTGAGCTGCATGGCGCTTTGCTGATTAAAAAAAAAAAAAAAAAAAAGATTTCTCTTTGTTCTGAAGCTATTGATTTTTCTGGCCCACTGGAGAGGGAAAAACTGCTATGTGGCAACGTTTTATTTGCTATTTCCAACATGCTTTGGGTTGGAAAAGCGGACTGATTATGACATTTATTTTGTGTTAAATTGAAACTTAAACTTGAGTGTGTGAATTTTGTCACCTGTATTTTGGCTACTCATGGGTCTTTTCTTTCTTTCTGATCCTTTCTTTGCTGTGAATTCATGCTGGTCGGGGCAGATACAGCTCTCTGGACAAGGGTTGATTGATCCACGGATACTTATTTTTTAGACTTGATGCTCTGCGTTTGGCTTTCTCTAATTGGTGGGAATACAGTGATGAACAATCAGTGCTTGATCTCAAGGAAATCACAGTTTAGTAGGAGGGGACAAACAAGTAAAATAACGTAAGCCAGTCAACAATCCTGTAAAGAAGACAAAATAGGAGTTGGGCACAGTGTCTCATGCCTATAATCCCAGCAGTATGGGAGGCTGAGGTGAGGGATTACTTGAGGCCAGGAGTTTGAGACCAACATGGACAACAAAGCAAGACCCCATCTCTACAAAAAATAAAAAAACTTATCCCAGGCGTGGTGGTGTATGCCTGTGGTCCCAGCTACTCAGGAAACTGAGGCGGGAGGATCCATTGAGCCCACGAAGTTAAGGCTACAGTGAGCCATGATCACACCACTGTACTCCACGCTGGGTGACAGAGAGAGACCCAGTCTCTTTAAAAAAAATAAACAAAAATACCCAAAAGATAAAATGGGCCCAGGCATGGTGGCTCATGCCTATAATTCTAGCACTTTGGGAGGTTGAGGTGGGATGATCACTTTAGCCTAGGAGTTTGAGGCTGCAGTGAGCTATAATCATCTTATTGCACTCCAGCCTGGGTGATAGAATGAGACCCTGTCTCTAAAAAGAAAACAAAAAAAATTTAAAAAATTTTTAAGAAGATAAAATAGGACAGTGTAACAAAAGGTGAGCTGGTTTGCTTCTGTTGTGTTGGGTTGGGTTGAGTTCTATTGGGTTGTGTTGAGTGGGTTGAGTGTGTCAGGTTCCATTGTGTTGTGTTGTGTTAGGTTGAGTTCTGTTGGAATGTGTTATATTGGGTTGTGTTGTGTTGGAAGGGGCTGCATTAGGTTTAGTATGTTGAGTTCCATTGTGTTGTGTTGGGTTGAGTTGAGTTCTATTGGGTTGTGTTGTGTTGGGTTGGGTTGAGTTCTATTCGGTTGCACTGAGTTGAGTTGAGTGTGTCAGGTTCCATTGTGTTGTGTTGTGTTAGGTTGAGTTCCATTGGAATGTGTTATATTGGGTTGTGTTGTGTTGGAATGGGTTGAGTTGGGTTGAGTGTGTTCAGTTCCATTGTGTTGTGCTGGGTTGAGTTGAGTTCTATTGGGTTGTGTTGTGTTGGGTTGCACTGAGTTGGGTTGAGTGTGTTGAGTTCCACTGTGTTGTGTTGTGTTGAGTTGAGTTCTATTGGGTTGTGTTCTGTTGGGTTGCAATGAGTTGGGTTGAGTGTTGGGTTCCACTGTATTGTACTGGGTTGGGTGTTTTGGTTGTTGGCTGGTAATAGGGGGGCTACTGCTTTAGCCACAGTGGTCAGGAAGACTTCTCAGAGGAGGTATGAGTTGGGACTTGAAAAATGGAGGGGGATGCAGCCATCTAGGCAGAAGGAAGAGCTAAACTGTTCTCTGTTTCTGCCCACTGGGATGCTGTGGACATTGTCTTCATGTTTGTCCTGTTTCCTGTCTAAGAGATAGGCCTTCTAGAGCAGGGACAAGTAACCCTTCTCTGTGTGAAAGAGCCAGGACTCTTACACTGTGTAAAGCCCAGAAACAGCCAGCAGCAGCCTTCCTGCCCCTCTGCTGGAGGCCCTCCTTCCTTTGCAACCCCCCACCACAGTGCAGAAGCCCAATATTAAAGAGGATAAAAGCAGAGTCGCTCTAGTTGGGACAGGGGCATGAGGGGCAGGCTAGGAGCCCCCACTTTCAGGTTCTCAATGAACTGAGGAAAGGAAAGCCATGGTGTGGTTGGTGGGCAGTCAGGAGACCCCAACTGCAGCCAAGAGCCCAGGGACAGGCTCTGCTTTACCAGCCTCACTCCCAGGTGGCCCTCACTGACCTGCACGCGGGCCTCAGTGAGGTCTGTCCTCATGGCCAGCTGTTCCCGCGCATACACGTCTGGGTAGTGGGTCTTCTGGAAGACCTTCTCCAGCTCCTCCAGCTGGTAGCTGGTGAAGGTGGTCCGGTTCCGCCGCTTCTTGCCCTTGTTGCTCTCTGAGTCGGCCTTCTCCAATGGGCTGGGGAGGTCTGAGCTGGCCCGGTCCTGGGGCCCCTTCACCCCAGCCTCCTTGACACTCAGGTAGCTGCTGTCCATCCCCACAGTGTCAGAGTCAGGGGGTAACTCTGGCTCACCCAGGGAGCTCTCTTTAGCTGAGGGAGGAGGAAACAAAGTCAGAAACCAATGGTTGAACCAAACAAGAGAAGGGGAATGTCAGGGGGAGAGTGGGGCACTCGGGTAGCCACCCCCTGCCTTTTTCCTCTTAGAGCTCATTGGATGCGAGGTCCGGAGACTTGGCTTCTAATTCTGGCTTGCCATTAACTTGCTGTGTGACCTTGGGCAAATCTCTTCCCCAATCTGAGCCTCTTCACCATCATCTTAGACTAGGTCCCTTCCAGCAACAATGTTATGTGAACCTAAGGCAGCCAATCTGACCTCTGTGACCTTTAATCCCCACCTCACTGACCCTGAGCTCCTCTCTCTAGAGGGATTCCCTGCATCAGGACTTTTCTGGGGCCCGAGAATTCTGACCCCAGTGCCATGGCCTCCCTGGGTGGAAGGGAAACTCATTCAGCAGCCATGTCTGGCCCAGTGGGGCTTGGGGTGAGGAGGACCCAGGATTGAGGCAGACAGGAGTGCCCCTCCTTTCCTGGCCTAGTCCCACCAGGAGTTCAGCAGGAGCTGTGGAGACTCTGCCCCAAGAGTCCAGTGCTGAGGAGTCAACACCTCCTTCCCTGCCCCCCAACCCTGCACACTGGTCTCACCTATTGTTCAAGAGAAGGGTCTTTCTTCCTTGGGGGTGCATGGGATTGAGGCATGGGCCACATTTCCTGTTACAAGCAGCTCCTGCCCACTGTTTACTGAGGCTGCCCGGGCACCTTCATCCCCAGCACGCTGACCCCGGGCCTGGGTGGGTGTACATGAGCACAGCTCCCAGCCACTGCGTCTGGCAGATGGACCCCCCACCCACCGGCACATTCCTAGCTCAGGACTGCAAGGACGAGTCAACCCATACACATCAAGAAAGAAGAGGTGGAGGCTGGGGTGGGAGAGTGAGGCAAGAAGCCACTTTACCACCACACAGCCTGGTGAGCTTCCTAGGCAGACACACTCACCTCCTGGCAGAGGGTTTGGGACAACAGTCCCTACCTTTTTGGCACCAGGGACTGGTTTTGTGGAAGATAATTTTTTCCATGGGTGGAGAAGGTTGTGGTGGGGCATGGTTTGGGGATGAAACTGTTCCACCTCAAATCATCAGGCATCAGATTCTCTTAAGGAGCACGCAACCTAGATCCCTCACATGCATGGTTCACAGTAGGATTCACGCCTCTGTGAGAATCTAATGGCACCGCTGATCTGACAGGAGCCAGAACTTGCAGTAATGCTTGCTCACCTGCCGCTCACCTCCTGTGTGCGGCCCGGTTACTAACAGGCCATGGATCGGTACTGGTCCACAGCCTGGGGGCTAAGGACCCCTGGTTTAGGTCATGGACTCTTGATAGCCCCGCCATGAATCCTATGGCCATGACTCCCCAGCTGTGTGCTCAGGAGAGCTTACCTACCCGCTATGTGCCTCAGTTTCCCCCTCTATAAAATGGGGATGAAGATACTTCTAGGATCTTCCTCATAGGGTAGCTGTGGGAAATAAAGAGGCTAGTGTGCTAGCTATGTAGTTTTGCCATTATTGATATTCACATTTCTAGTCTGGACTTGCAAACCCACAGACCCTGTGAACATTAGAGGACTCCGACCCTGGAGAAGTCCTCCAAGCATGCAGGCCCTTGGGCACAGGAGCATGTGCAGGGCGTGCACAGATGCCTAGGGAAGGGCAGCCAACTGGGTGTCTGCAGATGTGGGTGTGAACTCCTCGAGAACTGTATTCCTTGTCTGTAACTTGGGGAAAAGGAACTTGTTGAGTGAAAGAACAAACACAATTAATAAGACGTTTGGGGAGCATTTGACACGACCTTTCACGTGCACGAGCTTTGATCATCACAACAAGCACGTGTGGTAGGTGTGAGCATCAGCCACTCTGACCCGCGGTTTCTTCTTCTGGAAATAGGTCCAAGCGATGGGCATTAAGTGTCAGAATGATGCCTCTAGTCCAGGTCTTCTGACTCCATCCAGATCCTGAGGGCTGAAGCTTCAGACTCGTCTCATTCCTGGCTTTCTGTGCACACTGGGGAAGCTGAGAGGGACATTTGGCCTGTGGCATTCTCGCCTCCCTCTCCAAGGCATCAAGGAAAGGGCATAGAGGTGAGTGCCCAGAGTAGGCCTGAAAGCAGCTTCAGGAGGCTGCTCCTGAGGGCCACTGGCAGTGCAGACGCCATGGGGGTGCACGACCGGCCCAGCGGCATCACGCATGACACCTGTGTGAGCCCAGGCACATGCAGACAGCCATGGCTTCAGTGACAACATTCTGCAAACTGCAGCTGGCAGCTGGGCCAAGAGCTTTCAGCAAAGATATTTATCTTCCTGGCAGACAAATACATTTTATGTTTTAGGTTTTTTTTTTTTTTTTTTAGAAACCCCACCCAGCCTCACAAAAATAACCATCCCTGTTTTGCAACTTCCTGGAAGCCAGATGAGGGGCTGAGGGAGGTGAGCACTGAGCCCTGAGCTCTGATCCCCAGGCCCCATCTCACAGCCCCATAGACGCTTGCTGGGGATTGGGACCACCCTGCACAGCAATGGGAGCTCCATGTTACAGGAACTGAGAGTTGGTATGGACCAGCCTGAACTCCTAGTTTTAACTGGGGGGAAACTGAGGCCAGAGAGAGAAGGGAACATGCCCCAATTCCGGACAGAGCACAGCCTCTCAGCTCCTGGCCTGCCCTCTACTCCCTCCCCTGCGGTCTTAGGCCTTATTCCCAGGGAGAGAGGTAGGGGCAGAAGGAACCCAGGGGCCTCATATGACCAAGGCGTCCTGCTCTGTCCATCTTGTGGGGGGCAGGACCAGCCCTTGAGGATGAGGGAGTGAGGATGCGGCCTGGGGGCAGCCTCTCAGCACTGAGCCAGCTCTTGGCCTTTCAGGGGAAGTGGCAGAAGGTCCAGTCTTCATGGTGACAAGTAAGGGTCCAGTTTTGCCCACCTCCAGCTGCCCACTGAGACCAAGTGAGCAGGCAGAGATAGAGGTGGCACAGGGTGTGCGAAGACCACCAGGCCAAGAGTTGGGAGCCCTGGCCTCGGCCCCCGCTCTTCTCAGGACTTCAGATGACCCATTTCATCTCTGGAGTCTCACCTACAAATAGGGAGAGCGGGGTAGTTGAGGGTCCCTCCTCCCTTGCTCACCAGCAGCCAGGACTGTCCCTGAGGACCTGGGGAGGGGAGGAGAGGGGGAGGGTGTGCCTGTGTCAGAGATGGAAGGAATTCAGGGGAGCGCTGCTCCTGGTTCCTCAAGGAAGAAGGAAGCAAGCCTTCTAACCTGTCTTGAGTCAGCTTGCTTTAAATTCTGAGGCTGGGTTCCTCATTTAGACAACAAAGAAAAATTCCCTGAAGTTCTGCAGCTCCACTCAACTGGTCAGAATAACAAGCACAGCCCTCTCAGAGTCTGAGTCCTAAGACCCCAAGCTCAGGCTGTCTATGTCCACCTCTCGCCACCCTGCAGCATCTCCACCTGGCGCTGGTTCCAGTCTAGGGTAGCAGGGAGCTCACTGCCCCCAGGACAGCAGAACTACTCATCTTTAGACCCAGCCCATGTCTGTCTCCTGTAGGTCTGGTTCACTGATTCCAGTTCTAACCCCCCAGCGCCCTTCCCCATGACAGCCCTGTCCCTGCGGACATTGGGAGGCTACTGCCACCCCTCTGAGTCTCCCTTCCTTCTGCAGTTCCCACTGCTGTTCCTCGGGTGGCCCTGAGTTTCTCCGGCCTGTGTGAGACAGAGGGTGGCAGGGATGATATGAGGAGTGGGGCTGGGCCCTGGGCAAAGCCAGCAGATTGCTCTCCAGGGAGATGACCCCGGGCTGGCTGGAGTGTCAGCATGGTAGCTGAAGGCCTGGGTGCTGGTCAGATCTGACTCCCCGCAAGGTGCCCTCCTCAGCAAGACGGCTGCTGAAAATAGAAGTCCCATGGCTCAGGCTGACTGCTCCTGACCAAAGGAAACCACTGACCTTGGTCCCCCAAGTCCCCATCTCGGGCCCCTGCCTGGCATGTTCCTCCTTCCAGCTGACCTCCAAGATCCAATGCTCCTCCAGGAAGCCCTCCCAGATTGTGACTGTTTTCCATCCTCTGCTCACCCTCTCCACTGACTGCCTATGTTTGCTGACTCGTAATCTCATCAAGCCCCGAATGTCCAGCTCCTCCTATAGAATGTCAGTTCCCCAGGGGCTGGGACCTCATGCCGTTTGTCCCTTCTCAGCCTGAGGCTCAGCACAGGATAGGTCAGGTGGCAGAGATGCAGTAAGAGGTTGCTGAGGAATAAATGAACAATTTCTAACTAACAAACATCACTGAGCTCTCGCTCTGTCCAGGTATCTGTGTGCACCTTTGGTGAGCCGATGTTCTATAGAGCATGTGCAGAAAATGTCTCTCGAGTAAATGAACCAACCGCCTCATCCTCCTACCCACTGGGGAGAAAGTCGGGTGGGATACATTGAAAAAGGGCACGCAATGACGAATGCCACCATTCAAGGCTGACAGCACAAACAGCAAAGGTCACTGCGGGAGACAGGAGAGAAGAAAGACCCAGACAGACCTTGAGCGATGTCTCCATGCAGAGAGCAAGGGACAGAAGGAGAAGCAGAGACGGGCTTCATAGGGGCGGCTCCAGAATTGAAACCAAGGTCCAGAAACCCAGTCCAGGATCTGCCAGGAACTGGCTCCACACCCACCCTGCCACCACACTGGGGTAGAGAAGACCGCCAGGGAGCTCTCAGTTTGCCTGGATGCTGGGCAAGCCTTCTTCAGAGCCTTGGGGCACCTCGTGCTGGCATAAGGCTGAGCAGCAACAGCGCCCAGCGTGGGTCCAGGCCACCCGCCAGGGGTTGGACTTCTCACATCCTCCCTGGAGCAGCTCCTTGTGGACCCGGAAAGGCTCTATGCTGATGCCCCTCCCATGATGAGTTTGTCCCAGGGCTGAGGCTATGGGGTCCAAGACAATGTAGTCCCAATCTGCAGCTTCCCAGTCTTGATCTGGAAGTAAACCCCTGACTACTTAGAGCCATCAATCAAGTAGTGAACCTACATCACTGAGAGCAATGCCTGCTCCACGGAGGGTGTTGTGCACGCAGTGTGGCCATCATGGTATCCAGTGCTCTTCAAACAATCCTAGGTCAGCATTATTGCCATAGACTGCTTTTGATGAAGTGGGAAGCATTCAGTTCAAGGTTGTATTCTCAATCGGGAGCCACTGAGCCCTTCAACCTCTGCTGGAACTCCCCCTGGGGGGACCCCCGTACCACTGGGAGCTGTCGTTTCTAGTGCTGGGAACCCCTGGCTGTTGGATTTCAGCTGGAGAAATGCATGAAGTGGAAAGCCTTGCTTCGTTCCCTTAACCTCTACCCATCTGTCCTGGTTCAACCCAATGGCATCACTCTAATCTAGTTTTACCTTTTTAAAACAGGAAAACCCTTGAGAGGTTTCCAAAGGTGACTGATTTTTCTTTTTTCTTTCTTTCTTTTTTTTTTTGGCCGTGATTTAAAGAATGACCTTCTAGAGCCATTTTAGGGAGAGGGTGCTGGTAGCATCTGTATGTACAGATGTACACCCGAGGGCCTGTGGCACAAGTCTGCCATTGTGAGTGGGTGTGGGGAACATATGTGTAGTTGCTTGTGGATAGGTTTGTGGAGTGTGCATGCTTGTGTGGTCAAGCGCAGGCACACAAGTGGGATGTGTGTCCCCGTGGGCAGTTGTGTGTGGGTGCAGATCCGCGTGGGTGGGTGTGGACATGGGTGGTGTGGGCCTGTGTGGAGCCGTGCACAGGCCCATGCATATGGCGCTAAGGGGTCTCAGTCATTTTATCCTCCATGGTTTTGATTACATCTATTTTTCCTCCAAACATCTGCTTTGTGGGGGACATGCCGCTTGCTCTGTTCTCGGGTGAGCTGGCCCCACACACCCTGTGGCGGAGTGCACACACCGATGTAATCTCCTTAAAAAAAACAGGCCAGCATGAGGCCCTTTCATGCTATTGAAAGGGCACTGACTAAACCCACTGCTGTCCAAACGGTCCTGTGGGGGTGAGGGCGGAGGTTAAAGTTTAGCCATTGATCACGTCCCCACCCCACCTCATCTGACACTGGGGTCTGTCCAGAGCTCAACTTGAATGTCCCTAATTTAGCTCCAGTCCCAATAAATAATGCCAAAGGGGTAGTAGTGACTGGGCTTAGATTTCAGCACACATGCACGGGGCACAGCTGTTTGCAGAGACAGACAGTGTCCCGGCCCTCAAGGGGCTGCCAATCTTCAGCAGAGGGTGGGGTGGAAATGGCAGTCCTCAGGCTAGCCAGTGGCACAGGCCATCCTGCTCACCCACAGCCACCAACCCAAGCCCTGAAATGCTCTCGAAATAAGGAAAGTCTGAGAAACTGCCCCAGACTAGAGGAGGCCAAGGAACCATGAGGACTAAGTGTAATCAATGTGTTCTGGGGGGAATGCTGGAACAGTAAAAGGACATTGGGGGAAGCCAGTGAAATCTGAATAAAGTGTGGAGTGTAGTTAATAGTAATATTTAACAAAAAGTGGGCAAAATATTCTAGCAGACACTTCACCCAAGAAGATCTACAGGGAGCAAATAAGCATGAAATATGCTCAACCTCATTACCCACTATGGAAATGCAAATTAAAAGCACAATGAGATACCACTATGTGCCTATCACAGTGGGAATAAGACCTGATGATGCCAAGTTACGGCGATGTATGGAGCACCCGGAACTCCCATCCATCACAGTGCAAACACTTGGGCGGTGTCTTATCTAGTTAAACTAACACTGACCTCATGACCCAGCAATCCCACTCCTAGGTATTTACCCTACAGAAATAATGACTTATTTTAAGAGGAGAGGAACCCAAACCCATAGGCAAATGTCTGCAGCAGCTCTATTCAGAATCACCCCGAAATGGAGACACCCCCAAGTGTCCTTTGACAGGGGAATGGAGACGCAAGCTGTGGTCTATCCAGGCCATGGATCGACTCCACAGTGAAAAGAAAGAACTGTTGACAATGACATGGATGAATCTGAAAGGTGGCCTTAGGGTCTGTAAACAAAGCCAGTCTCAAATTTACATGAAGTGCAACTGCACTCAGCTAGCACATGAATTCTGGGAAAGGCAAAACTACGGGGACTCTAGGCAACAGATCACTGGTTGCCAGGTGTAGGAGGAGGGGGAAGGTTTGTTTACAAAGGGCTTGCACTGGTGTGATGGAACTATTCTGTATCCTGACTGTGGCAGTGAATACATGAATCTATACATGAGTGTGTTAAAACTCATAAAAGTATATACCAAAAAGTTTTTTACAGCTGGGCGTGGTGGCTTGCGCCTGTAATCTTAGCACTTTGAGAGGCAGAGGCGGATGGTGGATCACCTGAGGTCAGGAGTTTGAGACCAGCCTGGCCAACACGGTGAAACCCCATCTCTACTAAAAATACAAAAATTCGTCGGGCATGGTGGCAGCCACCTATAATCCCAGCTACTTGGGAGGGTGAGGCAGGAGAATCGCTTGAACACGGGAGGTGCAGATTACACTGAACTGAGATCATGCCATTGCACTTTAGCCTGGGCAACAAGAGCAAAACTCCATCTCAAAAAAAAAAAAAAAAAATTTACAGCATGTTGTTTTCAAATTTTAAAAAATGTAACTAAAAAGAAAATACAAAATTGTGTTCATATATATAAAACAAAAACTAAATTAAAAGTTTATATGCCTTCACCCAGAAATCTCACTTCTAGGAATTTACTCAATAAATGATGGTAAGCATTCACTAGAGAGAACGTTCATCATGTCATAGTTTAATATGTAGGAAAACCGACAGTAATCAAAATATTCAACAATAGGGGATTGGTTAAATAAAGGATGATATTTCCATAAATGGAAGATCCTTCCTGATAGTCTTTATTCTGCACGTTGTTTCTTTTTTTGAGACAGAGTCTCGCTTTGCCACCCAGGCTGGAGTGCAGTGGTTCGATCTCGGCTCACTGCAACCTCACCTCCTAGATTCAAACGATTGTCGGACCTCGGCCTCCTGAGTAGCCAGGACTACAGGCATGGGCCACCACACCCCGCTCATTTTTGTATTTTTAGTAGAGACGGGGTTTCCTCATGTTGCCCAGGCTGGTCTTGAACTCCTGGCCTCAAATGATCCACCCGTCTTGGTCTCCCAAAGTGCTGGGATTACAGGCATGGACCACCGCGCCAATATTAGGTATTTATTTGTTCTTCTGTTTTCCCCTTGTTTATTGTCTCTCTCTCTCTCCCTCCCATGGAGCAGGGAATATATCTGAACATGTGTGCTTTGTTTACCCTGCTGTGTAACACCTAGTATCATAGCTGGCATGCAGTAGATGCTCAGTAAACATTTGATGAACAAATGAATGAGATGATGCTAAGAAAGGATAGCGTTTTAACACATGCAAAGATGTTCAATTTATATCAAATAAATCTCATTTTGATCAAAAAGAGGAAGGGAGTGGAGCATTTGTCCTCAGAAAATACTACAAGTTTCCAGAAGTGGCAATATGGGTCTATGGGTTAATTTTGTTTCTTTTCTTTTTTTGGGGGGCGGGGCGGGGCTGGTCTGAATTAATTTTCTATTTGTTTTCCCAGGAACAGGTTGAAATATCTGAAAGCAGTGATTAGAATCCTGGATGGTGCATGCTCTGAGAGCGGGCTGGGCTCTGTGCTGTGGGATTATGGGAAGCAAGAGACAAGCACCACTTGGAGAGACTCAGTTAAACTGGAATTTTAGATAAACAGTTAACACTTTAAACAATATAAGTATATCCCAAATATGGCACAAGAAATACTTTTATCCTACAAATTATTCATTATTCAAATGCAGATTTGACTGAGTAACCTGGTTTTGTTGTTTGCTTGCTTGCTTTTTGCTAAATCTGCCAACCCTGTACATCAGGCTTATGTGGCATTCAGGGTCCCGAAGGCAGGACTGGTCCCCACCAGACTCACGGACTTACACGCCAGCCTTCCATCTAGCTTGAGGTTCAGAGACCTGCTTCCGCTCTGCAGCGCACTGCACGAGTATCTTCAGGCTTCCGCACTCCTGCGGGCACCCTTCCTTCTACCTAGCATGTCTCTCTGCCTCTCCTGTCTGTGGCTAACTACTACTTTCACCTGGATAGCTTTCTCTGTAACTTTTGTGACTTTTCTTTCGCATTACAAATGTAATCTATGTTCTATATGGAAGATTAAAAAAAAATCAAGACAGACCAAAAGAAAATCACTCACACACATACACATACACACACACACACAAACACACACAGAGAAAACATTACTTTGTAAACTTTTGTGTTTTTTTTTGAGATGGAGTCTCGCTGTTGTCGCCCAGGCTGGAGTGCAGTGGTGCACTCTTGGCTCAGTGCAACCTCCGCCTCCCCGGTTCAAGCTATTCTCCTGCCGCAGCCTCCTGAGTAGCTGGGATTACAGGCACCCAGCACCACGCCCGGCTAATTTTTGTACTCTTAGTAGAGACAGGGTTTCGCCATGTTGGCCAGGCTGGTCTCGAACTCCTGACCTCAGATGATCTGCCTTCCTGGGCCTCCCAAAGTGCTGGGATTACAGGCGTGAGCCACCGTGCCCAGCCTATAAACATTTTAGTAAAATCTAACCATATTCCGTACCCCTTTCCATGCTGTTCTATATTCTTCTACCACACCATCCTTAATGGTTACGTAGCGAGAACAATCACTATTTTATTTAATCCATCCTTTTCTGTTGGGCTCACAGGTTTCTACTTGTTTGAAATCATAGCAGGTCTGTGATTTAAATCTCTCAATACATGCATGGCGATTCCCTTAGGAGAAGCTCCAAGAACTAGAAATATGAAGTTCAATTATCCACATATCTGAGGGTCTCTGAGAAACACGGCCAAGTTGTCTTCCAGAAACATGTAATGTCCTCAGCTACCACGGTGTCCCCTCCCACTTCAGAGCCAATAATGGTCATTATAGTGTTTTTAAAATCTTTGCCAGCACGATGGATGAAAGTGAGATCTTGTCTTTCCTTTTTTTTTTTTTATTTTTTAACTATGGAACATTTTATTTTTTGTTTTCTTCTGCTGTGAATTCCCTCTCCTGGGCTTTCAAAGCTCAGCCAAGGGCCACCCTTCTTCCTCCAGGACCTCCCTTGCCTCTTAAACACTGAATCCCCTGCTTTACAGCACCGGCTCATGGGCCTGCTCCCTCCCTAGACTGTGAGCTGGTCAGAGTGGGCCTCCCAGATGTACTGCTGGGGCCTGGGCCTCGTGTGAGTAAGGGCTCAGGACACACCCCTGGAATTAATGCAAATGCCTGTGTGTGCCTGGGTTGAGGGAGACTCCTCTGGGCTCCTTCTGCCTCTGGTTTGGCTGGGGCAGCTCTGCAGGCACAGCTGAGGGTGGCCAGTGTGTCTGCAGGAAAAGGCCCCAGGCCCTGGAGCTGGGCTCCAGACACAGGAGGTCCTTGGTCCCCTGCACACACTGCTTGTGTCAGGAGGCTGCTGCATGGAGTCGGAAGAAGGGACCTTTCAGGATGAGGGGGGTCGAGGAAACCAGCCACAGCGCAGGGCAGGAAGGACCAAAGATGACCCCGGCAGCTCCCTGGCCCTGGACAAACCTCTTGCCTTCTGTTTGCTCAGCTCAACAACATTGCATGAATTCCTGCCAGGGAGGGGTATGAGAAGAGGAGATGGAGGGGCACAGCCCTGTGGGAAGCCAAGACTGAAGAGGAGTCCCCGGCCCTGGCTGCTTACCCAGAAGGCTAAGCATTCAGGTTCCAGGGCCCAACTCCCAGCAGGCCAAGATCAAGACTGCAGTTGTGCATGCTGGCCACCAGGAGGCACTGCAGTTCCAATAAAGTCACTGGACGGAAGGTGATGATCCTGGGGCCCCAGTGCCTAATGAGGTTTCTAGACGTTTGTTTGAAGACCCAGGTCCTAGCTGGGAGGATTTGCCACTCAAGCAGTAATTCAGCCCTACTACGCGTCTGCCACCATTCCAGCACTACAAGGGACAAAGAGATGGATGG
The DNA here is from genome assembly GCF_000001405.40 of Homo sapiens. NCBI lineage: Eukaryota > Metazoa > Chordata > Mammalia > Primates > Hominidae > Homo > Homo sapiens. The sequence continues at coordinate 44,286,685 of NC_000011.10, forward strand.
GGCGGGTCGCTGGCCTTCCTTGCAGGGGTCTTTCCTCCCCTAGTTCTGGGTATTTTCACATTCCTGCCTCATTCCAGTCTCCTCAGAATTCCCACACTGTGGCCCCAGCATCCTCATTGGACAGACGGTCAAAGTGAGGCGCCGAGAGAAGGGACCCACCAGTGTCACTAGTGACTGAGTGACAGACAGGCTGAGACCTGGGCTCTTTTTCATTCCTTAAGTGGCCTCCCTTTGGAGACCCATGGGGATTCCTTGGCCCTCCAGAGAGGGTGGCGCACAGTGGGTGCTCAGGAAACTGACTAACTTGCAAAAGCCTTTGCCTTGCAAAAGCTCCCTAGGACACCCCTGTCGTTTGGCCCAGCGGCTTTCCATGTGGCTGGCAGACTTGTTACCAGCTTCCCCGTGGGTTCTTCCCGAGGCAGGCATCCGCCGAGGCAGGGTCTGCCACCCCGTCCTCCACTGCTCCGCCCTCACACAGAAGCTCTCTCAGTTCTTCCTGCAATGGCAGGGGTGAGTGGGGAGGACTGTTTTTCTCTTAGTCTAGAGATGGAGTGGGCTTCCCAGAGTCCAGGAACGAAAAGGGATTAATGCTGGGCTCTCGCAAAAACAAAAAACAAACAAACAAACTAAACAAAACCAGGAACTGGGCTTTGTACTTTACAAAGTACTAGGGCATCTATTATGCCACCAGTAGGGTTCCAGCCTCTTTACAACCGCCAGGTTTCCATTTTATAGCCCCAGAAACTGAGGCCAGAGGGGGTAAATGCCTTGCTAAGAATCAATAACTGTTAAGAAGGTCCAGGGGTGGTGGTTCATGCCTGTAATCCCAACATTTTGGGAGGCCGAGGTGGGAGAGTCACTTGACCCCAGAGTTCCATCTAGCCTGGGTGACAGAGGCAGAGACCTGTCTCAAAAAAAAAAGAAAAGAAAAGAAAAGAAAACAAAAAACTGGTAAGAGGCAGAGCTGAGACTTGAATCTCATGCCTGGAGCATGCCTACTGGGCCCTCCTGGGGTGGATGCTGTGGGTGGGACTGGGACAGGCAGACAGGAGACAGGGTCAAGGAGGAAGGGAGGAAGTCACAGGAGAATGGCTGCTCTCAGCTGCCTCAAGAGATTGGCCCCCTTGCAACAACCTTCAAGGCTGCCCCTGATCAAACTGCTCTGCTGAAGATCAACTTCATTGACCATCTGGGACCTCAGATGTGGACCAGTGCCTTGTTTCAGGGCCTACACACACTGAAGTACTTAGAGGCAAAGAGGCATATGAGTCATATGTCTGCAACTTACTCTTTTTTTGTTTGTTTGTTTTTAGACAAAGTCTTGCTCTGTTGCCCAGGCTAGAGTGCAGTGGCACAATCTTGACTAACTGCAACCTCTGCCTCCCGGGTTCAAGTGATTCCCTATGTTGGCCAGGCTGGTCTCGAACTCCTGACCTCAGGTGATCCACCTTCCTCGACCTCCCAAAGTGCTGGGATTACAGGCATGAGCCACTGCGCCCAGCCTGCAACTTACTGTTAAATGATACAGCTGTATATCGTATGCATGTATATCAATACATACATAAACAGAGCATATGCACAGAGAGAGACACAGAGAGAGACCCAGAGAGATTGAAAATAATGCAAATATGGCAAAACATCACCATTTGGGGAGTCAGCATAAAAGGCATCTGGGAATTCTTTGTAGTCCACTTATAACTTTAAGTGTAATACTGTATCAAAATAAAAAGGTTTTTAAAAGAAAAGGTATGTGGACTAATGGAAAGAAGGCACCTTCCCTAGGAACCCCTCTTGTGAAGCTGGCATATGTAATCATTTGAACAGGACCTGGATGAGTTTACCTGGCAACCTCCCCGCCTTCCCCTCATCACCACCACCATTCATAATTCTACAAGGGGCCTTGTACGTTGCAATAAAAATCACAAGACAAATGCCAACTCTGGGAGCACACATTGCTCCCCAGCCCTCTGGAAGCCCTCACTCCCGTGGAAGCCACTGTGACCCAATTAGAACATGGGGCTCCTTTAAGCAGCTCTTCTGAGAGCTGTAGGAGACCAAGGTCAAGCTACTGTTGGAACTTAAAAGTTTAAAAAGTACTTTAATTTTTGAGTCTACTGTAATTTCAACTGTCCTACAGTTAGTCCAAATGAGTAAAGTTTCCTTGTATAAAAAAAAGAAATGGTGGAAAGAAAGAACCCTAAACTTTGTCCAGCCCTCAGCCCCCATGGCCCCTCTGCCAAGGCCTGGGTCCCCTCCATCCCCCAGCTTGTGTCTGGAATTTGTCTTTCCTGTTCTCTCCCCCACCCTGTGTCTTGCCTTACTGATTCATTCAGAGCTTCCCTTAGGAATCATGGCCTAGTGGAAGAGATGCATGAGGGACAAGCACGGTCAAGTGTTCCAGGGTCCCCAGGGCAAAAGTCTTGTTTCCCAGACACGGCAGGGCCCACAGAAAGGAGCGGTCAATTTTGGTTGAAAAGGTCGGAGAAGGCCTCTGCAATGGAGTGGCTCTTGAATTGGGTATTGCCAGTCAAGGAAGGCTCGGCAAGGCATGTTGCATTTTATGGTAAAACAAGATACCAAGATACCATCCCCTCACCCCAAATAGGGCAAATCCCAAATTACCAAGCTCCTTAGACAGGAGCTCTCCAACCAGGGCTGATTACAACCATGACAGCAATAATGTAATGCCTTGTATTCGTGTTGCCCTGACCCACCCACTATCTCCTCTGACCCTCCCCAGATCCCATGAGGTCAGTGTTGGTATCTCTGTTTCACAGATGAGAAAACTGAGGTCCAGTGAAGATGAATAACTTGCTCAAGATCACATAGCTAGGAGGGGCAGACTGGATGGTCCCATGCCAAGTCCACTGCCTTTCAAGGTGGTGATGAGTTATCTTTCTAACATGGAGGGGTCAGGCAGGCTTCATTTTGTTCTAAGGGGGCATTGCTGAGCCACTGGGGTCATTTCTATCTCAAAGGACTAGGGTAAACCAAGCTTCAGGGTCTCCATGAGAAGCCCATGTATGATCTAACACTTGGAGATCACTTCCTGATGCCTCCTGGGGTGGGATGGGTGTTCCAGCTTCAGTCTGGGCTCTAAGTGCCCCTGTCAGCTTCTCTCCTCAAGGAGGCTAGAAGTTTCCCGGCTCCTCGTCCCATCCCCAAGCTCCATCTCATGGCGTGGGTGGTTGGATGAGACCCTGTCCCCGGCAGGACCCACTGCCAGAGAAACAGAGTCTCCCATGCTCTCCCCTATCCCAGCAATACGTCCGCAGGGTTCAGAGACCCCACTGGACCAGACCCTCCCTTCACAGCCAAGATGCGGAGGCCCAGAGCAAGGTCATACTGCCTGATAATGGAAGGGCCAGGACTTGAACCCTGCACCTCCTGCATCCAGCCCTGTGGTCTGTCTGCCCATTGTCCCTCTCAAGCCCCCTAAACCATGTGGCCCTGGGCGTGTCCCAAGACATCTCTCACTTAATTCCCCCAAGCCTCTGTTTCCCTTCTGTAGCAGAAAGAATCCTGCAGCTCCACCACCTTCACCAAGACACTGTAATATCACTTTCATCCAGAGGCTGGCGAGATGGAGGAGCTTAGATCCTGCACGAGGCAAAATGAAATGATTGAGAAGTCTTTGGGGTAGGACAGGCCTGGGCTTGGCCCCTGGCTCTGCCACTTATTTGCTACATTGATTCATTCAACAGCATTCCTGGAGCACCAGCTATGCACTGGGCAAAGTTCCAGGTGGTGAAAATATAAAGCCCAGTAAAACACAGTCCCTTCCTTCAAATGGCTCGCCTCAGTGACAGGGGCCATGGTTACAGTGCAGGGTGGTGACCAGGGCAGGGGCACCTAGCCCAGCCTTGGGGCGACTCCAGATCTCTGTAGAGGAGGTGTTTTGAAGCAGCAATGTTGTTGGAGAGGTCTGTTGAAGCTGTGTTTAGCTAACGCTTCACATAAGACTAGGGAATGCCAGTTTTCCCCATGAAAGAAATGGGAGCCGACTAAAGGAGATTATTAAGGAGGCTCCCAAGCCACCTTGTGGTTCTGCCACAGAAGGGTATCCTTGGAAAAGTGACTTGACCTTTGTGTGCTTCAGTTTCCTCATCTGTAAGATGAGGCTGAGAACATCCACATCCCAGAATGGCTGTGAGGTCTGACTGAAGTAGAGTGCAAGACGGCATATCCCCTGACCCACACACGGCACCCACTCTATCAATGGGACGTTGCCATGATATATTAACACAGTTATGATCTGGGGATGAATTTGGCCGTGGCAGCTGACAGCCAGGGCAACGTTGCTCAGCCTGCAACTGTGTCACCCCCACCTGCTTCCTTCCCCAGGTGCATCCTCTCCAGTTCAGGTTTCCCGAGCGGCAGCTCCCAGAATGACATTTATGAACCATAAACCTCTGTCAAAAGTAGCTCCCAGGGTCCCTTTCAATGAAGGGCCCATTTCACATACATATAACAAAGACTATAAATGGGGTGAAACATTGGCAACTGCTGTAAAAATCAAATGTTAAATTTATTTGGTTATATAGACTTAAAAAAACTTTTAAAGAGTGGATTCACGGCAGCCTCTGCCTTTAGACTGTGCCCTCACCAAGGGCAGGGGAGGGGTGTTACGAGGCAGCGTTATCACTCGCCCTGCCTGTTGTCACTGTCTGGCACCCAAGTACGTGCTGAATTGAGCTAATCTTAAACAATTGAATTTCTTTCTTTCTTTCTTTCTTTTTTTGGAGACAGGGTCTTGCTCTGCTGCCCAGGCTGAAGTGCAGTGGTGCGATCTCGGCTCACTGCAACCTCCGCCTTCTGGGTTCAAGCGATTCTCCTGCCTCAGCCTTCCGTGTAGCTGAGGCTACAGGCACATGCCGCCACACCTGGCTTTTTGTGTTTTAGTAGAGACAGGGTTTCACTCTTGTTGTCCCGGCTGGTCTTGAACTCATGAGCTCAAGCAATCCGCCCGCCTCAGCCTCCCGAAGTGCTAGGATTACAGGCATGAGCCATTGCGCCTGGCCAAACAATTGAATTTCTTAGCCTGCAGAAGCAGCATATGATCCCAGAAAGAATGTGCTGCTTTCACCAACATCAAATCTTTTCTTTCTCAAATGTGCTCCTTCTTTAATTTTTATTTATGTATTTATTTATAGAGACGGAGTCTCGCTCTGTCACCCAGGCTGGAGTGCATTGATGCCATCTCGGCTAACTGCAACCTCTGCCCCCCAGGTTCAAGCCATTCTTCTGCCTCAGCCTCCCGAGTAGCTGGGATTACCAGCACTGGTCACTGCACCTGGCTAATTTTTGTACTTTTAGTAGAGGTGGGGTTTCACCATCTTGGCCAGGCTGGTCTTGAACTCCTGACCTCGAGATCCACCCTCCTCGGCCTCCCAAAGTGCTGGGATTACAGGTGTGAGCCACCTCGCCTGGCCCAAATATACTCATTCCAATCTAGAGAATCACTTACAAACTGAAAAAGCAACAAGGCTTTTCTCCCCTTGGATGAGAAAGGGAAAGTAATGGCTCAATTAATTATAAGATTGCTTTTTTTTTTTCTGTTGCCTAGGCTGGAGCACAGTGGTACAATCACAGCTCACTGCAGCCTCAACCTCCTGGGCTCAAGCAATCCTCCCTCCTCAGCCTCCTGAGTAGCTGGTACTATGGGCACACAACATCACAGCTGGCTAATTAAATTTTTTTTTTTTTTTTTTTTTTTGTAGAGACGAGGTGTCACTATGTTGCCCAGGCTGGTCTCAAACTCCTGGATTCAAGCAATTGTCTCACCTCAGCCTCCCAAAGTGCTGGAATACAGGCATGAGCCACCATGCCCAGTCCTAGTTTGTACTTTAGGAAAGTCATCAACTTCCTTAAAGTTGATAAGAATGGGAAAGATTCTTCAATATTTGCTTTTTAAAAAATCCACATTTACAACTATAAAATAGTTAACAATTCAAAATATCTAAAGGATAATTATACCTAAAAGTTTTGGTTGGTGTTTTTGTATAAATGACTGGGATTTGGAGTAGATGGGTTCCCAGGATTTTGCCTATCACATATAGTAAGGATAAAATATAAATAATCAATGTTTCAGCATTCACAATTAACATGTTAGTTAAAAATGGTTCTTTTGGCCCCGCATGGTAGCTCATGCCTGTAATCCCAGCACTTTGGGAAGCCAACGTGGGCAGACTGCCTGAGCTCAGGAGTTTGAGACCAGCCTGGGCAACACAGTAAGACCCCCATCTCTATAAAAAAAATTTTTAAATTAGCTGGGCGTGGTGGCACAAGCCTGTAGTCCCAGCTACTCAGGAGGCTGAAGCAGGAGAACTGCTTGAGCCCAGGAGGTTGTGGCTGCAGTGGGCCATGATTTAGCCATTGAATTCCAGCCTGGGTGATAGTGAGACCCTGTCTGAGAGAAGGAAGGAAGGAAGGAAGGAAGGAAGGAAGGAAGGAAGGAAGGAAGGAAGGAAGGAAGGAAGGAAGGAAGCAGGCAGGCAGGGAGGGAGGGAGGGAGGGAGGGAAGGAAGGAAGAAAATGGTTTTTTCATTGACTTCTGCTCATCTGAACAAAATAAAAAATTCAAAAAAGTCTCTTCTTTAAAATGCATGATGTGGCCAGGTGCAGTGTCTCACACTTGTAATCCCAGCACTTTGGGAGGCTGAGGTGGGCGGATCACCTGAGGTCAGGAGTTCGAGACCAGCCTGGCCAACATGGCAAAACCCCATCTTAAAAAAAGAAAAAAAAATATATATATAATGCATGGTGTGTCCCTTCTACCAAGCAAACCTTAATCCACAGCGAACGTGAGACAAATACATCTCTTTTCCACCTGTTACTACTTCTTGGCAGGATGGATCCCCTGCAACGGGATAGATCTCCTGAGAGGATACTTTGTGTAGCACAAAACTGGGCTCTGTGGAATCTTCTCTCATGGGGCTAAATCCTGGGGGATGCATTAATACAGCAGAGCTTGGGCACATACATTCCCTGAGGAGGCCTGGCCCTCACTGTCCACCTGCCACATGGTACAAGTAATATTTCCAAACTGGCCTCTTGCCCCTGGCTTCGCCAACACTGGGCTAGTGAGGAGGCTATTACTCGTTCTGTTTAGAAGGGTTTGTCTCCTCCTTCTTTACCCACAGGAGCTGCTCCCACATATCACATGGGGGTCCTGGGCTGGGCTGGCCTGGTTCTCAGGATGGCTCTGGAGGGAGGAGGGAGTGGTGTCTGGGCGGTCAGGGGACATGGTCATCATTTCAGTAGATGGGCGAAGATGGTGTAGCCCACGTACAACATGCAGTGTGCTGAAAACCCCTCCCAGTGCACCCCCTCCACCGTCTACAGAGCTCTCACATGCTGGTCAAGTCTGATGGGCACATAGGCATGAGGGCATCCAGGCAGTGGGCATGAGCCCCCTGGGCAGGGGAGGAAAAAGGCTCTTTGGCTTCAGGAGATCTGGGTTCAATTCACAGCGGGACAGCCTCACCTTCCTCATCTTCAAATTGAGGATACTAATATCTCCCAGTGGGTTTCCACAAAAAGTCTCAGTCCAGGTGTGGCCAAGGGCAATGCCCACCAGGTGCTTTCTTAATTGCAGATGGGGCCCAGGAAGCTGGGGCCCAGGAAGGGTGCAGAGGTTGCCTGACATTCCCTGAGCCCGATTCTCTGTGCTCAGCCCTGTGCTGATCAGAGAGGAACACAGCAGAACCCCTGCCCTGGGGACAGGCTGAAGTTCTGGGTCAAATAAACACAGAAAACACATTCAGCAGGGAGAGAGTTATTCCCCAGCTCATGACACATGTGTACGAGGTGCAGCAGCCTATGGGGAGGAGGGGCCTGAGGGGCCTGGGTGGCCTTTGTCCCTCCTTGAAGCCTGCCCCCGCTGCGTTAGGTAGAGATGGCAGCCCCCGCCCCTCCCATCACTCATCCATGTTTTAAAAGACAATGTCAACCACACAGTAATCATAGATTCAGTAATAATTTCTTCATTTTCCAACTCTATGCATCCCAGTCAACTTTAACTGCCTGTCAAGGTTTCCGGCCAGTCTGATAGAGTCAAGGTTCCAGCAAAATCTTATCAATCATAACAGCTAACATTGACTGAGCACTTACTATGCTCCAGGAACTGTTCTAAGATCCTTACCTATTTATTTATTTATTTATTTATTTATTTATTTATTTAGAGACAGAGTTTCGCTCTTCTTGCCCAGGCTGGAGTGCAATGGTGTGGTCTCGGCTCACTGCAACCTCTGCCTCCTGGGTTCAAGTGATTCTCCTGCCTCAGCCTCCCTAGTAGCTGGGATTACAGGCGCCCACCACCACGCCCAGCTAATTTTTTGTATTTTTAGTAGAGACAGGGTTTCACTATGTTGGCCAGGCTGGTCTCAAACTCCTGACCTCAGGCAATCCACCTGCCTCGGCCTCCCAAAGTGCTGGGATTACAGATGTGAGCAACCACACCTGGCTTTGTCCTTGCCTATTTTACCTTATTTAAGCCTCACCCTATCACTAACAGGTAGACATGATTCTTATCCCCACTTTACAGGTAAAGAAACTGAGGCAAAGAGGTCAACTAATTTGCCCAAGGTCACTCAGCTATGTGGGCTGAAATCTGTTTCCAGGTCCTGAGCTTCATGGGCTTCTCCAAACCAAAGGCATCTGAAGCATCAAGCAGCCTGTGTAGCACAATTGTGGAATGAACAGTTTCCATGATTTTCCAAGAACCCTAGAAATTATGCCTTAGGGCACATGGCTGGAAGACCAGGCTCAAGCAGGCCTCTGTTTAGTCACCTAGGCCGGGGAAGTTCCTAGGAAGGGGAGCCGGGGACAGCTACTTCTCTGCAGCTGTGCTCCCCTTGGACTCTGCTGTCTAGTCCCTGGAGCCCCAGCCCCTGGTTGTGCCATTCACTGGATGGCCTAGGGTAGGGGACAGGGAGTTGCAAGTGCCTCTTTTGGGAATCTAACAGAAAATCTTCAAAATATGCATGGGGCCAACAGCATGGAGCCACTGGATGCTTCCTTCTTGGAGCTCCTCCAAGCTCCGCTGGAAGGATTCTGGAATCATCTTAATAAAGGAAGTGGTCCCAGATGTGCGCATCTCAGGAGGTGGGTGTATAGACCCTCAGAGCACAAAAGAATTTCCCCAAAGGCCACGTCCTCATGGGATGGTCAACTGAAGGGGCAGAGGGGCCCCCGAATATCCAGGGGCCTAGCCAGGGCCAAGACTGTGGCTCTAGAGTCCTCGCCTTTGGCTCTGCCCTCCACCCCTTCTCACCAGCTCCAGGTCCCGGAAAACAAATGTGTCCTTGAGCTGAATTTCTGTGACCTGTTGGTCACTGGCCTGCAGGCAAGGAGATGAACGGATGGCCTACAAGGGTCCTTGTACATTCTGCAATCCTGGACTTCACATCAGAAGATCATTCAGGGGCCAGATAGACAAATGCAACAGAATAGAGACCAGATGTAAACTCTCAAATACATGCGCAATTGATTTTCAACAAAGGTCCCAAGACCGGTCGATGAGAAAAGGGCCATCTTTTCTACAAATGGTGCTGGGAAAAGTGGATATCCCCATAAGGAAGAATGAAGTTGGAGAGCCTTATGTTACGTCATATTCAAAATTAAAGTCATCAAAGACCTAAACCTAAGAGCTAAACTATAAAGCTCTTAAAAGAAGACATAGGCGAAAATCCTCCTGACACTGGAGTTATTGACGATTTCTTGAATATGACACCAAAAGCACAGACAACAAAATAAAGAAATTGAAAAATTGTACTTCTTCATCAAAATGTAAAACTTCTGTGCATCAAAGGACAGTATCCAGGGAGTGAAAGGACAATCCATAGAATGAGAAGAAATATTCGCAAATCATGTATCTGAAAAGGAATTAATATCCAGAATTCCTATGACTGAAGAACAAGGAAACAAACAACCCCATTCAAAAATGGGCAAAGTACTTGAATACACTTCTCCAAAGGAGATACACAAATGGCCAGACGCCAAAGGAGAATACTGTATGATTCCACCTATAAGAGGTACCTAAGGCCAGGTGCGGTGGCTCACACCTGTAATCCCAGCACTTTGGGAGGCTGAGGCGGGTGGATCACCTGAGGTCAGGAGTTCAAGACCAGCCTGGCCAATGTGGCAAAACCCCATCTCTACTAAAAACACAAAAATTAGGCAGGTGTGGTGGTGGGTGCCTGTAATCCCAGCTACTTGGGAGGCTGAGGCAAGAGAATCGCTTGAACCCGGGAGGTGGAGATTGCAGTGAGCTGAGATTGCACCATTTCATTCCAGCCTGGGCAACAAGAGTGAAACTCTGTCTCAAAAAAAAAAAAAAAAAAAAAAGGTACCTACAGTAGGAAAATCCACAGAGAGAGAGTAGAATAGAGGTCACTTGGGTGGGGGGTCAAGGGTGTGATGGCGGTTCCCGTTTAATAGGTATGGAGTTTCTGTTTGGGATGATGAAAAAGTTCTGGAAACAGTGGTGATGGTTACACAATATTGTGGGTGTACTTAATGCCACTGAAAGGTTCACTTGTAGATGTTAAAGTGGTAGCATTTTATGCTATGTATATTTTACCACAATAAAAAGTTCATTCTTAATTAAAATAAAGATTTTGAATGCAAAAAGCAAAGGCCATACTGAACCATGCAAAGAACACTCAGCCTGGGGTCTCACTGTTTTGCTCAGAGCCCTCCAGTGGCTTCCCCAAAGTCTGAACCCTTTGGTAGAAAATAAATGGCCCAGGGGCCAGGCGCGGTGGCTTATGCTTGTAATCCCAGCAATTTGGGAGGCTGAGGCGGGAGGATCACTTGAGTCTAGGAGTTCAAGACCAGCCTGGGCAGCATGGAGAAACCCTGTCTCTACTAAAAATACAAAAGTTAACTGGGCGTGGTGACGAGCCTGTAGTCCCAGCTACTTGGGAGGCTGAGGTGGGAGGATCACTTAAGCCTGGGAGGCAGAGGTTGCAGTGAGCTGAGATTGCGCCACTGCACTCCAGCCTGGGTGACCGAGTGAGACCTTGTCTCAAAAAATAATAAAATAAAATAAAATAAAATAAAAAGCTCTCTTCAGCTGTGCCCCTGCCATTCCTCAGCCCACCTCACCGGCATGCATCATGCCCCTGCACTCCACACACTTGCTTCATGTTCTTCCCTTACCCGAAGACTTAGTTTGTGCTGTTTCCTGAGTCTAGAGGGCCTCTTTCATCTCCTTCAGCTGGTGAGCTCCTATTCAACTTTCAAGGTCCACTTCGAATGTCCATGCTCAGGAAGCCCCAATCCATTCACCTTCCCTGGGGATTCCCATGGCATGTAGCACATTCTAACCAGGCTATGGGCTCTCTGAGGGCAGGAGCCAGTTCATTCACTGCCAAACACTCTGGTCCCTGCCTGACACAGAAGTGCCAGGCTGAAGGATCTGTTGGATGTAAGGAGGAGCTTTTGCCAGGCGCACACTCCTCCATGCATTCCTTCTGAGCTGTTCCCCCTCTTTGAACTTTGGCTTCCATCTGTAAAATGGAGATTCAATTCCTCCACCTAGGCCTTTGGTGAGACTCAGGGGACCATGGATGTTCAAGTGCCCTCAGATTGCATATGCCGGGGTGGGACGGGTGGACGGAATCATGGGTGTGCTGGGAAGAGCCCAGGCCTTGGAGCCGGATGCCCTGCTGGGAACCCGGGTGAGGTCAGATGGCATCCTGGCCAGAAGAGAGGGCTGCATCCCTTGCAGGTGAGTCTCAGAATCCCAGGGTGGAGGATGAGTGAATGGGGGACTAAGGGAGGAACCTCAGCAGCTCTCAGGCAGCACCCTGGGCAGGTGGCAGGAATGGGGGTGCCAGCGGGCAGGACACGGAACTCACTGTAGGGAATGGGGGAGACCTGAGGAGGAGAGTTGGGGATGAAGGGAGAAAACCATTTGGCTAGAGCCGACCCCGGGGGCTGTGGCAGTCAGACCGCAGGCCTGTGGCCAGTGGGGTGAGACCCAAAAGAGGAGCAGTGAGGAAAAGGGGTACTCCTCCGACTGCTAGAGTTGGAGAAGACCAAGACTTGTGCTAAATAGAGCTACCCAGAGCCTCGCTGCTCCTACACCCCACAGGAAACCCTGCAAAAAAAAAAAAATCAATAATTTTCTACCAGAATGCAAGAGAACGACAAAGCAGGCTCTCACCCCAGGCCTCCATTCAAAGGAAGGATGAACGAAGAGAGAGTGGAAAGACTTACAGAGTTCCTAGCATGTTCCCCTCCTGTAAGATCCCTTCATTCATTCACTCAGCAACAGACATTTATTGAGCATCTACTATATAGACTAGCTCCAGGCTCTGGGGAAAGTTGGAATCAAAACAGACAAAGCCTCCTGCGGTCTCTCATGTTTCCTAGAGGGCACTGTTCCCACAGATGCTCCTCAGCTCCACCCTACCTTGATCAGAGGTTCTCTCATGTTCCTGAAACTTCTGGAAACTCATGCAGTCATTCCTCATACCAGCTATGAGGCCCTATGCCATGCCTGGGACACTGTTTTCACCTGGTACAGGTGAGGAAGCTGTGCCCAAGGTCACAGAGTCAGGTGTAGAACTTCAACCTGACAGGTGCCGAAATTTACTCCTGACACTACTTGTCTTCTGCATCCCCGGTTGTGAAGCTGAGAAGAACGCTTTGGGGGCCATGGTTTTTTTTTTTTTTTTTTTTTTTGTGAGATGGATCTTGCTCTGTCACCCAGGCTGGAGTGCAGTGGCAGGATCTCGGCTCACTGCAAGCTCCGCCTCCCGGGTTCACACCATTCTCCTGCCTCAGTCTCCCAAGTAGCTGGGACTACAGGCGCCCGCCACCACGCCCGGCTAATTTTTTGTATTTTTGGTAGAGACAGGGTTTCACCGTGTTAGCCAGGATGGTCTCAATCTCCTGACTTTGTGATCCGCCCGCCTAGGCCTCCCAAAATGCTGGGATTACGGGCATGAGCCACTGCACCGTGCCCTGGGGGCCATGTTTGTAAGACCCTGTCTTTCATCTCCACATCATCTGGGATGGAATTAGGGTTATCTCAAGTCTAATCAGGATCATTCTAGAACAGGATGCCTTTTAGGTTTCTTGGAGCCCTCGGCCAGCAAGACTCGACTCTTCCTTCCTGGCTGTCTCACTGTGGACGAGTTACTTATCTTCCATGAACCTCAGTTTTCATCCACGAAATGGGGATGATAATAGTACCAATCTCATAGGATTGTGATGGTGATTAAGTGAAATCATGCATAAGCAGCACTGGTGTACTGCCTGGCGCACAGGCAGGGACGCTCAGTTGTTCTGGGCTGTCTCATGGTTCTGCAGCAGCAGCCAACTCTAAGCCTTCTTTGCCTTAAAACCCATTATTGTCTCTGTCCTGTAGATGGGAAAACTCAGGCCAGGAGCCAGGCCTGGCATCCCAGACTCTTAACCTTTGGCAGACTGGACCAGCCTTCCCCCTTTCCTGGTACAATGAATGGGGAAGAGTGTGGGGTCCTGAGGCATCTTGAGGATTCTGGAGGGCCAATTCACCCCTCTTGGTGAATATCACAGAACCCCAAGGCCTCTGAAACCACTGAGTCCCATGAAGAAGGTTCAGAGATGGGGAGGCTGAGGCCACAACAGGGGAGCCATGCAGTAGAGCTATGTGCATGTTTGTCTTCCCCATTTGAAAGTGAGCTCCCTCCTTGAAGTCAGAGGCCATGGAGCTGGAGTTGTCCCATCTCCATGCTGGGATGTGAGCCAGGTGTGAATGGATCCTTGTGGCCACATAGAGACATCGGGGAGGCTCACATATCCAGGAGGACCCCAAACTCTACATACACACTCTAAAACCTGATCAGAACCCCACCACTATCATTTGCAATATCCTAGCACCCTCAAAGGGTATAGTGTGAGGGGTGGGGCAGAGAACCTGGTGGTGCAGGATGTACGGGGCAGACACACTACCTCTCTCCATCATCACATCCTCCTCATACTCCCCTCCCAGGTGGGACAGGGCCAAAGTGCCATTCAACACAGGGAGAAATGGAGTGGCACTAGAGAAGTAAGGGGGCTGTTATACATGACTATTTCCATAGAAAAACCAAGAGAAAGCATGGAGGGAGAAAAGGAGAAAGTCAAGAGAGAAGAAGCCTCAGGATTTCCAGCCACTAGAGAAAACTCATTGGCCTGGACAAATCCCAACTTCCCCCAACTTTCCTGCACCCTCCCCTTAAGTGGCTTCCAGTAAGCTACCAAACCCTGGTGGCGCCTGCACGCCCCAGGGCAAGCCAGCCTGACCTTCTCCTCAGAGCCTGAGTCAGGGCTTTCCCCATCTCAGGGCCCATCCCACTGAACTGGAATTTCAAGGTCACTTGTCTGTCTCTGCCTCTGGACCTGAAGGCAGGGGCTGCATCCAGAGCTTCCCAGAATACCCCACAAGGCTTGGCATAGTGACAGGCAAAGTTTGGTGAGCCTTGCGTAAATGGAATCAAGCCTCTCAGTCCCCTTTGTCTGTGAAATAAGACATGTGGGCCAGGAGATGACTGCCATCTCTTCCAACCTTGAGTGAGACCCCCCAACATGTCACCATGACCCATTGTGTGTGTGCTGCAGGGTCAGGGGAGGTACCAGTTTCCTCGATGTAACCAAAGGCCCTCAGGGCCTGGTGGACAGTCCTACACAGTGGGAGGAGTTGGTCATCTGGCCTCAGCTGACCCTGGCTTGTGGTTTTCAAGAACTTAGGAAAAGAAAACCCAGCTTGGGGAGCTGGGCAGAGAGCAGGAGTCCCAGCCTGGTGGGGCTGCATTAGAGTCAGGTCCCTGCAATCCCACCAGGGATTCCACGGGTGCTCTCCTGCTGTCCTCTAATGCCCAGGAGCTCATGGCGGGGTCTGCTTTACTTCTAAGGAGACTGAGGCAGAACTGCAAGCATCTGCCCTATTTGATGCACAGAGAGAGTGCAACTTACTGGACTTATTGCAGGAGTCGCATCCAACAAGAGAGCGGGTGAGTGGATTGGATTCCCCAACACTTTCTGCCTTTCCACCCATTGTAGTGGAAGGAGGAGAACTCGGTGGGTTCCTGCCCTCCTACTAACCTGGCTGTGGGGGTCCATTTCCCCTTGGGCCTCAGTTTGCTCATGTGCTAAATGGGGTCAGCAGTGGGCACAGACAGTGCCAAGGACACGTCTCTTCCGCAGTGAGCCACACGGGACAGAGGGTATATTCCAGAGCTGGTGGCTTGTCAGACGGCCTCGCCGCAGTGTGGGTGGGCTGGATGGACCATGTTCGAGGGCCCCAGGATGACGCGGGGGGTGGTTGGGCCCCACCGGGGACTTGCCACAGGGAGATTCTGCCTGCCACTCGGTGAGTCAGCTGCTCCTGGGAGCCATGACCAGGGGCAGGAAGGCCACAGGCCATGATGCAAGGGCGCTTAGTCATTCTCCCTGGGGGCGCCTCTGGAGGCAGAGGCTATGCCACCCACAGACCCAGAGAAGCTCCAGAGCCGTGCACACGGGTACTCACCCTTGCACACCTGAGGCTCGCACACTGGGGGACACAGACACAAGTGCCAGAGGACAGACATGCCTTTCACCGGACTACACACAAACCCTCGGCCTCGCCCTGAAACACTCAGATAGCAGGACGTGGACCCAGAGAGAATGGGCACGGCACACACCGCTCACATTCATGCTGTGCACACGCTCACACAAACACCTAAGCTGGCTCCTGGGTGCACTTAACCATGTGGGGGCAACAC